>NC_000007.14:100991627-101294657 GCF_000001405.40 Homo sapiens
TGAAGAATCTACAGCCTACCACAGGAGCCCGGGCTCAACTCAAACAATGCACTTCCCTGAAAGCTCCACAACTTCAGGCCATAGTGAAGAATCAGCAACTTTCCACGGCAGCACAACACACACAAAATCTTCAACTCCTAGCACCACAGCTGCCCTAGCACATACAAGCTACCACAGCAGCCTGGGCTCAACTGAAACAACACACTTCCGTGATAGCTCCACAATCTCAGGCCGTAGTGAGGAATCAAAAGCATCCCACAGCAGCCCAGATGCAATGGCAACAACAGTCTTACCTGCCGGCTCTACACCCTCAGTTCTTGTTGGAGACTCGACGCCCTCACCCATCAGTTCAGGCTCAATGGAAACCACAGCGTTACCCGGCAGTACCACAAAACCAGGCCTCAGTGAGAAATCTACCACTTTCTACAGTAGCCCCAGATCACCAGACACAACACACTTACCTGCCAGCATGACAAGCTCAGGCGTCAGTGAAGAATCCACCACCTCCCACAGCCGACCAGGCTCAACACACACAACAGCATTCCCTGGCAGTACCACCATGCCAGGCCTCAGTCAGGAATCTACAGCTTCCCACAGCAGCCCAGGCCCCACAGACACAACATTGTCCCCTGGCAGTACCACAGCATCATCCCTTGGTCCAGAATATACTACCTTCCACAGCCGCCCAGGCTCCACTGAAACAACACTCTTACCTGACAACACCACAGCCTCAGGACTCCTTGAAGCATCTATGCCCGTCCACAGCAGCACCAGATCGCCACACACAACACTGTCCCCTGCCGGCTCTACAACCCGTCAGGGAGAATCTACCACATTCCATAGCTGGCCAAGCTCAAAGGACACTAGGCCTGCACCTCCTACTACCACATCAGCCTTTGTTGAGCCATCTACAACCTCCCACGGCAGCCCGAGCTCAATTCCAACAACCCACATTTCTGCCCGCTCCACAACCTCAGGCCTCGTTGAAGAATCTACGACCTACCACAGCAGCCCGGGCTCAACTCAAACAATGCACTTCCCTGAAAGCGACACAACTTCAGGCCGTGGTGAAGAATCAACAACTTCCCACAGCAGCACAACACACACAATATCTTCAGCTCCTAGCACCACATCTGCCCTTGTTGAAGAACCTACCAGCTACCACAGCAGCCCGGGCTCAACTGCAACAACACACTTCCCTGACAGCTCCACAACCTCAGGCCGTAGTGAGGAATCAACAGCATCGCACAGCAGCCAAGACGCAACGGGAACAATAGTCCTACCTGCCCGCTCCACAACCTCAGTTCTTCTTGGAGAATCTACGACCTCACCCATCAGTTCAGGCTCAATGGAAACGACAGCGTTACCCGGCAGTACCACAACGCCAGGCCTCAGTGAGAGATCTACCACTTTCCATAGTAGCCCCAGATCACCAGCCACAACACTCTCACCTGCCAGCACGACAAGCTCAGGCGTCAGTGAAGAATCCACCACCTCCCGCAGCCGACCAGGCTCAACGCACACAACAGCATTCCCTGACAGCACCACCACGCCAGGCCTCAGTCGGCATTCTACAACTTCCCACAGCAGCCCAGGCTCAACGGATACAACACTGTTACCTGCCAGCACCACCACCTCAGGCCCCAGTCAGGAATCAACAACTTCCCACAGCAGCTCAGGTTCAACTGACACAGCACTGTCCCCTGGCAGTACCACAGCCTTATCCTTTGGTCAAGAATCTACAACCTTCCACAGCAACCCAGGCTCCACTCACACAACACTCTTCCCTGACAGCACCACAAGCTCAGGCATCGTTGAAGCATCTACACGCGTCCACAGCAGCACTGGCTCACCACGCACAACACTGTCCCCTGCCAGCTCCACAAGCCCTGGACTTCAGGGAGAATCTACTGCCTTCCAGACCCACCCAGCCTCAACTCACACAACGCCTTCACCTCCTAGCACCGCAACAGCCCCTGTTGAAGAATCTACAACCTACCACCGCAGCCCAGGCTCGACTCCAACAACACACTTCCCTGCCAGCTCCACAACTTCGGGCCACAGTGAGAAATCAACAATATTCCACAGCAGCCCAGATGCAAGTGGAACAACACCCTCATCTGCCCACTCCACAACCTCAGGTCGTGGAGAATCTACAACCTCACGCATCAGTCCAGGCTCAACTGAAATAACAACGTTACCTGGCAGTACCACAACACCAGGCCTCAGTGAGGCATCTACCACCTTCTACAGCAGCCCCAGATCACCAACCACAACACTCTCACCTGCCAGCATGACAAGCCTGGGCGTCGGTGAAGAATCCACCACCTCCCGTAGCCAACCAGGTTCTACTCACTCAACAGTGTCACCTGCCAGCACCACCACGCCAGGCCTCAGTGAGGAATCTACCACCGTCTACAGCAGCAGCCGAGGCTCAACTGAAACCACAGTGTTCCCTCACAGCACCACAACCTCAGTTCATGGTGAAGAGCCTACAACCTTCCACAGCCGGCCAGCCTCAACTCACACAACACTGTTCACTGAGGACAGCACCACCTCGGGCCTCACTGAAGAATCTACAGCCTTCCCCGGCAGCCCAGCCTCCACCCAAACAGGGTTACCTGCCACACTCACAACCGCAGACCTCGGTGAGGAATCAACTACCTTTCCCAGCAGCTCAGGCTCAACTGGAACAAAACTCTCACCTGCCCGCTCCACCACCTCTGGCCTCGTTGGAGAATCCACACCCTCACGCCTCAGTCCAAGCTCAACCGAAACAACAACTTTACCTGGCAGTCCCACAACACCAAGCCTCAGTGAGAAATCAACCACCTTCTACACTAGCCCCAGATCACCAGATGCAACACTCTCACCTGCAACCACAACAAGCTCAGGCGTCAGCGAAGAATCCAGCACATCCCACAGTCAACCAGGCTCAACGCACACAACAGCATTCCCTGACAGCACCACCACCTCAGACCTCAGTCAGGAACCTACAACTTCCCACAGCAGCCAAGGCTCAACAGAGGCAACACTGTCCCCTGGCAGTACCACAGCCTCATCCCTTGGTCAACAATCTACAACCTTCCACAGCAGCCCAGGCGACACTGAAACCACACTCTTACCTGACGACACCATAACCTCAGGCCTCGTGGAGGCATCTACACCCACCCACAGCAGCACTGGCTCGCTACACACAACACTGACCCCTGCCAGCTCCACAAGCGCTGGCCTTCAGGAAGAATCTACCACTTTCCAGAGCTGGCCAAGCTCAAGTGACACAACACCTTCACCTCCCGGCACCACAGCAGCCCCTGTTGAAGTATCCACAACCTACCACAGCCGCCCGAGCTCAACTCCAACAACACACTTTTCTGCCAGTTCCACAACCTTGGGCCGTAGTGAGGAATCAACAACAGTCCACAGCAGCCCAGGTGCAACTGGAACAGCACTCTTCCCTACCCGCTCTGCAACCTCAGTTCTTGTTGGAGAACCTACAACGTCACCCATCAGTTCAGGCTCAACGGAAACAACAGCGTTACCTGGCAGTACCACAACAGCAGGCCTGAGTGAGAAATCTACCACCTTCTACAGTAGCCCCAGATCACCGGACACAACACTCTCACCTGCCAGCACGACAAGCTCAGGCGTCAGTGAAGAATCCACCACCTCCCACAGCCGACCAGGCTCAACGCACACAACAGCATTCCCTGGCAGTACCACCATGCCAGGCGTCAGTCAGGAATCTACAGCTTCCCACAGCAGCCCAGGCTCCACAGACACAACATTGTCCCCTGGCAGTACCACAGCATCATCCCTTGGTCCAGAATCTACTACTTTCCACAGCAGCCCAGGCTCCACTGAAACAACACTCTTACCTGACAACACCACAGCCTCAGGCCTCCTTGAAGCATCTACGCCCGTCCACAGCAGCACTGGATCGCCACACACAACACTGTCCCCTGCCGGCTCTACAACACGTCAGGGAGAATCTACCACCTTCCAGAGCTGGCCAAGCTCAAAGGACACTATGCCTGCACCTCCTACTACCACATCAGCCTTTGTTGAGCTATCTACAACCTCCCACGGCAGCCCGAGCTCAACTCCAACAACCCACTTTTCTGCCAGCTCCACAACCTTGGGCCGTAGTGAGGAATCGACAACAGTCCACAGCAGCCCAGTTGCAACTGCAACAACACCCTCGCCTGCCCGCTCCACAACCTCAGGCCTCGTTGAAGAATCTACGGCGTACCACAGCAGCCCGGGCTCAACTCAAACAATGCACTTCCCTGAAAGCTCCACAGCTTCAGGTCGTAGTGAAGAATCAAGAACTTCCCACAGCAGCACAACACACACAATATCTTCACCTCCTAGCACCACATCTGCCCTTGTTGAAGAACCTACCAGCTACCACAGCAGCCCGGGCTCAACTGCAACAACACACTTCCCTGACAGCTCCACAACCTCAGGCCGTAGTGAGGAATCAACAGCATCCCACAGCAGCCAAGACGCAACGGGAACAATAGTCCTACCTGCCCGCTCCACAACCTCAGTTCTTCTTGGAGAATCTACGACCTCACCCATCAGTTCAGGCTCAATGGAAACGACAGCGTTACCCGGCAGTACCACAACGCCAGGCCTCAGTGAGAAATCTACCACTTTCCACAGTAGCCCCAGATCACCAGCCACAACACTCTCACCTGCCAGCACGACAAGCTCAGGCGTCAGTGAAGAATCCACCACCTCCCACAGCCGACCAGGCTCAACGCACACAACAGCATTCCCTGACAGCACCACCACGCCAGGCCTCAGTCGGCATTCTACAACTTCCCACAGCAGCCCAGGCTCAACGGATACAACACTGTTACCTGCCAGCACCACCACCTCAGGCCCCAGTCAGGAATCAACAACTTCCCACAGCAGCCCAGGTTCAACTGACACAGCACTGTCCCCTGGCAGTACCACAGCCTTATCCTTTGGTCAAGAATCTACAACCTTCCACAGCAGCCCAGGCTCCACTCACACAACGCTCTTCCCTGACAGCACCACAAGCTCAGGCATCGTTGAAGCATCTACACGCGTCCACAGCAGCACTGGCTCACCACGCACAACACTGTCCCCTGCCAGCTCCACAAGCCCTGGACTTCAGGGAGAATCTACCGCCTTCCAGACCCACCCAGCCTCAACTCACACGACGCCTTCACCTCCTAGCACCGCAACAGCCCCTGTTGAAGAATCTACAACCTACCACCGCAGCCCAGGCTCGACTCCAACAACACACTTCCCTGCCAGCTCCACAACTTCGGGCCACAGTGAGAAATCAACAATATTCCACAGCAGCCCAGATGCAAGTGGAACAACACCCTCATCTGCCCACTCCACAACCTCAGGTCGTGGAGAATCTACAACCTCACGCATCAGTCCAGGCTCAACTGAAATAACAACGTTACCTGGCAGTACCACAACACCAGGCCTCAGTGAGGCATCTACCACCTTCTACAGCAGCCCCAGATCACCAACCACAACACTCTCACCTGCCAGTATGACAAGCCTAGGCGTCGGTGAAGAATCCACCACCTCCCGTAGCCAACCAGGTTCTACTCACTCAACAGTGTCACCTGCCAGCACCACCACGCCAGGCCTCAGTGAGGAATCTACCACCGTCTACAGCAGCAGCCCAGGCTCAACTGAAACCACAGTGTTCCCTCGCACCCCCACAACCTCAGTTCGTGGTGAAGAGCCTACAACCTTCCACAGCCGGCCAGCCTCAACTCACACAACACTGTTCACTGAGGACAGCACCACCTCGGGCCTCACTGAAGAATCTACAGCCTTCCCCGGCAGCCCAGCCTCCACCCAAACAGGGTTACCTGCCACACTCACAACCGCAGACCTCGGTGAGGAATCAACTACCTTTCCCAGCAGCTCAGGCTCAACTGGAACAACACTCTCACCTGCCCGCTCCACCACCTCTGGCCTCGTTGGAGAATCCACACCCTCACGCCTCAGTCCAAGCTCAACCGAAACAACAACTTTACCCGGCAGTCCCACAACACCAAGCCTCAGTGAGAAATCAACCACCTTCTACACTAGCCCCAGATCACCAGATGCAACACTCTCACCTGCAACCACAACAAGCTCAGGCGTCAGTGAAGAATCCAGCACATCCCACAGTCAACCAGGCTCAACGCACACAACAGCATTCCCTGACAGCACCACCACGCCAGGCCTCAGTCGGCATTCTACAACTTCCCACAGCAGCCCAGGCTCAACGGATACAACACTGTTACCTGCCAGCACCACCACCTCAGGCCCCAGTCAGGAATCAACAACTTCCCACAGCAGCCCAGGTTCAACTGACACAGCACTGTCCCCTGGCAGTACCACAGCCTTATCCTTTGGTCAAGAATCTACAACCTTCCACAGCAGCCCAGGCTCCACTCACACAACACTCTTCCCTGACAGCACCACAAGCTCAGGCATCGTTGAAGCATCTACACGCGTCCACAGCAGCACTGGCTCACCACGCACAACACTGTCCCCTGCCAGCTCCACAAGCCCTGGACTTCAGGGAGAATCTACCACCTTCCAGACCCACCCAGCCTCAACTCACACGACGCCTTCACCTCCTAGCACCGCAACAGCCCCTGTTGAAGAATCTACAACCTACCACCGCAGCCCAGGCTCGACTCCAACAACACACTTCCCTGCCAGCTCCACAACTTCGGGCCACAGTGAGAAATCAACAATATTCCACAGCAGCCCAGATGCAAGTGGAACAACACCCTCATCTGCCCACTCCACAACCTCAGGTCGTGGAGAATCTACAACCTCACGCATCAGTCCAGGCTCAACTGAAATAACAACGTTACCTGGCAGTACCACAACACCAGGCCTCAGTGAGGCATCTACCACCTTCTACAGCAGCCCCAGATCACCAACCACAACACTCTCACCTGCCAGTATGACAAGCCTAGGCGTCGGTGAAGAATCCACCACCTCCCGTAGCCAACCAGGTTCTACTCACTCAACAGTGTCACCTGCCAGCACCACCACGCCAGGCCTCAGTGAGGAATCTACCACCGTCTACAGCAGCAGCCCAGGCTCAACTGAAACCACAGTGTTCCCTCGCAGCACCACAACCTCAGTTCGTGGTGAAGAGCCTACAACCTTCCACAGCCGGCCAGCCTCAACTCACACAACACTGTTCACTGAGGACAGCACCACCTCGGGCCTCACTGAAGAATCTACAGCCTTCCCCGGCAGCCCAGCCTCCACCCAAACAGGGTTACCTGCCACACTCACAACCGCAGACCTCGGTGAGGAATCAACTACCTTTCCCAGCAGCTCAGGCTCAACTGGAACAACACTCTCACCTGCCCGCTCCACCACCTCTGGCCTCGTTGGAGAATCCACACCCTCACGCCTCAGTCCAAGCTCAACCGAAACAACAACTTTACCCGGCAGTCCCACAACACCAAGCCTCAGTGAGAAATCAACCACCTTCTACACTAGCCCCAGATCACCAGATGCAACACTCTCACCTGCAACCACAACAAGCTCAGGCGTCAGTGAAGAATCCAGCACATCCCACAGTCAACCAGGCTCAACGCACACAACAGCGTTCCCTGACAGCACCACCACCTCAGGCCTCAGTCAGGAACCTACAGCTTCCCACAGCAGCCAAGGCTCAACAGAGGCAACACTGTCCCCTGGCAGTACCACAGCCTCATCCCTTGGTCAACAATCTACAACCTTCCACAGCAGCCCAGGCGACACTGAAACCACACTCTTACCTGACGACACCATAACCTCAGGCCTCGTGGAGGCATCTACACCCACCCACAGCAGCACTGGCTCGCTACACACAACACTGACCCCTGCCAGCTCCACAAGCGCTGGCCTTCAGGAAGAATCTACCACTTTCCAGAGCTGGCCAAGCTCAAGTGACACAACACCTTCACCTCCCGGCACCACAGCAGCCCCTGTTGAAGTATCCACAACCTACCACAGCCGCCCGAGCTCAACTCCAACAACACACTTTTCTGCCAGTTCCACAACCTTGGGCCGTAGTGAGGAATCAACAACAGTCCACAGCAGCCCAGGTGCAACTGGAACAGCACTCTTCCCTACCCGCTCTGCAACCTCAGTTCTTGTTGGAGAACCTACAACGTCACCCATCAGTTCAGGCTCAACGGAAACAACAGCGTTACCTGGCAGTACCACAACAGCAGGCCTGAGTGAGAAATCTACCACCTTCTACAGTAGCCCCAGATCACCGGACACAACACTCTCACCTGCCAGCACGACAAGCTCAGGCGTCAGTGAAGAATCCACCACCTCCCACAGCCGACCAGGCTCAACGCACACAACAGCATTCCCTGGCAGTACCACCATGCCAGGCGTCAGTCAGGAATCTACAGCTTCCCACAGCAGCCCAGGCTCCACAGACACAACACTGTCCCCTGGCAGTACCACAGCATCATCCCTTGGTCCAGAATCTACTACCTTCCACAGCGGCCCAGGCTCCACTGAAACAACACTCTTACCTGACAACACCACAGCCTCAGGCCTCCTTGAAGCATCTACGCCCGTCCACAGCAGCACTGGATCGCCACACACAACACTGTCCCCTGCCGGCTCTACAACCCGTCAGGGAGAATCTACCACCTTCCAGAGCTGGCCTAACTCGAAGGACACTACCCCTGCACCTCCTACTACCACATCAGCCTTTGTTGAGCTATCTACAACCTCCCACGGCAGCCCGAGCTCAACTCCAACAACCCACTTTTCTGCCAGCTCCACAACCTTGGGCCGTAGTGAGGAATCGACAACAGTCCACAGCAGCCCAGTTGCAACTGCAACAACACCCTCGCCTGCCCGCTCCACAACCTCAGGCCTCGTTGAAGAATCTACGACCTACCACAGCAGCCCGGGCTCAACTCAAACAATGCACTTCCCTGAAAGCGACACAACTTCAGGCCGTGGTGAAGAATCAACAACTTCCCACAGCAGCACAACACACACAATATCTTCAGCTCCTAGCACCACATCTGCCCTTGTTGAAGAACCTACCAGCTACCACAGCAGCCCGGGCTCAACTGCAACAACACACTTCCCTGACAGCTCCACAACCTCAGGCCGTAGTGAGGAATCAACAGCATCCCACAGCAGCCAAGACGCAACGGGAACAATAGTCCTACCTGCCCGCTCCACAACCTCAGTTCTTCTTGGAGAATCTACGACCTCACCCATCAGTTCAGGCTCAATGGAAACGACAGCGTTACCCGGCAGTACCACAACGCCAGGCCTCAGTGAGAAATCTACCACTTTCCACAGTAGCCCCAGATCACCAGCCACAACACTCTCACCTGCCAGCACGACAAGCTCAGGCGTCAGTGAAGAATCCACCACCTCCCACAGCCGACCAGGCTCAACGCACACAACAGCATTCCCTGACAGCACCACCACGCCAGGCCTCAGTCGGCATTCTACAACTTCCCACAGCAGCCCAGGCTCAACGGATACAACACTGTTACCTGCCAGCACCACCACCTCAGGCTCCAGTCAGGAATCAACAACTTCCCACAGCAGCTCAGGTTCAACTGACACAGCACTGTCCCCTGGCAGTACCACAGCCTTATCCTTTGGTCAAGAATCTACAACCTTCCACAGCAGCCCAGGCTCCACTCACACAACACTCTTCCCTGACAGCACCACAAGCTCAGGCATCGTTGAAGCATCTACACGCGTCCACAGCAGCACTGGCTCACCACGCACAACACTGTCCCCTGCCAGCTCCACAAGCCCTGGACTTCAGGGAGAATCTACCGCCTTCCAGACCCACCCAGCCTCAACTCACACGACGCCTTCACCTCCTAGCACCGCAACAGCCCCTGTTGAAGAATCTACAACCTACCACCGCAGCCCAGGCTCGACTCCAACAACACACTTCCCTGCCAGCTCCACAACTTCGGGCCACAGTGAGAAATCAACAATATTCCACAGCAGCCCAGATGCAAGTGGAACAACACCCTCATCTGCCCACTCCACAACCTCAGGTCGTGGAGAATCTACAACCTCACGCATCAGTCCAGGCTCAACTGAAATAACAACGTTACCTGGCAGTACCACAACACCAGGCCTCAGTGAGGCATCTACCACCTTCTACAGCAGCCCCAGATCACCAACCACAACACTCTCACCTGCCAGTATGACAAGCCTAGGCGTCGGTGAAGAATCCACCACCTCCCGTAGCCAACCAGGTTCTACTCACTCAACAGTGTCACCTGCCAGCACCACCACGCCAGGCCTCAGTGAGGAATCTACCACCGTCTACAGCAGCAGCCCAGGCTCAACTGAAACCACAGTGTTCCCTCGCAGCACCACAACCTCAGTTCGTCGTGAAGAGCCTACAACCTTCCACAGCCGGCCAGCCTCAACTCACACAACACTGTTCACTGAGGACAGCACCACCTCGGGCCTCACTGAAGAATCTACAGCCTTCCCCGGCAGCCCAGCCTCCACCCAAACAGGGTTACCTGCCACACTCACAACCGCAGACCTCGGTGAGGAATCAACTACCTTTCCCAGCAGCTCAGGCTCAACTGGAACAAAACTCTCACCTGCCCGCTCCACCACCTCTGGCCTCGTTGGAGAATCCACACCCTCACGCCTCAGTCCAAGCTCAACCGAAACAACAACTTTACCCGGCAGTCCCACAACACCAAGCCTCAGTGAGAAATCAACCACCTTCTACACTAGCCCCAGATCACCAGATGCAACACTCTCACCTGCAACCACAACAAGCTCAGGCGTCAGCGAAGAATCCAGCACATCCCACAGTCAACCAGGCTCAACGCACACAACAGCGTTCCCTGACAGCACCACCACCTCAGGCCTCAGTCAGGAACCTACAACTTCCCACAGCAGCCAAGGCTCAACAGAGGCAACACTGTCCCCTGGCAGTACCACAGCCTCATCCCTTGGTCAACAATCTACAACCTTCCACAGCAGCCCAGGCGACACTGAAACCACACTCTTACCTGACGACACCATAACCTCAGGCCTCGTGGAGGCATCTACACCCACCCACAGCAGCACTGGCTCGCTACACACAACACTGACCCCTGCCAGCTCCACAAGCACTGGCCTTCAGGAAGAATCTACCACTTTCCAGAGCTGGCCAAGCTCAAGTGACACAACACCTTCACCTCCCAGCACCACAGCAGTCCCTGTTGAAGTATCCACAACCTACCACAGCCGCCCGAGCTCAACTCCAACAACACACTTTTCTGCCAGTTCCACAACCTTGGGCCGTAGTGAGGAATCAACAACAGTCCACAGCAGCCCAGGTGCAACTGGAACAGCACTCTTCCCTACCCGCTCTGCAACCTCAGTTCTTGTTGGAGAACCTACAACGTCACCCATCAGTTCAGGCTCAACGGAAACAACAGCGTTACCTGGCAGTACCACAACAGCAGGCCTGAGTGAGAAATCTACCACCTTCTACAGTAGCCCCAGATCACCGGACACAACACTTTCACCTGCCAGCACGACAAGCTCAGGCGTCAGTGAAGAATCCACCACCTCCCACAGCCGACCAGGCTCAATGCACACAACAGCATTCCCTAGCAGTACCACCATGCCAGGCGTCAGTCAGGAATCTACAGCTTCCCACAGCAGCCCAGGCTCCACAGACACAACACTGTCCCCTGGCAGTACCACAGCATCATCCCTTGGTCCAGAATCTACTACCTTCCACAGCAGCCCAGGCTCCACTGAAACAACACTCTTACCTGACAACACCACAGCCTCAGGCCTCCTTGAAGCATCTACACCCGTCCACAGCAGCACTGGATCGCCACACACAACACTGTCCCCTGCCGGCTCTACAACCCGTCAGGGAGAATCTACCACCTTCCAGAGCTGGCCAAACTCGAAGGACACTACCCCTGCACCTCCTACTACCACATCAGCCTTTGTTGAGCTATCTACAACCTCCCACGGCAGCCCGAGCTCAACTCCAACAACCCACTTTTCTGCCAGCTCCACAACATTGGGCCGTAGTGAGGAATCGACAACAGTCCACAGCAGCCCAGTTGCAACTGCAACAACACCCTCGCCTGCCCGCTCCACAACCTCAGGCCTCGTTGAAGAATCTACGACCTACCACAGCAGCCCGGGCTCAACTCAAACAATGCACTTCCCTGAAAGCAACACAACTTCAGGCCGTGGTGAAGAATCAACAACTTCCCACAGCAGCACAACACACACAATATCTTCAGCTCCTAGCACCACATCTGCCCTTGTTGAAGAACCTACCAGCTACCACAGCAGCCCGGGCTCAACTGCAACAACACACTTCCCTGACAGCTCCACAACCTCAGGCCGTAGTGAGGAATCAACAGCATCCCACAGCAGCCAAGACGCAACGGGAACAATAGTCCTACCTGCCCGCTCCACAACCTCAGTTCTTCTTGGAGAATCTACGACCTCACCCATCAGTTCAGGCTCAATGGAAACGACAGCGTTACCCGGCAGTACCACAACGCCAGGCCTCAGTGAGAAATCTACCACTTTCCACAGTAGCCCGAGCTCAACTCCAACAACCCACTTTTCTGCCAGCTCCACAACCTTGGGCCGTAGTGAGGAATCGACAACAGTCCACAGCAGCCCAGTTGCAACTGCAACAACACCCTCGCCTGCCCGCTCCACAACCTCAGGCCTCGTTGAAGAATCTACGGCGTACCACAGCAGCCCGGGCTCAACTCAAACAATGCACTTCCCTGAAAGCTCCACAGCTTCAGGTCGTAGTGAAGAATCAAGAACTTCCCACAGCAGCACAACACACACAATATCTTCACCTCCTAGCACCACATCTGCCCTTGTTGAAGAACCTACCAGCTACCACAGCAGCCCGGGCTCAATTGCAACAACACACTTTCCTGAGAGCTCCACAACCTCCGGCCGTAGTGAGGAATCAACAGCATCCCACAGCAGCCCAGATACAAATGGAATCACACCCTTACCTGCCCATTTTACTACCTCAGGCCGCATTGCAGAATCTACCACCTTCTATATCTCTCCAGGCTCAATGGAAACAACATTAGCCAGCACTGCCACAACACCAGGCCTCAGTGCAAAATCTACCATCCTTTACAGTAGCTCCAGATCACCAGACCAAACACTCTCACCTGCCAGCATGACAAGCTCCAGCATCAGTGGAGAACCCACCAGCTTGTATAGCCAAGCAGAGTCAACACACACAACAGCGTTCCCTGCCAGCACCACCACCTCAGGCCTCAGTCAGGAATCAACAACTTTCCACAGTAAGCCAGGCTCAACTGAGACAACACTGTCCCCTGGCAGCATCACAACTTCATCTTTTGCTCAAGAATTTACCACCCCTCATAGCCAACCAGGCTCAGCTCTGTCAACAGTGTCACCTGCCAGCACCACAGTGCCAGGCCTTAGTGAGGAATCTACCACCTTCTACAGCAGCCCAGGCTCAACTGAAACCACAGCGTTTTCTCACAGCAACACAATGTCCATTCATAGTCAACAATCTACACCCTTCCCTGACAGCCCAGGCTTCACTCACACAGTGTTACCTGCCACCCTCACAACCACAGACATTGGTCAGGAATCAACAGCCTTCCACAGCAGCTCAGACGCAACTGGAACAACACCCTTACCTGCCCGCTCCACAGCCTCAGACCTTGTTGGAGAACCTACAACTTTCTACATCAGCCCATCCCCTACTTACACAACACTCTTTCCTGCGAGTTCCAGCACATCAGGCCTCACTGAGGAATCTACCACCTTCCACACCAGTCCAAGCTTCACTTCTACAATTGTGTCTACTGAAAGCCTGGAAACCTTAGCACCAGGTACTGCTCTTTCCATTTCATCCACGTTTAGCTTCTTCTCCAGGCCTGTCCATGAGTCTTCTTCATCCATTACAACCTCTCTTGGTTCTTTTCCTCTGTCTTCCACTTTACTTGGGTCTACCGATTATCCAGTTTCTGGGTTCGATACCACTTCCAGTGTTCATGTGCCGTTCACTGGTCCCCACACATGTATGATGACAATCTCTCCTTCCTCTATGACTCCAGGGTGGTTTTATTTATGTATTTATTTTTCATCCTTCCATGAACCCCTCTTCTCTGGATTTTTTTTTTTTTTTGAGACAGAGTGTTGCTCTGTTGCCCAGGCTGGGGTGCAATGACATGATCTTGGTTCACTGCAACCTCTGCCTCCTGGGCTCAAGCGATTCTCCTACCTTGTCCTCCCAAGTGGCTTGGATTACAGGTGCCCACCACCATGCCTACCTAATTTTTGTATTTTTAGTAGAGACGGGTTTTTACCATGTTGACCAAGCTAGTCTCAAACTCCTGACCTCAAGTGATCCACCCACCTCAGCCTCCCAAAGTGCTGGGATTACAGGTGTGAGCCACCGCGCCGGGCCTCCTTCTGTCTGTCATCATGAGAATCCGCATCTGCTCTGGCCTCCTGTGGTTTTGTTTCACATTTCCAACTCTTTCTCCTCCCTGTTCCAGGTGATCCCATGGGTAGAGTTGTCTTCTTTTGGTACATAAGAGTGCTTTTTTCATAGCTGGACCTCTTGTATCTTTTGTTTCCTTACTCTCTGCTGTTCCTCCTCCCTTTCTTACTATCTCCCGGGGGCAGAGGTGGCAGCAGAGGCATCTTCATTGCTGTGCGGTCATCTGGCATCGTCCTGCTCTCCAGTGCGATGCTGAGTGACTGGACCTGGAATGGGAGTGCGTGTTTTTGCTCTTTGGGCTCCCACGGTGACTGCTGTGGATTCTATCTCTCCACAGGGTTGTGCCAGGAAGGACAAATTTGGAATGGAAAACAATGCGTCTGTCCCCAAGGCTACGTTGGTTACCAGTGCTTGTCCCCTCTGGAATCCTTCCCTGTAGGTAATGACCTTTTCTGAGACCTGCAGCTCTTTGCAGGCCCTTTCACCCCTGAAAACAGCATGGCAGTGTTGGAAGGATCAGCCACTGCCTCACTTGCAGGTGGAGGAGGTGTGACTCTTCCCAGCAACACTGTAGGGAGAACATGAACCTTCTACCTTTGCCTTCAGGGACAAAAGTAGAAGGTAGAAAAATGGGGTGGTCGATTTTTTTTAATTTTTAATTTTTAGGGGTACATAGTAGATGTATATATTTATGGAGTATACATGAGATGTTTTGTTACAGGAATGCAATATGTAATAATCACAGCATGGAGAATGGGGTACACATTCCCTCAAGCATTTAACCTTTATGTTACAAACAATCCTACGGTACTATTTTAGTTATTTTATTTTATTTTATTTTTTGAGAGGGAGTCTCGCTCTGTCTCCCAGGCTGGAGTGTGATGGCACGATCTTGGCTCACTGCAACCTCCACCTCCTGGGTTCAGGTGATTCTCCTGCCTCAGCCTCCTGAGTAGTTGAGATTAGAGGCATGGGCCACCATGCCTGGCTAATTTTTGTATTTTTAATAGGGACGGAGTTTCACCATATTGGCCAGGCTGGTATGGAACTACTGATCTTAGGTGATCCTCCTGCCTCGGCCTCCCAAAGTGCTGGGATTACAGGCATGAGCCATCGCGCCCAGCTATTTTAGTTGTTTTTAAATGTTCAATTAAATTATTATTGACTATAGTCACTCTGTCGTGTTAAATACTAGGTCTTATTCATCCTTTCTAACTATACATTTTTTGTACCCATTAACCATGCCCACCTCCCTCTCACCTCCACCCTACTACCCTTCCCAGCCTCTGGTAACCATCCTTCTACGCTCTGCCTCCATTAGTTCAATTATTTGGACTTTTAGATTCCACTAACAAGTGAGAACATGCAATGTTTGTCTTTCTGTGCCTGGCTTATTTCACTTAACAACGACCTCCAGTTCCATCCATGTTGTTGCAATTGACAGGATCTCATTCTTTTTGATGGCTGAATAGTACTCCATTGTGTATATGTACCACATTTTCTCTATCCATTCATCTGTTGATGGACACTTGGGTTGCTTCCAAGTCTTGGCTATTGTGAACAGCAACAAACATGGGAGTGCAGAGATCTCTTCAATGTACTGATTTCCTTTCTTTTGGGTATATACCCAGCAGTGGGATTGCTGGATTGTATGGTAGCTCTATTTTTATTTTTTATTTTTAGAGATGGAGTCTTGCTCTGTTGCCCAGGCTGGAGTGCAGTGGCATGATCTCGGCTTACTGCAAGCTCCACCTCCCAGGTTCATGCCATTCTCCTGCCTCAGCCTCCCAAGTAGCTGGGACTACAGGTGCCCGTCACCATGCCTGGCTATTTTTTTTTTTTTTGTATTTTTAGTAGAGATGGGGTTTCACCGTGTTAGCCAGGATTGTCTTGATCTCCTGACCTCGTGATCCACCCACCTCGGTCTCCCAAAGTGCTGGGATTACAGGTGTGAGCCACCGCGCCCGGCCGGTAGCTCTATTTTTAGTTTTAGGAACCTCCATTTCTTTTGAGATAGGGTCTCACTCTGTGGCCCAGGCTGGAGTGCAGAGGTGCAGATCATAGCTCACCACAGCCTCGAACTCCTGGGCTCAAGTTATCCTCTGGCCTCAGCCTTCCGAGTAGCTGGGACTACAGGCGTGCACTACCATGCCTGGTTAATTTTTTTATTTTCGTGGAGACAGGGTCTCACTTTGTTGCCCAGGTAGGTCTTCCCATCTCCCCAATGCACTGGGATTACAGGTGTGAGCCACAGCACCCGGCCCAGGGCTCTTTCCATTAGCTCACCTGCCCCCCTCATCAAAGGGCTTCTGTACTTAGTTCTGTCCCTTTCCCTCCTGGCCACTGGCTCCTCAGGGTTTTGGGAGACAGGGAACAGTGACCCCACCTTCCTCTTAAGTTTCTTTCACCTTCAAGACACCCACAGGCAGAGAATGTATCAATCCTGGGGGACATTATTGGGAGGTCGCTGTCTCACGCATACCATGGCCTTTTCCCACAGAAACCCCGGAAAAACTCAACGCCACTTTAGGTATGACAGTGAAAGTGACTTACAGAAATTTC
The DNA here is from genome assembly GCF_000001405.40 of Homo sapiens. Lineage (NCBI taxonomy): Eukaryota > Metazoa > Chordata > Mammalia > Primates > Hominidae > Homo > Homo sapiens. The sequence goes on from NC_000007.14 coordinate 101,008,696, forward strand.
ACAGAAAAGATGAATGACGCATCCTCCCAGGAATACCAGAACTTCAGTACCCTCTTCAAGAATCGGGTAAGACCAGGGCACACCCAGACACCCCAGGGTGATGTCCCACGTGAGAGGAAATTGGGGGGTGCACCCCAACTTAGTGATCTGAGTTCTTCTGCTCATGAGCCCCCTCCCTACCAGTCTCCCTAAGTCTTGAAAGGAGGTCCTTTGAGAGCTTCCAGCCTTCAGCCCCACATGACCCACATTATGGCAGAGGGAGCTTCCTGGGTTGGTGGTTCCTCCTATGGGAGCTTACCTGGGCTCCACAGAAAGGTGCCTAGGGCTGCCTCAAGAAGGGTAACAGGAGAGTCTTCATGCTCTAGCTTTGTGTGACCTTCGCTGCCTTGTTTCTTTCAGATGGATGTCGTTTTGAAGGGCGACAATCTTCCTCAGTATAGAGGGGTGAACATTCGGAGATTGCTGTGAGTATATTGGGGGGCAGGTTTATAGATGTGGGGAAATCCTCCTTGTCCCTGCTTTCCTGCCTCCTCCTATCATGAATGGCTAGAATATCAATACTGGTTGGGTCAGAGAGTCCTGCAGCCGCTAGGGAACACTGGGGGCTGTGACACCTTTCATTCTTCATTCATTCATCCACTCAACACACATTTGTTGAAAGCCAGCCCCCTGCTGGGTGCTGGGAACACAGTAGTCCCAGTTTTCCTTGAGCTCAGAGTGGCAGAACACAGATGGAAAAGTGGCTAAGCAGTCTGCTTAGAGTTTCAGTAAGGGGCACACAGGGTGCCCTGGGAGAGGTCCCAAAAGCAAAGCTTGGTGTGGCAGAAGGAATTCTTCCTGGAAAAACTGGCAACAGGCTGGGCGTGGTGGTTCATGCATGTAATCTCAATGCTTTGGGAGGCCAATGGGGGAGGATCACTTCAGGCCAGGAATTCGAGACTAGCCTGGGCAACATAGCGAGATCCCATCTCTACAAAAAGAAAAAAAAATGTAACAGCAAAACTGAGGCTTGAAGGATGAGGAGGAATGATCCAGAGAGAGGGAAGGGAAGGAGAGGCAGTTGCAGCAGAGGGAATCGATGAGAAGAAGCCCAGAGGGGAGAGAGAGGAGGGCAGATTCCAGGAACCTAAAGACGCTCAGAACGGCTGGGTGCTTAAGAGCAAAGGAGCAGTGATGGGGGAGGAGGCTGGAAAGATGGCTCATGCCAAGTTAGTTAGACTTTTGGCATCAGCAGTGTAGACCCATGAGGGATAGTGTCTGGTCTGCAGAGTAGATAGCTCAGTCTGGCTGTAGGGTAGAGATTGCATAAGCAGAAGCCTGTACTGGAGATGATGGTGGCCTACACCAGATAGGTGACAGTAAAGGAGAAAACAGGTCCAGTGTGAAAGGTCTTTGGGAGGCAGGACCAGCAGACCTGGGATTTGCTGCAGGAGAGGAGGGAGGGAAGAATGAGGAACGAGGGCAGATTTCTGGGCGGCTGGAGGTGTGGGGTGCCCTGTGCTGCGTGGAGGAATGTCATGAGGGGTAGAATGGGGGAAGGAGATGATGAGTTCAGTGTGCATCACATCAAGTTTCAAGTGCCCAGGGCCCAGCCACATGGAGTGGTTGCGTGATGCAGCAGTGGAATGTGCCCTAAAGGGTCTTATTTTGGGGGGATCGGGGGCAGGGTCTCGCTCTCTTGCCCAGGCTGGAATGCAGTGGCATAATTATGGCTCACTGCAGGCTCAACCTCTCGGGTTCAAGCAATCCTCCCACCTCAGCCTCTCGAGTAGCTGGGACTACAGGCCTGCGCCATCGTGCTTGGCTAATTTTTGTAATTTTTTTGTTTTGCTTTTTTTGAGACAGAGTCTTGCTCTGTCGCCTGGGCTGGAGTGCCGTGGTGCAATCTCGGCTCACTGCAGCTTCACCTCCCAGGTTCAAGTGATTATCCTGCCTTAGCTTCCCGAGTAGCTGGGACTACAGGCACATGTCATCACACCCAGCTAAATTTTGTATTTTTAGTAGAGACAGGGTTTCACCACGTTGGCCAGGCTGGTCTCGAACTCCTGACCTCAAGTGATCCGCCCGCCTTGGCCTCCAAAAATGCTGGGATTACAGGTGTAAGCCACTGCCCCAGCCTAATTTTTGTAATTTTTGCAGAGATGGGGTCTTGCTATGTTGCCCGGGCTGGTCTCAAACTCCTGGGTTCAAGTGATCCTCCCGCCTCGGCCTCCCAAATTGCTGGGATTACAAGCGTAAGCCACCACACCCAGCCTCTAAAGGGTATTATCAGAGACACAGGCATTGGTATCCCCAGTTGGATGTCACTGGAAGTCCTGGGAGTAGGAAGAGATGGCTCAGGTCGGGGGTGAGGGAGGGTCATGGCACAAAACGAGGGTGTCCCAGGAATGAAGCTGGAAAGCACCAACATTTAAGATCTAGCCAGAGCCCCCAGTGGAGAATGGAAAGAGGCAGATAGAGGGGTGGGAAGGGTGCTTCAAGGGTGCCGTGTCCTTGCAGCAGGGAAGAGAGGGTCCCGGTGCCCCAACCTTGCCCCTGGCTCAGCGTCGGCACCCTGGTCTTTCCATTTTGGCTCAGGATTTTTTTTGTCCAAGTCCTCCTGAGTCCTACTACTGACTTATCTTTCAAAATGACAGTGACAGATGACTTGCCTTGTCTCAAGATCTCTCCCCCCAGCTGCATCATTGGCTATTGAAGGAGTAGCTTCTAGGTTAGAAACTTACCTTTTTCTTTCTTTTTTAAATTTTAAAAAATGGGGTCTTGCTCTGTTGCCTGAAGTGCAGTGGTGCAATCATAGCTCAACACAGCCTCAAACTCCTGGGCTCAAGCCATCCTCCTGACGTAGCGTCCTGAGTAGCTGGGACTACAAGCGTGCACTAACTTGGCTGGCTAATTTTTGTATTTTTTGTAGAGATGGGGTCTCATCATGTTGCCCAGGCTGGTCTTGAACTCCTGGCCTCAAGCAGTCCTCCCACCTCGGCCTCCCAAATTGCTGGGATGACAGGCATGAGCCACCGCACTTCCTGCCCTGTACTTCCTTTTTAAGGCTAAATAATATTCCACAATAGACCACATTTGTTTCTCCATTTGTCTGTTGATGGACCCTTGGTTTGCTTCCACCTTTTGGCTATGGTAAATAATGCTACTAAAAACACAAGGGTACAAATATAAATTCAAGACCTGCTTTCAGTTATTTTGTATATATACCCAGAAGTAGAATTGCTGGATCATGCATTAATTCTATTTTAAATTTTTTGAGGAGCTCCATACTGTTTTCCATAGCAGCTGCACTATTTTACTTTCGCATCAACAGGACACAGGGATTCAAATTTCTCCACTTGTTCATCCAAGAGCCACTATTTTGCGAGAGATGAATTTCACTCATTGGCATTTATCATGATCACTGATATGTGAGATCTTGAATCGTTTCGCTCTCCTCCCTCTGTCTGGGTGGTTAGCTGCTGGAGGGAAGACTCTGTATTCTTTCTCACCTCTGGGTCACATGGCAGCTTCATCTCCCATTACCACTCTGGGTGCTTGGGCTCCACTTGCTGGCTGGGTGGTGACATGGGTAACTGATGAAACGATTCCCACTTCCAGCAACGGTAGCATCGTGGTCAAGAACGATGTCATCCTGGAGGCAGACTACACTTTAGAGTATGAGGAACTGTTTGAAAACCTGGCAGAGATTGTAAAGGCCAAGATTATGAATGAAACTAGAACAACTCTTCTTGATCCTGATTCCTGCAGAAGTAAGCTCACCTAAAACCCCTTGACACCTGTGGGTGTCTTGGAGATCGTGACCTTGACCTCTCCCTCCTCTACGTCTTCTTTCTTCTGGTACTCCCAAGACTTCTGCCACAGGAACCCAGAAGCCAGGCCCAGGGTGCCTTCCCCAGATCCCAAAGCTGCTCCCAACAGCCCCCTCTCGGTCCCAGGCTGAGGCTATCATATCCCCATTTGAGCCTCCTCACAAGCCCAGCTGCATGTCTAGGGTGGGCAAAGACTCCCACGGGCATTGGCCCAGGGGAGGGCATGGTATAGAAGAGAGAGGCCTGGCTACCCCCAGGGAGGCAGAGGGAAGTGTTTCTATTCCATCTTCCTTCCCATCCACTCTCGGCAGAGGCCATACTGTGCTATAGTGAAGAGGACACTTTCGTGGATTCATCGGTGACTCCGGGCTTTGACTTCCAGGGTAAGCGACTACGTGGAGCGTGGGCACTAAGAGTGGGGGCTGGGATGCTTTGGCCAGGCTCATGCATGCTGCCCGCCCCTCTCCCTCAGAGCAATGCACCCAGAAGGCTGCCGAAGGATATACCCAGTTCTACTATGTGGATGTCTTGGATGGGAAGCTGGCCTGTGTGAACAAGTGCACCAAAGGAACGAAGTCGCAAATGAACTGTAACCTGGGCACATGTCAGCTGCAACGCAGTGGCCCCCGCTGCCTGTGAGTGTCCCCATAAGCCCAGCACCCACTCTGTCCTGGTGATAGGGCCCTCCCCCTCCCCAGCAGTCACCCACAGGGTTGGGGGATTGAGTAGAGCTTGGGAGGTGCCTCCTCCCCACTCCTGGACATACCTCTCCCCTGTAATCTCATTCCCACCCCCCACACCCACAAGAGTGAGGAGTAGGAGTAGATTATAGACATAGAGGTCCCAAAGCTGGGCAATCCCTTCCTGAGAAAGTTCATGCTGTCAATTTCCAAATCTATCTCTATCTCTATCTTTGTCTGTATCTCTATCTCTATCTCTATCTTTGTATCTCTATCTCAATCTCTATATCTGTCTATATTGTTAATTTCCCTTATGTCATCTCTGCCATGCTGTCAAGATTACCTCTAGCTGCAGCCACAGCACTAAGTCCACAGACCATAAATTAAGGTGCAAAAGAAAAACCATGATAACAGGCCCATTTAGGTAGCAGATGCTTAGAGATTAGGTGGGTGAATGGTACGTGTCTGGGACGAGACACCCAACACTCTCAGGTCCCCTTGAGCCCTAGTCATTTGAATTCCTGATCTGCAGTCTCCAGGTCCCCCCAACTCCCTCAGTGCCCATCAGCCTGAGGAAGTCAGGGACCCAGGCTCTCTGGGGGCTGAGCTCCAGCCGTTGGAGTGAGGGAGATCTGGTTTCCTGTGCTTAGGAGAGTGGGTTAACCCTTGGGATATTGGATGTGAGGGATCCCAGGGGATCAGCGTGAGCTTGTCTGTGTCCCCAGGTGCCCAAATACGAACACACACTGGTACTGGGGAGAGACCTGTGAATTCAACATCGCCAAGAGCCTCGTGTATGGGATCGTGGGGGCTGTGATGGCGGTGCTGCTGCTCGCATTGATCATCCTAATCATCTTATTCAGCCTATCCCAGAGAAAACGGCACAGGTGAGCTTGTGAGGCCAGCACCGCAGGCCCACACAGAGGGGACAGATCCTGGGGTGGCCACTGTCTGAATGTCCTAAGGCTCTGCTCCTTCCAGGCCAGCAATCAGAGAGGTCAGCTGAGGCCAGATGGGGTGCCCAGACCCTCCCAGCCCTGGGTGCAGCAAAGGGCGGCCTTCCTGTAGGATACATCAATTTGGCAGTGTTTTAGTCCATTTTGTGCTATTATAACAGAATACCACCACTGGGTAATTGATAAACAATAGAAGTTTATTTGGCTCACAGTTCTGGAGGCTGGGAAGTCCAAGATCAAGGGGCTGCATCTGGTGAGGACTTTCTTGCTGCATCACAGCATGGCAACATGGCAGTCTGCAGCACATGGACAGAGAGGAAGAGAGGGCTGAACTCACTTTTTTTTTTTCTTTAAGAGACAGGGTCTTGCTGTCACCCAGGCTGGAGTGCAGTGGCATGATCTCGGCTCACTGCAACCTCCGCCTCCCAGGTTGAAGTGATTCTCATGCCTCAGCCTCTCGAGTAGCTGGGATTACAAGTGCATTCCACCATGCCTGGCTAATTTTTGTATTTTTAGTAGAAACGGGGTTTCACCATGTTGGCCAGGCTGGTCTTGAACTCCTGACCTTGAGTGATCCACCCACCCTGGCTTCCCAAAGTGCTGGGATTACAGGTGTGAGCCACCGTGCCCGGCCTTAAATTAAATTAAATTAAATTAAATTAAATTAAATTAAATTAAATGTGTTGTAGAAATAGGGTCTCACTATATTGCCCCGGCTGGTCTGAAACTCCTGGCCTCAAGCAGTCCTCTCACCTCAGCCTACAAAGTTGTTGGGATTACAGGTGTGAGCTGTCACCCCTGGCTGTCTGAACTCGCTTTTATTACACACCCACTTTTGAGATAATGATGTTAATCTATTCATGAGGACAGCACCTTCATGACCTAATCATGTCTTCAAGGTCCTACCTCTCAGCATTGCTGCCTTGGGGATTAAATTTCCAACACATGAACTCTAAGGGACACATTCAAACCATAACACAGAGAATGGAAACAGAAGCTTATGTGTGGAAATTAGACTATGTAATGACATTCCCTGTAGTTAGTTATCACTCACCTTGGCCACCACAGAGCACAGCACCACATGGGGAAGCTGAGATGGAGCGTCTGGGTCTCACTTTTCCCAGCTGTAAAATGGGATAAGATGCACCTGTGAAGGTTGCTGGGAAACCCTGGCACAGTACCTGACCCGAAGTCAGCAACTGAAGGGAGCTACCCTACGCCCCCATCTCATGGATATGGAAACTGAGGGCCACTAAAGGGAGTGAGGGGCAGCCAGGAGGCCTGGCCAGTGCTTGCCTTGGTAGAAGGGAAGCCATGGTGATGCTACTTTTTGTTCTCTGCCATCATCGCTGCCATCTCTGACTCGGGGTGTGGCTGTGACTGTCCCCTCGAGGGAAGCTGAAGGTCAGGGTCCACCAAGTCCCTCCTCAGCCTCCTTGCCTACAGCTGCTCAAGGCATTTCTGTCTGCAGGGAACAGTATGATGTGCCTCAAGAGTGGCGAAAGGAAGGCACCCCTGGCATCTTCCAGAAGACGGCCATCTGGGAAGGTACCTCTAGTTAAGGGCAAGGAGATGAGCAGAGCTGGAGGGTGAAGAAAGGCAGGGCGGTGCCTGTGCCTGTGGGGGTGACGTGGGGTCCAGCCCCCCTTTGGGGTGGCTGTGACTGACAGCCCGTTCCCTACCTGCCGCTGCAGCCCCGGACCCAGACACCACCCCTGCTGTGTGCAAGAGTGCAGGAGTGGTTGAGAACCAGATCTTGCCCCCAGAGACCAACTCAGTGAGGGCATCCAGTGCACACTCAGCTAAGCGGGGTGATAGGGCCATTCCCAGGGCAGAGGGAGCAGAGGGGTGGACCTGACCCAGCCTGGGTGGGGATAGGGGGTCAGATTAGCCCCCAGGTGAGACTGACTCTTGAATAGGTGAGTAAGCAGGTGTGCTTCCTCCTTCAACACAGTGGGAGCCCAGTAAGCAGGGAGGCCTTATCCCAGTGAGGACAAGGGAAAGGGCACCCCAGGCAGGGGGCACTGCATGAGAAACGCCTGCAGTTGGGAAGGAGCTTGCTTTTGGCGGGGAAGGGAAGGCAGGTCAATCTCACAAAGAAAGAGTGAGGGACGTGAGGTTGGCAGGGCTTTGGGAATGGGGTGGGGGGTTGAGGGGCTTTGGCCGCCCACCTTTTTTTGTGAGACAGAGTCTCACTCTGTCACCCAGGCTGGAGTACAGTGGCACAATCTTGGCTCACTGCAACTTCTGTCTCCCAGGTTCAAGCGATTCTCCTGCCCTCAGCCTCCCTAGTAGCTGTGATTACAGGCATGCCACCACGCGTGGCTAATTTTTGTATTTTTAGTAGAGACTGTAGAGACAGGGTTTCATCATGTTGGCCAGGCTGGTCTCGAACTCCAGACCTTAGGTGATCCGCCCGCCTTGGCCTCCCAAAGTGCTGGGATTACAGGCGTGAACCACCATGCCCGGTCACATTTTGAATTTTTTTTACTCAAAAGGCCATTCAGGGAGCACTAAAGCAGGGAGACCAGGTGGAGGAAGTGAGGCTGAGGGGGTGGGGGGAGGGAGAGGAGACGCAGCCTGGTGGAGATGAGGCTGAGTGGGTGGGAGAGGGAGAGGGAGTGAGGGAGGATTTCCGGGATTGTCCGAGCTGACCCTTGGGCCCCGAAGGATGGGGGAGAAGCAGCCGGTGGAGCACACTGAGTTGGGGGGCTGGTGGGTGCTGAGGAGGAGGCTGCAAGGCTCGTGCCTGTCTGAATCTCCGGGAGGGGTCTGCAGCCTGAACCACGTACTGGAATAGAGGTTTGTCCATTCATCGGGGAGAATGCAGAGTGAGAAGTGAGGAGGGTGAAAGGAGAACCCCCCCCCAGGAGCCCCCGTAGAAGGACAGGTAGGGCATGAGGACCCCGATCTAGGAGGACGCAGGAAAAGAGGGGTCAGAGGTGCAGGGAGAGCCCCGGAGTCCAGAGAGTGAGTGGTTCTGCGGGACCAGGAAGTAAGTGATCGCTGTGCTCCGGGAGGATGCTGGAAGAAGATTCCAGACGCAGCTTTTTTGCCTGCTATGGTTACCGTTGCTATGAAGGAGGGCGGCCCTGCTGACCCAGAGCCAGCCCTGTCTCCCGCTCCACTCTGACCTCACCCCTGAGTCCAGGGCTGAACGCACGCTCCTCCGTGGCCCCCGCTTCCACCCCGTGCATGTGGGGGGCTTCTGCTCCGCTCCCTCCTGTTCCGGGGTCCAGCGGGCGGCTCCCCAGGCAGGCTCTGCACTTACCCGCAGCCCAGTGATGCAGGGTCGGAGGGGTGGTCGGCAGTGGGAAAGGGCGTAGGGCAGATGCCGGGCTGACTCTTCCTTTTGCCAGAGGAAATCCCCTCTGCCCCCTAGTCCTCCCCCTACCAAGGCTCCCATCACTCATCACGGCCTCTCCCTACAGACCAGAATCTGAGGGAGAGCAGATTCGGCCTTGAGAACGCCTACAACAACTTCCGGCCCACCCTGGAGACTGTTGACTCTGGCACAGAGGTGACTCAGCTGCGAGCTGCCCCCACCCCCTGAGGCTGCTCCACTTCCTCTGGGGTTCCCTCTTCCCCCGGGACTCCCTTCTCCCCCTGGGACTCCCTTCTCCCCCTGGGACTCCCTCCCTTCCCCCTGGGACCCCTTCCCTTTCCCTTCCCCCTGGGACTCCCTTCCTCCCCCTGGGACCCCTTCCTTTCCCCCTGGGACTCCCTCCCTCCCCCTGGGACCCCTTCCCTTCCCCCTGGGACTCCCTCCCTCCCCCTGGGACCCCTTCCCTTCCCCCTGGGATTCCCTCCCTCCCCCTGGGACCCCTTCCCTTCCCCCTGGGACTCCCTCCCTCCCCCTGGGACCCCTTCCCTTCCCCCTGGGACTCCCTCCCTCCCCCTGGGACCCCTTCCCTTCCCCCTGGGACTCCCTCCCTCCCCCTGGGACCCCTCCCTTCCCCCCTGGATTCCCTCCCTCCCCCTGGGACCCCTTCCCCTTCCCCCTGGGACTCCCTCCCCTCCCCCTGGGACCCCTTCCCTTCCCCCTGGGACTCCCTCCCTCCCCCTGGGACCCCTTCCCTTCCCCCGGGACTCCCTCCCTTCCCCCGGGACTCCCTCCTCCCCCAGGACTCCCTCCTCTCCTTAGGACTCCCTCCCTCTCCCTGGGACACTCTCCCTACCCCTGGGACTCCCTTCTCCCCCTAGGACTCCCTCCCTTCTCCTGGGACTCCCTCCTCCCCCAGGACTCCCTCCTCACCCTGGGGCCACCCCTTCCCCTGGGACTCCCCCCTCCCCCGCCACTCCCTCCTCTCCCTAGGACTCCCTCCCTCCCCCTGGGACTCCCTCCCTCCCCCTGGGGTTCCCTCCTCCCCGCCAGGGCTCCCTCTTCCTCCTGGGGCTCCCCCTTTCCCGGGTCTGCCCCTTGGCCTCACCTCTTCTCTCCCGTCCCCCAGCTCCACATCCAGAGGCCGGAGATGGTAGCATCCACTGTGTGAGCCAACGGGGGCCTCCCACCCTCATCTAGCTCTGTTCAGGAGAGCTGCAAACACAGAGCCCACCACAAGCCTCCGGGGCGGGTCAAGAGGAGACCGAAGTCAGGCCCTGAAGCCGGTCCTGCTCTGAGCTGACAGACTTGGCCAGTCCCCTGCCTGTGCTCCTGCTGGGGAAGGCTGGGGGCTGTAAGCCTCTCCATCCGGGAGCTTCCAGACTCCCAGAAGCCTCGGCACCCCTGTCTCCTCCTGGGTGGCTCCCCACTCTGGAATTTCCCTACCAATAAAAGCAAATCTGAAAGCTCAGAATGAGAAGTGAGAGGTTTCCTTCTCCTCCTTCTGCAGTTGGGGTCAGGTTAGGGGTCAGAGCCCTCCTGGGATGGGATTTCTCCCAGGACTGGCTGCTGAATGGGGCATGGAACGAATGCTCTGGGCCCCTTCCTGTGTCTTTGCAGGGAGCCCCCTCCCCGGCTCCAGTCAGGACAGGTCTAGGCCTGCCTCTGCTGAGGTCCCTGTGGCAGAAAAGCCTAATGTCAGGTTCTGGGGACAGGAGAGGACCTCAGATTCAACCCCAGTTGGCCAGGGAGTGAGCACTTGGCTCTGCTGAGCTTGCACAAGGCAGGGTCACTCCAGATGGCCATGGGAGCTGTGCTTACCTCGGAACCCACAGACCAAACCCAAGAACTCCCTGCCCAGGCATGGCCATGTCTTCAGGGCATACTCATAGGACAATAAGAAGGGTTATTTTATTTATTTATTTTTGCCGAGACAGAGTCTTGCTCTGTTGCCCAGGCTGGAGTACGGAGGCACGATCTTGGCTCTCTGCAACCTCCGCCTCCCAGGTTCAAGCGATTCTCCTGCCTCAGCCTCCTGAGTAGCTGGGATTACAGGCGCCCGCCACCAAGTCTGGCTGATTTTTGTATTTTTAGTAGAGATGGTGTTTCATCATGTTGGCCAGGTTGGTCTCAAACTCCTCATCTCAAGTGATCTTCCCGCGTCAGCCTCCCAAAGTGCTGGGATTACAGGTGTGAGCCACCATACCCGGCCAATAAGAAGGGTTAGAAAAGAGACAAAGGGGGTGTCCCTGCTAGGGGTTAGGGTCAAATGCAGGTGGTACCCTCCTCCTTTCCCAGCTCAGGCCCAGTCCCTCTTGCCCATCTCCCACCACCCTCGGTCGGGGGATCTCATCAGTTCCCCCCTGGCTCCTACAGGCCCTCTGGGCTGCCCCTCTGTTGGGGTGATAAAGCTGATAACCCTCATGCCTATGGGCTGCCGGGCCAGGGAGAGGCACCCCCTCCCTCTGCCCTTTGGCCTGAAACAGGCCCTGCGCCCCAAGTCATGAGGGAAGCTTCCAGACTGACTCAGGCTCAGGCTGGCCCCTGATCCCCAGTGTCTCAGGGACCAAAGGTCTCTGGCACCCATTTATTTATCAGTTTCCTTCTCTGAGGCTCATTTCGCCAGCTCCTCTGGGGGTGACAGGCAAGTGAGACGTGCTCAGAGCTCCGATGCCAAGGCCAGGGACCATGGCGCTGTGTCTGCTGACCTTGGTCCTCTCGCTCTTGCCCCCACAAGCTGCTGCAGAACAGGGTGAGTGACCCCCACGCCCCGCTGCCCAAGAGGCCCCCATCCCAGGGGCCAGCCTGCTCTGTCTGCCCATCCCCGAGGGAGAGCTGCCTCCAGGACACCAATAGGGGTGTGCCCTCTGCCTGGAGCTCAGCCCTGTGCCTACCCCCTGGACTTCTCTTCTCTCCCCAGCGAGCTTTGGGGGAAGAGCCAGGGCATTGGAGCCTCTTCCAGTTGAGGTCTCTGAGCCTTAGTTTCCCCTTCCGAGCCTCAGTCTCCCCTCCGGAAAGTAAGAATAATAACACCTGCTTTTCAGGGCAGCTGCTAGGATTGAAAAGAGCTCCCCCCCCGAGGCATGATCCCTGGCACAAGACTGGTGTTCAACCCATATTAGAGTCTATCCTTACCCAGTGAATGTTCCCGCCAAGTCCCTGTCACCTCCCACACCAGCACACCCTGCTGTGTGCCCCAGGAATGTTTCCGGGACATAGCCACATGGGCACAAAATGGCGTTTCAGGAGCCCCAGATTCTAATCCTGCCATGAACCAGCTGTGCACCCTGGGGCCGCTCAGTTCATCTCCTGCCTCAGTCTCCCCAAAAGACAAGGCATTAGGACCTCTGAGGATCATTCCAGCTCAGCCGCTTTGGGCTTCATGGCCACAGGGACCCCGGGGGGCTCAGAGCAGGAGGGATGACAGTGGGTTCCAGCTGGACTCTCTGGGAGCTCCCTCTGCCCCTCACCTGCCCCCAGAGAAGGGCGCAGGGGAACCAAGACAGAAACTGGACCCATAGACCTCAGGGTCCCTGCCCCTCGAGATGTCACCCTGTGGCAATCTCACCCAGATCTGCCAGCCCATTCGTTGTAATGAAAACACTCCTTTCCTTGCACTTTCTGTGCCTTCCAGACCCTTGGTGATGTATCTCTAATAACAGCATCTTAGACATGATCTTTTGTTTTCCTCCCCAACCCTCACCTCTGTCTCCTCCTTTTTTTTTTTTTTTTTTTTTTGAGACGGAGCCTCGCTCTGTCACCCAGGCTGGAGTTCTGTAGCGTGATGTCAGCCCACTGCAACCTCTGCCTCCCGGGTTCAAGCGATTCTCCCGCCTCAGGCTCTTGAGTAGCTGGGATTACAGCCACATGCCACCATGCCCAGCTAGATTTTGTATATTTTTAGTAAGGACAGGGTTTCACCATGTTAACCGGGCTGGTCTCAAACTCCTGATCTCAGGTAGTCCTCCCACCTTGGGCTCCCAAAGTGCTGGGATTACAGGGGTGAGCCACCGCTCCTGGCCCCCTCCTTTCTTTCTCTCTGCTCCTCCCTTCCCTCTTCCTGGGTTCTTCTAGCCCCTTCCTTCCCCCTCTCTTCTCTTTCTTCTTCTCCCCACCTCTCCTTGGCCCCTTCCTGGCCTCTCCCCACTTTCTGCGTGTTATCATTGATTTCATCCCTAGCCTCAGTCTGCCTTTGTAGAATGTGACTTCTCAGACCCTGTTCCTACTCTCCAGGATTCTGTGGCTCCTCCGTCTCTGTGCCTGGCATTGGCTGTCCTTTGGGACCCTGGCCAGCTTTGGGCAGCCTCTGACCCTTTCCATGTCCCTTCTCCAGGGACCCAGAGCCTCACCCCTGCTGAAGTCATGGGGCTGGGGATACCAGGGCAGGGCGTGGGTCTAGAGAGAGAGCTGCAGTGGCCTCAGCCTGGTCCTTCCCAGCAGACACACCCTCTCATCCTGCAGATCACCTGGTTATATTGCTTGTCAACAAAACACAATGTCCTGTCTGTTTGCCCAGCCCGGCCCTGCCATCACAGATGCCCTCTCATCCCTACACCCAGCATGAGGGCCACCAAGGCTTGGGTGCTCAGTCACCTGTCCATGGCAGGTATCCCTTTGCCCTCCCCCCATCCCTGTCTAGGGCTCTGTCCCCATCTAGCACTTCCATCACCATCCCACTCTTGTCCTCCTCCCGAGAGATTTTTTTTTTTTTTTTTTTTTGAGGAGGAGTCTCAGTCTATCTCCCAGGCTGGAGTGCGGTGGCGCCATCTCAGCTCACTGCAACCTCCACCTCCCAGGTTCAAGCAATTCTCCTGCCTCAGCCTCCCGAGTAGCTGGGATTACGGATGCACGCTACTGTACCCAGCTAATTTGTGTATTTTTAGTAGAGACGGGGTTTCGCCATGTTGGCGAGGGTGGTCTTGAACTCGGAATCTCAGGTGATCCACCTGCCTCTGCTTCCCAAAGTGCTGGGATTACAGGCGTGAGCCACTGCACCCAGTACCCTCCTGAGAGATTCTAAGGAAACTTCAAATGTCTACCCCAGCTCCCTACTCCCATCAACAAGGCTCTCCTCCCAGGCCAGGTGCAGTGGCTCATGCCTATAATCCAGGCATATTGGGAGGCCAAGTTGGAAGGATCACTTGAGCCTAGGAGTTTGAGACCATCCTGGGCAACATAGCAAGACCCCATCTCTACAATAAATTAGCTGGAAATGGTGGTACACGCCTGTGTCCCACCTACCTGGGAGGCTGAGGTGGGAGGACTGCTTGAGCCTGGGAGGTCGAGGCTGCAGTGAGCTGTGATTGCACTACTGCACTCCAGCCTGGATGACAGAGTGAGACCCTGTCTCTAAAAAAAAAATCAAAAACACCCACCTCCTCCAGGGAGCCTTCCAGGAATCTGCACTAACTCTCCTTGCCTCAAACCCACCCCTGCAACCACAGGGGACCAGAAAAAACTGTAGTTTTTGCTCCCTGGGGCTGTCATTATAAAGCACAGCAATCTCCGTGCCTTACAATAACAGAAATGGATTGCCTTGCTGTCCTGGAGGCCAGAATCTAAAACCGAGGTGTCACAGGGCCATGATCCCTCTGAAGTCGCCAGGGAAGGGTCTGTCCCAGGCCTGTTTCCTGGTTGCGGGTGGTTGGTGGCAATCTCTGGCGTTCCTGGGCTGGTAGACGCTTTGCCTCCATCTTTACTTCATCTCGCTGTGGGTGTGTCTGTCTCTGTGTTGGGTTAGGACCCATGCTAGTGACCTCAGTTTAACTCGATCCCCTGCAAAAACCCTATCTCCAAATAAGGCCAACTTCTGGGGCACTGGGGATTAGGGTTCAGTTCAGCTCACAACAGAAAGGAATGAGGGGAGACCCTGCCGGGGTGGGGCATGAGGAGCAGACCTTTCAAAATTAAAAAGAAATATTTTTGGTTTTTATATTTTTTTAAGACATGGTCTCACTCTGTCCCAGGCTGGAGTGCAGTGACACTATCTCAGCTCATTGCAACCTCTGCCTCCCAGGTTCAAGTGATTCTCCTGCCTCAGCCTCCTGAGTAGCTGGGATTACAGGCGCCCACCACCTGTAATGCTGGCTAAATTATGCCTGGCTAATTTTTGTATTTTCAGTAGAGACGGGGGTTTCGCCATGTTGACCAGGCTGGTCTCGAACTCCTGACCTCAACTGATTTGTCCACCTCAGCCTCCCAAAGTGTGGGGATTACAGGCATGAGCCACTGCCCCTGGCTGATACAGTGACTTGTTTTCTTTTCATTAGATACCCAGTAGTGGGATTGCAGGATCAAATGGCAGATTTACTTTGAGTTCTCTGAGAAATCTCCATACTGTTTTCTATAGAGGTTGTACTGATTTACTTCCTGTCAGCAATGTATAAGCATTCCCTTTTTACCACATCCATGCCAACATCTATTTGCAGTTTTTTTTTTTGGCTTTTTAATAACGATCACTGTGACTGGGATATATTCTATATCTCATTGTGGTTTCAATTTGCATCTCCCTGATGATTAGTGATGTTGAGCATTTTTTCATATGCTTGGTGGTCATTTGTTGATCTTCTTTTGAGAAGTGTCTGTTCATGGCCTTTGCCCACTTTTTGATGGGAGGGAGCAGGCTTTCTTTTTTTTTTAAAAGAGAAATTGCTGACCAGGAGTAGTGATTCATGCCTGTAATCCCAGCCCTTTGGGAGGCTGAGGCGGTGGATCACTTGAGGTCAGGAGTTCAAGATCAGCCTGGCCAACCTGGCAAAACCCCATCTCTACTAAAAATAGAAAAATTATCTGGGCATGGTGTGACAAGCCTGTAATCTCAGCCCCTCAGGAGGCTGAGACACGACAATCACTTGAATCTGGGAGGCAGAGGTTGCCGTGAGCCGAGATGGCATCACTGCACTCCAGCCTGGGCGACAAAGTGAGACTCTATCTCAAAAAAAAAAAAGAAAAAGAAGAAATTGCTAATAGCTGGAACAAAACGGCAAGGGAGGAAACAAGTGAGGAGAAGGGGGGTTGTGACCGCAACTGCTTCTGCCTCCTTCTCTTCCATCCCCATCCTCCCACCTCCCATGGCCCTCCAGTGGGGAGGTAGTTGCCTGGTCTGCGGGGCCTCAACCCAACCCATTGCCCTAACCTTCTGAGATCAGATGAACGCTTTGGCTTCAACATGAACAATCTATTTCTCTGTAATTGGTCAAAATTAATGGAGAATAGCACTTGAGCACTGATCTTTTATTTCACTCCCAAACCTCCTCCCTGCTCTGTCTCCTCCTTTTTTTTTTTTTTTTTTTTCTGAGATGGCGCCTTGCCCTGTCGCCCAGGCTGGAGTGCTGTAGCGTGATGTCAGCTCACTGCAACCTCCACCTCCATCTTGATGGGAGGGAGCAGGCCTTCTTTTAAAAAAAGAAATCGTTGACCAGGAGCAGTGGTTTATGTCTGTAATCTCAGCATTTTGGGAGGCTGGCACACTCTGTCTTAGGTGACTGACCACGGCCACCAGCACCCCACTTGAGGACTGCACTCCAGCCTGGGTAACAGACGGAGACCACGTCTCTAAAAAAAAGAAAAATTTAATGGGTTTGGGGAGAACAGAGCCAACATAAAAACAATTAGAGGACCAGGCATGGGTGGTTCATGCCTGGAATCCCAGCACTTTGGGAGGCTGAGGTGGGAGGATCGCTTGAGCCCAGAAGTTTGAGACCAGCCTGGGCAACACAGGGAGACTTTCATCTCTACAAAAAAATGTAAAAATTAGGCATTGTGGTGTGCGCCTGTGGTCCCAGCTACTTGGGAGGCTGAGGTAGGAGGATCACTTGAGGCCAGGAGGTGGAGGCTGCAATAAGCCATGTTTGCACCACTGCAATCCAGCCTGGGTGACAGAGGGAGACTCCGTCTTAAGAAAAAAAAAAAAAGAGGCTTGGCATGGTGGCTTACACCTGTAATCCCAGCACTTTGGGAGGCCAAGGCAGGCGGATCACTTGAGGCCAGGAGTTTAAGACCAGCCTGGCTAACATGGTGAAAATCTGTCTCTACAAAAAATATAGGCCAAGCACAGTGGCTCACACCAGTAATCCCAGCACTTTGGGAGGCCAAGGCGGGCGGATTGCATGAGGTCAGGAGTTCGAGACCAGCCTGGCCAACATGGTGAAACCCCGCCTCTACTAAAAATACAAAAAAATTAGCCAGGTGTAGTTATGTGCCCCTGTAATCCCAGCTACTCAGGAGGCTGAGGCAGGTAAATCTCTTGAACCTGGGAGGTGGAGGTTGCAGCGAGCCAGGATCATGCCACTGCGCTCCAGCCTGGGTGACAGAGCGAGATCTCTCTCTCAAAAAAAAAAAAAAAAAGCTGGGCATGGTGATGCATGCCTGTAGTCCCAGCTACTTGGGAGACTGAAGTTGAAGGATTGCTTGAACCCAGGAGGCGGAGATTGCAGTGAGCCAAGACTGCACTCCAGCCTGGGCAACAGTGAGACCTTGTCTCAAAAAAGAAAGAAAGAAAAAATAAAAATAAAAGAAAGCAGTTATGGAGGAGCCCACACGGTAGATGTTGTGGAACTGAGTGCTTGCTGTGTGTGGTGGACTCACCCCAATAACACTGTCCAAGTCCCAGTCCCTTCTCTCCCCTTGTCTCCTATACTCACCCCTGCAAAGCTTTTTTACTTCCCTCTGACTCCACCCTCTTCCCACCTCTTAGGGGTCAGTGGATCAGGGCCTACCGGGCACAGTGGAGTGAAGGTGCTCACGGGGAGCCCTTGGCCTCCTATATCTGCCTGGATTTACCTGCAGGGGCCAGGCCCAGGCAGGGACAGGGGTATGCTGTTTCCAGGAAGTCCTGCTGTGGGCCTGGGCCTATGGCCTGGCTTTGCCATAAGGAGGGCTGGCTATGGAATCCATGAAGCCTCGTTGGCCTTGGTAACTTGGCCTTGTCACTCCATCCCTGGCACACTCTGTCTTAGGTAGCCAACCCCAGCCACTAGCACCCCACAGACTAAGCGACTTCATGCAGCTCATAGTGCTGAGATAATGGGGCTGAGACCTCTCATCTGGTTCTAGACGAAACTGGTTACATAATTTTAGGGCCCAGAGCAAAATGGACATGCAAGGCCCTTCGTTCAAAGATTTCTTGTGGTTTTTAAGAGATATGACCTCGCTCTGTTGCCCAGGCTGGAGTGCGGTGGTGCCATCATAGCTCACTGCAGCCTTGAACTCCTGGGCTCAAGTGGTCTTCCCGCCTCAGCCTCCCAATTAGCTGGGACTAGAGGTAAGCACCACCACGCCCGATTAATTGTTTTTTAGTAGAGGTAGCATCTCACCATGTTGCCTAGGCTGATCTCAAACTGTGGCCTCAAGTGATCCACCTACCTCAGCCTCTTGAGTACCTGGGACTACAGGCACGCACCACCATGCCCAGCTAATTTTTTTTATTTTTAGTACAGACGAGGTCTTGCTATGTTTCTGAGGCTGGTCTCAAACTCATGGCCTCAAGCAACCCTCCCCACTTGGCTTCCCAAAGTGCTGGGATTACAGGTGTGAGCCATCATGCCTGGCCTATTTTATTTTTTCATTATTGAAAGATAATATGCCAGACACAGTGGCTCATGTCTGTAATTCCAGCATTTTGGGAGGCCGAGGCTGGAGGATCACTTTGGACCCAGAGCTTGGGACTATCTGGGCAACATAGCAAGACCCCATCTGTATGTCTATTAAAAGTAATAAAAAGAAATTATATTATATTATATTATACTAATTTGCATGAATCCAGTG
Organism: Homo sapiens; assembly: GCF_000001405.40. Classification (NCBI taxonomy): domain Eukaryota; kingdom Metazoa; phylum Chordata; class Mammalia; order Primates; family Hominidae; genus Homo; species Homo sapiens. The sequence continues at coordinate 101,027,231 of NC_000007.14, forward strand.
TGGATGAAAGGTAGTAAGTGAGGTTGGGGGTGGGGCACCTAGGGCCCATGCCCAGCCCTAATTTTTATATTTTATATTTCTTGTAGAGATGAGGTTTCTCGCTATTGCTCAGGCTGGTCTCGAACTCCTGGTCTCAAGTGATCCACCGCCCCTTGGTCCCCTAAAGGGCTGGGATTACAAGCATGAACCACCATGCCTGGCCAATCTATTTATTCTTGAGTGAGCTTTTCTAGTTTGTGTCTTCCAGAGAATTTGTTCATTTCATCTAAGTTGTCAAATTTATTGGCATGAAGTTGTTTACAGATCTCCATTTTAACATCTGTAGAATCTGAGAGCCCTGGTAGTTTTCTTCATGTGTCTTGTGTTTGGAGTTGTTGAATTTTTTGGAGCTGTGGGCTTATAGTTTTTATCAAGTTTGAAAATTTGGGGCCATTCTTTCTTCACATATTTTTTAGTTACCCCTTTTTCTCCTTGCCTTTAGGGACTCCTATATATTAGGCTGCTTAAAGTTGTCCCAACACTTACTGATAATCTTTAAAAAAAAATTTCTTTTTTTTTTGAGAGAGGATTTCATTCCATTGTCCAGACTGGAGTGCAGTGATGCAATCTGAGCTCACTGCAACCTCCGCCTTTAGGGCTCAAGCAGTTCTCCTGTCTCGGCCTCTCAAGTAGCTGGTACTACAGGTGCATGCCATGATGCCCAGCAAATTTTTGTATTTTTTGTTGAGATGGAGGTTTCATCATGTTGCCCAGGCTGGTCTCGAACTCCTGGGCTCAAGTGATCTGCCTGTCTGGGCTTCCCAAAGTGCTGGGATTACAGGTGTGAGCCACTGCACCTCACCCTTAAATTTTTTTTTAATTCTTTTTTTTTTTTTTTTTGAGATGGAGTCTTGCTCCGTCACCCAGGCTGGAGTGCAGTGGCACGATCTTGGCTCACTGCAACCTCTGCCTCCCAGTTCAAGTGATTCTTCTGCCTCAGCCTCCCGAGTAGCTGGGACTACAGGTGTATGCCATCACACCCAGCTAATTTTTGTATTTTTAGTAGAGACAGGGTTTCACTATATTTGCCAGGCTGGTCTCGAACTCCTGACCTTGTGATCTGCCCGCCTCGGCCTCTCAAAGTGCTGGGATTACAGGCATAAGCCACCGCGTCCAGATCATTTTTTCTTTACGTCTTTCAGTGTGGATAGTTTCTATTGCCATCCCTTCACATCATTATTTATTTTCTTCTTCAATGTCTAATCTGTCCTTAATCCCATCTGGTGTATTTTTTTTATCTCTAGAAGTTCTGTTTGTTTATATACACATTTTTCCATGTTTCTATTGGATTATTGCACATATGGAACAGTTATAGAAGCTATTTTGGACTGGATGCGGTGGCTCATACCTGTAATCCCAGCACTTTGGGAGGCTGAGGCAGCAGGATCCCTTGAGGCCCAGAGTTCAAGAGCAGCCTGGGCAGCATAGTGAGACCCCTGTCTCTACAAAAAAAAAAAACTTTTAAAAAACTGGCTAGGTGTGGTGTCTCATGCCTGTAGTGCCAGCTACTCAGGAGGCTGAAGTGGAAGAATTGCTTGAGCCCAGGAATTTGAGGTTGCAGTAAGCTATGATTGCCCCACTGCACTCCAGCCTGGGCGATACAGAGAGACACTGTCTCTTAAAAATTAATAAATAAGTCCGGACGTGGTGGTTCATGCCTGTAAACCCAGCATTTTGGGAGGCCGAAGCCAGCAGATCACCTGAGGTCGGGAGTTCGAGACCAGCCTGACCAACGTGGAGAAACCCCATCTCTACTAAAAATACAAGATTAGTTGGGGTGTGGTGGCGCATGCCTGTAATCCCAGCTACTCGGGAGGCTGAGGCAGGAGAATCACTTGAACCCAGAAGGCAGAGGTTGTGGTGAGCCAAGATCACACCATTGCACTCCAGCCTGGGCAACAAGAGCAAAACTACATCTCAAAAAAGAAAAAAAAAAAATAGCTGGACACGGTGGCAGGTGTCTGTAATCCCAGCTACTCAGGAGGCTGAGGCAGGAGGATTGCTTGAACCTGGGAGGCAGAGGTTGCAGTGAGCAGAGATCGCGCCACTGCACTCCAGCCTGGGCAACAGAGCGAGGCTCTGTCTCTAAATACATACATACATACATGTATACATACATACACACACACATACTACTTAAATGCCTTTCTCTGAAGATTCTTATGTCTGTGTCCATTCTGGGTAGGTTTCCATAGGTTGATTATTTTTCTCTCCATCGTTCATGTTTTCTTGACTGTTCATACTCAGTAATGATTCATGCCAGATGTTGTGAATTTTACCTTGTTGGGTGCTGGGAATTTTTGCATTCCGTTTTTTAATTAATTTATTATTATTATTATTATTTTTTGAGACAGAGTCTCGCTCTGTTGGCCAGGCCGGAGTGCAGTGGCACGATCTCAGCTCACTGCAACCTCTGTCTCCCAGGCTCAAGCAATCCTCCTGCCTCAGCCTCCCGAGTAGCTGGGATTATAGGTGCACGCCGCCGCACCCGGCTAATTTTTGTATTTTTAGTAGAGACAGGGTTTCACCATGTTGGCCAGGCTGGTCTTGAACTCCTGACCTCAGGTAATACGCCTGGCTCGGCCTCCCAAAATGCTGAGATTACAGGCGTGAACCACCGTGCCCGACCTCTTTTAGGTTTTTTTTTAGTAAATTTTCTAGCTAAGAATATGTGACTGTACATTGTATTTTCTATTGAAGGACTTCAGTTGTCTGATTAATAAATTAAACTTCCCAAGTACTTAAGAAATTCCATAAATCTAACAAATTAAATGTATATATTTTTAAAACTTTCCCACACATAGATTGTTCTACGGGTCTAATTAAATGTTTACGTGTGTTGAACCTTAAGTTCTCTTAAATGTTTTAACAGTTTACAATCTTAGCAATGTTCTAATGGAAAATCACAAATCTAAATCAACCACTCACTTATATATTTCAAATAGCAATTACAATGTTGGCTTTTTTTTTTTTTTTTGAGTCTTGCCCTGTCACCCAGGCTGGAGTACAGTGGTGTGATCTTGGCTCACTGCAACCTCTGACTCCCAGATTCAAGCAATTCTCCTGCCTCTGGCTCCCAAGTAGTTGGGACTACAGGTGCACATGCCACCATGCCCAGCTAATTTTTGTATTTTTAGTAGAGACAGGGTTTTGCCATGTTGGCCAGGCTGGTCTCGAACTCCTGACCTCGTGATCCACCTGCCTCAGCTTCCCAAAGTGCTGGGATTACAGGCATGAGCCACCACGCCCAGTCAGTTGGCATGTTATTCTAATAGGTCATATTCTATCTTTTAAAAAATATTTATTTATTCATTTTAGAGACAAGGTCTCACTCTGTCACCCAGGCTAGAGTGCAGTGGTGCCATCATAGCTCATTATGAACATGATCTCCTGGGCTCAAGTGATCCTCCTGCCTCAGCCTCCTGGGTAGCTGGGACTACAGGCATGTGCCACCATCCCCAGCTAATTTTTATAAAATTTTGTAGAGACAGGGTCTCACTCTGTCACCTAGGCTGGAGTGCAGTAGTGCAATCATAGCTCACTGTAGCCTTGACCTCCTGGGCTCAAGCGATCCTCTCCCCCCAGCCTCCAAAGTGCTGGAACTACGGGCACATGCCACCTGCACAATTTGACATTGCTGGACCTCCTCCAGGCTGGGGAGCAAATCCCCTGTACCATCTTCTTGCTTTACTTTCTGGGGCAGGGTCCTGATGGCTGATTTCTAACTAAAATCAGCAGGCTGGTTCAGGGGCCAGGGACTTTCCAGGGCAGGGAGTAGAGACTCAGAGTCTTCAAGAGAATGAAGGAAGATCATGGCTCTGGGATACTAACTCCCCTTTGTCTCTTTCAGACCTCAGTGTGAACAGGGCTGTGTGGGATGGAGGAGGGTGCATCTCCCAAGGGGACGTCTTGAACCGTCAGTGCCAGCAGCTGTCTCAGCACGTTAGGACAGGTAAGGCAACAGACTCCAAGATCTATCTGGGAAGGTGGCTCACCTGCGAAAGGGCTAGAGCGACCCCTGCCAGGCTGGTGAAGCTGCCATATTTTACAGTGTGTGACGGCTTGAGATCTGGGGCCAGGAATTACAAGGCAGATGTGGAATCACCCAGGCAGGGACTGTGGAGGAAAGGGGTCGAGTTCAATTCCTAACTGCATAGAAGGGAAGGCAGGAGAGACTAACACACTGGAGAAACTAATTCCACTTCTTCCTGAAAACGGATGACATCCCTTATCTGAACACATTTTCAGTAAAAAGCCCAACTACAACAATCACTCCTGACATACAGAACCCTAAGAAACTTCTAAACAAAATATCATTGTATCTTAAACAGGTTCTGCGGCAAACACCGCCACAGGTACAACATCTACAAATGTCGTGGAGCCAAGAATGTATTTGAGTTGCAGCACCAACCCTGAGATGACCTCGATTGAGTCCAGTGTGACTTCAGACACTCCTGGTGTCTCCAGTACCAGGATGACACCAACAGAATCCAGAACAACTTCAGAATCTACCAGTGACAGCACCACACTTTTCCCCAGTTCTACTGAAGACACTTCATCTCCTACAACTCCTGAAGGCACCGACGTGCCCATGTCAACACCAAGTGAAGAAAGCATTTCATCAACAATGGCTTTTGTCAGCACTGCACCTCTTCCCAGTTTTGAGGCCTACACATCTTTAACATATAAGGTTGATATGAGCACACCTCTGACCACTTCTACTCAGGCAAGTTCATCTCCTACTACTCCTGAAAGCACCACCATACCCAAATCAACTAACAGTGAAGGAAGCACTCCATTAACAAGTATGCCTGCCAGCACCATGAAGGTGGCCAGTTCAGAGGCTATCACCCTTTTGACAACTCCTGTTGAAATCAGCACACCTGTGACCATTTCTGCTCAAGCCAGTTCATCTCCTACAACTGCTGAAGGTCCCAGCCTGTCAAACTCAGCTCCTAGTGGAGGAAGCACTCCATTAACAAGAATGCCTCTCAGCGTGATGCTGGTGGTCAGTTCTGAGGCTAGCACCCTTTCAACAACTCCTGCTGCCACCAACATTCCTGTGATCACTTCTACTGAAGCCAGTTCATCTCCTACAACGGCTGAAGGCACCAGCATACCAACCTCAACTTATACTGAAGGAAGCACTCCATTAACAAGTACGCCTGCCAGCACCATGCCGGTTGCCACTTCTGAAATGAGCACACTTTCAATAACTCCTGTTGACACCAGCACACTTGTGACCACTTCTACTGAACCCAGTTCACTTCCTACAACTGCTGAAGCTACCAGCATGCTAACCTCAACTCTTAGTGAAGGAAGCACTCCATTAACAAATATGCCTGTCAGCACCATATTGGTGGCCAGTTCTGAGGCTAGCACCACTTCAACAATTCCTGTTGACTCCAAAACTTTTGTGACCACTGCTAGTGAAGCCAGCTCATCTCCCACAACTGCTGAAGATACCAGCATTGCAACCTCAACTCCTAGTGAAGGAAGCACTCCATTAACAAGTATGCCTGTCAGCACCACTCCAGTGGCCAGTTCTGAGGCTAGCAACCTTTCAACAACTCCTGTTGACTCCAAAACTCAGGTGACCACTTCTACTGAAGCCAGTTCATCTCCTCCAACTGCTGAAGTTAACAGCATGCCAACCTCAACTCCTAGTGAAGGAAGCACTCCATTAACAAGTATGTCTGTCAGCACCATGCCGGTGGCCAGTTCTGAGGCTAGCACCCTTTCAACAACTCCTGTTGACACCAGCACACCTGTGACCACTTCTAGTGAAGCCAGTTCATCTTCTACAACTCCTGAAGGTACCAGCATACCAACCTCAACTCCTAGTGAAGGAAGCACTCCATTAACAAACATGCCTGTCAGCACCAGGCTGGTGGTCAGTTCTGAGGCTAGCACCACTTCAACAACTCCTGCTGACTCCAACACTTTTGTGACCACTTCTAGTGAAGCTAGTTCATCTTCTACAACTGCTGAAGGTACCAGCATGCCAACCTCAACTTACAGTGAAAGAGGCACTACAATAACAAGTATGTCTGTCAGCACCACACTGGTGGCCAGTTCTGAGGCTAGCACCCTTTCAACAACTCCTGTTGACTCCAACACTCCTGTGACCACTTCAACTGAAGCCACTTCATCTTCTACAACTGCGGAAGGTACCAGCATGCCAACCTCAACTTATACTGAAGGAAGCACTCCATTAACAAGTATGCCTGTCAACACCACACTGGTGGCCAGTTCTGAGGCTAGCACCCTTTCAACAACTCCTGTTGACACCAGCACACCTGTGACCACTTCAACTGAAGCCAGTTCCTCTCCTACAACTGCTGATGGTGCCAGTATGCCAACCTCAACTCCTAGTGAAGGAAGCACTCCATTAACAAGTATGCCTGTCAGCAAAACGCTGTTGACCAGTTCTGAGGCTAGCACCCTTTCAACAACTCCTCTTGACACAAGCACACATATCACCACTTCTACTGAAGCCAGTTGCTCTCCTACAACCACTGAAGGTACCAGCATGCCAATCTCAACTCCTAGTGAAGGAAGTCCTTTATTAACAAGTATACCTGTCAGCATCACACCGGTGACCAGTCCTGAGGCTAGCACCCTTTCAACAACTCCTGTTGACTCCAACAGTCCTGTGACCACTTCTACTGAAGTCAGTTCATCTCCTACACCTGCTGAAGGTACCAGCATGCCAACCTCAACTTATAGTGAAGGAAGAACTCCTTTAACAAGTATGCCTGTCAGCACCACACTGGTGGCCACTTCTGCAATCAGCACCCTTTCAACAACTCCTGTTGACACCAGCACACCTGTGACCAATTCTACTGAAGCCCGTTCGTCTCCTACAACTTCTGAAGGTACCAGCATGCCAACCTCAACTCCTGGGGAAGGAAGCACTCCATTAACAAGTATGCCTGACAGCACCACGCCGGTAGTCAGTTCTGAGGCTAGAACACTTTCAGCAACTCCTGTTGACACCAGCACACCTGTGACCACTTCTACTGAAGCCACTTCATCTCCTACAACTGCTGAAGGTACCAGCATACCAACCTCGACTCCTAGTGAAGGAACGACTCCATTAACAAGCACACCTGTCAGCCACACGCTGGTGGCCAATTCTGAGGCTAGCACCCTTTCAACAACTCCTGTTGACTCCAACACTCCTTTGACCACTTCTACTGAAGCCAGTTCACCTCCTCCCACTGCTGAAGGTACCAGCATGCCAACCTCAACTCCTAGTGAAGGAAGCACTCCATTAACACGTATGCCTGTCAGCACCACAATGGTGGCCAGTTCTGAAACGAGCACACTTTCAACAACTCCTGCTGACACCAGCACACCTGTGACCACTTATTCTCAAGCCAGTTCATCTTCTACAACTGCTGACGGTACCAGCATGCCAACCTCAACTTATAGTGAAGGAAGCACTCCACTAACAAGTGTGCCTGTCAGCACCAGGCTGGTGGTCAGTTCTGAGGCTAGCACCCTTTCCACAACTCCTGTCGACACCAGCATACCTGTCACCACTTCTACTGAAGCCAGTTCATCTCCTACAACTGCTGAAGGTACCAGCATACCAACCTCACCTCCCAGTGAAGGAACCACTCCGTTAGCAAGTATGCCTGTCAGCACCACGCTGGTGGTCAGTTCTGAGGCTAACACCCTTTCAACAACTCCTGTGGACTCCAAAACTCAGGTGGCCACTTCTACTGAAGCCAGTTCACCTCCTCCAACTGCTGAAGTTACCAGCATGCCAACCTCAACTCCTGGAGAAAGAAGCACTCCATTAACAAGTATGCCTGTCAGACACACGCCAGTGGCCAGTTCTGAGGCTAGCACCCTTTCAACATCTCCCGTTGACACCAGCACACCTGTGACCACTTCTGCTGAAACCAGTTCCTCTCCTACAACCGCTGAAGGTACCAGCTTGCCAACCTCAACTACTAGTGAAGGAAGTACTCTATTAACAAGTATACCTGTCAGCACCACGCTGGTGACCAGTCCTGAGGCTAGCACCCTTTTAACAACTCCTGTTGACACTAAAGGTCCTGTGGTCACTTCTAATGAAGTCAGTTCATCTCCTACACCTGCTGAAGGTACCAGCATGCCAACCTCAACTTATAGTGAAGGAAGAACTCCTTTAACAAGTATACCTGTCAACACCACACTGGTGGCCAGTTCTGCAATCAGCATCCTTTCAACAACTCCTGTTGACAACAGCACACCTGTGACCACTTCTACTGAAGCCTGTTCATCTCCTACAACTTCTGAAGGTACCAGCATGCCAAACTCAAATCCTAGTGAAGGAACCACTCCGTTAACAAGTATACCTGTCAGCACCACGCCGGTAGTCAGTTCTGAGGCTAGCACCCTTTCAGCAACTCCTGTTGACACCAGCACCCCTGGGACCACTTCTGCTGAAGCCACTTCATCTCCTACAACTGCTGAAGGTATCAGCATACCAACCTCAACTCCTAGTGAAGGAAAGACTCCATTAAAAAGTATACCTGTCAGCAACACGCCGGTGGCCAATTCTGAGGCTAGCACCCTTTCAACAACTCCTGTTGACTCTAACAGTCCTGTGGTCACTTCTACAGCAGTCAGTTCATCTCCTACACCTGCTGAAGGTACCAGCATAGCAATCTCAACGCCTAGTGAAGGAAGCACTGCATTAACAAGTATACCTGTCAGCACCACAACAGTGGCCAGTTCTGAAATCAACAGCCTTTCAACAACTCCTGCTGTCACCAGCACACCTGTGACCACTTATTCTCAAGCCAGTTCATCTCCTACAACTGCTGACGGTACCAGCATGCAAACCTCAACTTATAGTGAAGGAAGCACTCCACTAACAAGTTTGCCTGTCAGCACCATGCTGGTGGTCAGTTCTGAGGCTAACACCCTTTCAACAACCCCTATTGACTCCAAAACTCAGGTGACCGCTTCTACTGAAGCCAGTTCATCTACAACCGCTGAAGGTAGCAGCATGACAATCTCAACTCCTAGTGAAGGAAGTCCTCTATTAACAAGTATACCTGTCAGCACCACGCCGGTGGCCAGTCCTGAGGCTAGCACCCTTTCAACAACTCCTGTTGACTCCAACAGTCCTGTGATCACTTCTACTGAAGTCAGTTCATCTCCTACACCTGCTGAAGGTACCAGCATGCCAACCTCAACTTATACTGAAGGAAGAACTCCTTTAACAAGTATAACTGTCAGAACAACACCGGTGGCCAGCTCTGCAATCAGCACCCTTTCAACAACTCCCGTTGACAACAGCACACCTGTGACCACTTCTACTGAAGCCCGTTCATCTCCTACAACTTCTGAAGGTACCAGCATGCCAAACTCAACTCCTAGTGAAGGAACCACTCCATTAACAAGTATACCTGTCAGCACCACGCCGGTACTCAGTTCTGAGGCTAGCACCCTTTCAGCAACTCCTATTGACACCAGCACCCCTGTGACCACTTCTACTGAAGCCACTTCGTCTCCTACAACTGCTGAAGGTACCAGCATACCAACCTCGACTCTTAGTGAAGGAATGACTCCATTAACAAGCACACCTGTCAGCCACACGCTGGTGGCCAATTCTGAGGCTAGCACCCTTTCAACAACTCCTGTTGACTCTAACAGTCCTGTGGTCACTTCTACAGCAGTCAGTTCATCTCCTACACCTGCTGAAGGTACCAGCATAGCAACCTCAACGCCTAGTGAAGGAAGCACTGCATTAACAAGTATACCTGTCAGCACCACAACAGTGGCCAGTTCTGAAACCAACACCCTTTCAACAACTCCCGCTGTCACCAGCACACCTGTGACCACTTATGCTCAAGTCAGTTCATCTCCTACAACTGCTGACGGTAGCAGCATGCCAACCTCAACTCCTAGGGAAGGAAGGCCTCCATTAACAAGTATACCTGTCAGCACCACAACAGTGGCCAGTTCTGAAATCAACACCCTTTCAACAACTCTTGCTGACACCAGGACACCTGTGACCACTTATTCTCAAGCCAGTTCATCTCCTACAACTGCTGATGGTACCAGCATGCCAACCCCAGCTTATAGTGAAGGAAGCACTCCACTAACAAGTATGCCTCTCAGCACCACGCTGGTGGTCAGTTCTGAGGCTAGCACTCTTTCCACAACTCCTGTTGACACCAGCACTCCTGCCACCACTTCTACTGAAGGCAGTTCATCTCCTACAACTGCAGGAGGTACCAGCATACAAACCTCAACTCCTAGTGAACGGACCACTCCATTAGCAGGTATGCCTGTCAGCACTACGCTTGTGGTCAGTTCTGAGGGTAACACCCTTTCAACAACTCCTGTTGACTCCAAAACTCAGGTGACCAATTCTACTGAAGCCAGTTCATCTGCAACCGCTGAAGGTAGCAGCATGACAATCTCAGCTCCTAGTGAAGGAAGTCCTCTACTAACAAGTATACCTCTCAGCACCACGCCGGTGGCCAGTCCTGAGGCTAGCACCCTTTCAACAACTCCTGTTGACTCCAACAGTCCTGTGATCACTTCTACTGAAGTCAGTTCATCTCCTATACCTACTGAAGGTACCAGCATGCAAACCTCAACTTATAGTGACAGAAGAACTCCTTTAACAAGTATGCCTGTCAGCACCACAGTGGTGGCCAGTTCTGCAATCAGCACCCTTTCAACAACTCCTGTTGACACCAGCACACCTGTGACCAATTCTACTGAAGCCCGTTCATCTCCTACAACTTCTGAAGGTACCAGCATGCCAACCTCAACTCCTAGTGAAGGAAGCACTCCATTCACAAGTATGCCTGTCAGCACCATGCCGGTAGTTACTTCTGAGGCTAGCACCCTTTCAGCAACTCCTGTTGACACCAGCACACCTGTGACCACTTCTACTGAAGCCACTTCATCTCCTACAACTGCTGAAGGTACCAGCATACCAACTTCAACTCTTAGTGAAGGAACGACTCCATTAACAAGTATACCTGTCAGCCACACGCTGGTGGCCAATTCTGAGGTTAGCACCCTTTCAACAACTCCTGTTGACTCCAACACTCCTTTCACTACTTCTACTGAAGCCAGTTCACCTCCTCCCACTGCTGAAGGTACCAGCATGCCAACCTCAACTTCTAGTGAAGGAAACACTCCATTAACACGTATGCCTGTCAGCACCACAATGGTGGCCAGTTTTGAAACAAGCACACTTTCTACAACTCCTGCTGACACCAGCACACCTGTGACTACTTATTCTCAAGCCGGTTCATCTCCTACAACTGCTGACGATACTAGCATGCCAACCTCAACTTATAGTGAAGGAAGCACTCCACTAACAAGTGTGCCTGTCAGCACCATGCCGGTGGTCAGTTCTGAGGCTAGCACCCATTCCACAACTCCTGTTGACACCAGCACACCTGTCACCACTTCTACTGAAGCCAGTTCATCTCCTACAACTGCTGAAGGTACCAGCATACCAACCTCACCTCCTAGTGAAGGAACCACTCCGTTAGCAAGTATGCCTGTCAGCACCACGCCGGTGGTCAGTTCTGAGGCTGGCACCCTTTCCACAACTCCTGTTGACACCAGCACACCTATGACCACTTCTACTGAAGCCAGTTCATCTCCTACAACTGCTGAAGATATCGTCGTGCCAATCTCAACTGCTAGTGAAGGAAGTACTCTATTAACAAGTATACCTGTCAGCACCACGCCAGTGGCCAGTCCTGAGGCTAGCACCCTTTCAACAACTCCTGTTGACTCCAACAGTCCTGTGGTCACTTCTACTGAAATCAGTTCATCTGCTACATCCGCTGAAGGTACCAGCATGCCTACCTCAACTTATAGTGAAGGAAGCACTCCATTAAGAAGTATGCCTGTCAGCACCAAGCCGTTGGCCAGTTCTGAGGCTAGCACTCTTTCAACAACTCCTGTTGACACCAGCATACCTGTCACCACTTCTACTGAAACCAGTTCATCTCCTACAACTGCAAAAGATACCAGCATGCCAATCTCAACTCCTAGTGAAGTAAGTACTTCATTAACAAGTATACTTGTCAGCACCATGCCAGTGGCCAGTTCTGAGGCTAGCACCCTTTCAACAACTCCTGTTGACACCAGGACACTTGTGACCACTTCCACTGGAACCAGTTCATCTCCTACAACTGCTGAAGGTAGCAGCATGCCAACCTCAACTCCTGGTGAAAGAAGCACTCCATTAACAAATATACTTGTCAGCACCACGCTGTTGGCCAATTCTGAGGCTAGCACCCTTTCAACAACTCCTGTTGACACCAGCACACCTGTCACCACTTCTGCTGAAGCCAGTTCTTCTCCTACAACTGCTGAAGGTACCAGCATGCGAATCTCAACTCCTAGTGATGGAAGTACTCCATTAACAAGTATACTTGTCAGCACCCTGCCAGTGGCCAGTTCTGAGGCTAGCACCGTTTCAACAACTGCTGTTGACACCAGCATACCTGTCACCACTTCTACTGAAGCCAGTTCCTCTCCTACAACTGCTGAAGTTACCAGCATGCCAACCTCAACTCCTAGTGAAACAAGTACTCCATTAACTAGTATGCCTGTCAACCACACGCCAGTGGCCAGTTCTGAGGCTGGCACCCTTTCAACAACTCCTGTTGACACCAGCACACCTGTGACCACTTCTACTAAAGCCAGTTCATCTCCTACAACTGCTGAAGGTATCGTCGTGCCAATCTCAACTGCTAGTGAAGGAAGTACTCTATTAACAAGTATACCTGTCAGCACCACGCCGGTGGCCAGTTCTGAGGCTAGCACCCTTTCAACAACTCCTGTTGATACCAGCATACCTGTCACCACTTCTACTGAAGGCAGTTCTTCTCCTACAACTGCTGAAGGTACCAGCATGCCAATCTCAACTCCTAGTGAAGTAAGTACTCCATTAACAAGTATACTTGTCAGCACCGTGCCAGTGGCCGGTTCTGAGGCTAGCACCCTTTCAACAACTCCTGTTGACACCAGGACACCTGTCACCACTTCTGCTGAAGCTAGTTCTTCTCCTACAACTGCTGAAGGTACCAGCATGCCAATCTCAACTCCTGGCGAAAGAAGAACTCCATTAACAAGTATGTCTGTCAGCACCATGCCGGTGGCCAGTTCTGAGGCTAGCACCCTTTCAAGAACTCCTGCTGACACCAGCACACCTGTGACCACTTCTACTGAAGCCAGTTCCTCTCCTACAACTGCTGAAGGTACCGGCATACCAATCTCAACTCCTAGTGAAGGAAGTACTCCATTAACAAGTATACCTGTCAGCACCACGCCAGTGGCCATTCCTGAGGCTAGCACCCTTTCAACAACTCCTGTTGACTCCAACAGTCCTGTGGTCACTTCTACTGAAGTCAGTTCATCTCCTACACCTGCTGAAGGTACCAGCATGCCAATCTCAACTTATAGTGAAGGAAGCACTCCATTAACAGGTGTGCCTGTCAGCACCACACCGGTGACCAGTTCTGCAATCAGCACCCTTTCAACAACTCCTGTTGACACCAGCACACCTGTGACCACTTCTACTGAAGCCCATTCATCTCCTACAACTTCTGAAGGTACCAGCATGCCAACCTCAACTCCTAGTGAAGGAAGTACTCCATTAACATATATGCCTGTCAGCACCATGCTGGTAGTCAGTTCTGAGGATAGCACCCTTTCAGCAACTCCTGTTGACACCAGCACACCTGTGACCACTTCTACTGAAGCCACTTCATCTACAACTGCTGAAGGTACCAGCATTCCAACCTCAACTCCTAGTGAAGGAATGACTCCATTAACTAGTGTACCTGTCAGCAACACGCCGGTGGCCAGTTCTGAGGCTAGCATCCTTTCAACAACTCCTGTTGACTCCAACACTCCTTTGACCACTTCTACTGAAGCCAGTTCATCTCCTCCCACTGCTGAAGGTACCAGCATGCCAACCTCAACTCCTAGTGAAGGAAGCACTCCATTAACAAGTATGCCTGTCAGCACCACAACGGTGGCCAGTTCTGAAACGAGCACCCTTTCAACAACTCCTGCTGACACCAGCACACCTGTGACCACTTATTCTCAAGCCAGTTCATCTCCTCCAATTGCTGACGGTACTAGCATGCCAACCTCAACTTATAGTGAAGGAAGCACTCCACTAACAAATATGTCTTTCAGCACCACGCCAGTGGTCAGTTCTGAGGCTAGCACCCTTTCCACAACTCCTGTTGACACCAGCACACCTGTCACCACTTCTACTGAAGCCAGTTTATCTCCTACAACTGCTGAAGGTACCAGCATACCAACCTCAAGTCCTAGTGAAGGAACCACTCCATTAGCAAGTATGCCTGTCAGCACCACGCCGGTGGTCAGTTCTGAGGTTAACACCCTTTCAACAACTCCTGTGGACTCCAACACTCTGGTGACCACTTCTACTGAAGCCAGTTCATCTCCTACAATCGCTGAAGGTACCAGCTTGCCAACCTCAACTACTAGTGAAGGAAGCACTCCATTATCAATTATGCCTCTCAGTACCACGCCGGTGGCCAGTTCTGAGGCTAGCACCCTTTCAACAACTCCTGTTGACACCAGCACACCTGTGACCACTTCTTCTCCAACCAATTCATCTCCTACAACTGCTGAAGTTACCAGCATGCCAACATCAACTGCTGGTGAAGGAAGCACTCCATTAACAAATATGCCTGTCAGCACCACACCGGTGGCCAGTTCTGAGGCTAGCACCCTTTCAACAACTCCTGTTGACTCCAACACTTTTGTTACCAGTTCTAGTCAAGCCAGTTCATCTCCAGCAACTCTTCAGGTCACCACTATGCGTATGTCTACTCCAAGTGAAGGAAGCTCTTCATTAACAACTATGCTCCTCAGCAGCACATATGTGACCAGTTCTGAGGCTAGCACACCTTCCACTCCTTCTGTTGACAGAAGCACACCTGTGACCACTTCTACTCAGAGCAATTCTACTCCTACACCTCCTGAAGTTATCACCCTGCCAATGTCAACTCCTAGTGAAGTAAGCACTCCATTAACCATTATGCCTGTCAGCACCACATCGGTGACCATTTCTGAGGCTGGCACAGCTTCAACACTTCCTGTTGACACCAGCACACCTGTGATCACTTCTACCCAAGTCAGTTCATCTCCTGTGACTCCTGAAGGTACCACCATGCCAATCTGGACGCCTAGTGAAGGAAGCACTCCATTAACAACTATGCCTGTCAGCACCACACGTGTGACCAGCTCTGAGGGTAGCACCCTTTCAACACCTTCTGTTGTCACCAGCACACCTGTGACCACTTCTACTGAAGCCATTTCATCTTCTGCAACTCTTGACAGCACCACCATGTCTGTGTCAATGCCCATGGAAATAAGCACCCTTGGGACCACTATTCTTGTCAGTACCACACCTGTTACGAGGTTTCCTGAGAGTAGCACCCCTTCCATACCATCTGTTTACACCAGCATGTCTATGACCACTGCCTCTGAAGGCAGTTCATCTCCTACAACTCTTGAAGGCACCACCACCATGCCTATGTCAACTACGAGTGAAAGAAGCACTTTATTGACAACTGTCCTCATCAGCCCTATATCTGTGATGAGTCCTTCTGAGGCCAGCACACTTTCAACACCTCCTGGTGATACCAGCACACCTTTGCTCACCTCTACCAAAGCCGGTTCATTCTCCATACCTGCTGAAGTCACTACCATACGTATTTCAATTACCAGTGAAAGAAGCACTCCATTAACAACTCTCCTTGTCAGCACCACACTTCCAACTAGCTTTCCTGGGGCCAGCATAGCTTCGACACCTCCTCTTGACACAAGCACAACTTTTACCCCTTCTACTGACACTGCCTCAACTCCCACAATTCCTGTAGCCACCACCATATCTGTATCAGTGATCACAGAAGGAAGCACACCTGGGACAACCATTTTTATTCCCAGCACTCCTGTCACCAGTTCTACTGCTGATGTCTTTCCTGCAACAACTGGTGCTGTATCTACCCCTGTGATAACTTCCACTGAACTAAACACACCATCAACCTCCAGTAGTAGTACCACCACATCTTTTTCAACTACTAAGGAATTTACAACACCCGCAATGACTACTGCAGCTCCCCTCACATATGTGACCATGTCTACTGCCCCCAGCACACCCAGAACAACCAGCAGAGGCTGCACTACTTCTGCATCAACGCTTTCTGCAACCAGTACACCTCACACCTCTACTTCTGTCACCACCCGTCCTGTGACCCCTTCATCAGAATCCAGCAGGCCGTCAACAATTACTTCTCACACCATCCCACCTACATTTCCTCCTGCTCACTCCAGTACACCTCCAACAACCTCTGCCTCCTCCACGACTGTGAACCCTGAGGCTGTCACCACCATGACCACCAGGACAAAACCCAGCACACGGACCACTTCCTTCCCCACGGTGACCACCACCGCTGTCCCCACGAATACTACAATTAAGAGCAACCCCACCTCAACTCCTACTGTGCCAAGAACCACAACATGTAAGTGATTTCTTGAATTTTCCTTTTTTTTAAAATTATACTGTAAGTTCTAGGGTACATGTGCACAACGTGCAGGTTTGTTACCTATGTATACGTGTGCCATGTTGGTTTGCTGCACCCATTAACTCATCATTTACATTAGGTATTTCTCGTAATGCTATCCCTCCCCCATCCCCCTACCCCATGGCAGGCCCCGGTGTGTGATGTTCCCTGCCCTGTGTCCAAGTGTTCTCATTGTTCAGTTCCCACCTATGAGTGAGAACATTTGGTGTTTGGTTTTCTGTCCTTGTGATAGTTTGCTCAGAATGATGGTTTCCAGCTTCATCCATGTCCCTACAAAGGATGTGAACTCGTCCTTTTTTAATGGCTGCATAGTATTCCATGGAGTGAACAGGCAACCTACAGAATGGGAGGAAATTTTTGCAATCTACCCATCTGACAAAGAGCTAATATCCAGAATCTACAAAGAACTTAAACACATTTACGAGAAAAAAATCAAACAACCCCATCAAAAAGTGGGCAAAGGATAAGAACAGACACTTTTCAAAAGAATTTTCCTTTTTGAAACTGACCTTTCTTTTCAATCTCCACTCACTACTTTTTGTGGTTTTCTTCTTAAACATTTACTCCTAAACTCCTTTTGCTCTGACTTACTTGTTTTCCCTTTGATAAAACCTGCATCAAGGTTTTCTGTCTCAGCACTCTCTCACTTCTCTGCTCTCACTGTTTCTTGCACAAGTTCCCCTTTTTTGAACAAAGCATTACCTCTCTTTGCCTGGGCACCTCAGTCTCCAGTATTCTGTCCAGAAGTCCTGTTTTCTCTCTTTTGTATTCTGCAGGTCTCTATTCCATTGCACTTTGTATGCCATGATGTTATTAACTCTGAGTGGTTTGTTTTCTTTTAAACTTTTTAGTTTACTTTGTAAACTTTCTAGTGGATTTTCTCATTGATTTTGTTCATACTAAAGTACGAACTTTTTTTTTGCAGAAGGTTTTTGCCTATTCATTCATGTGTACCTTTGTCAAGTATCTCTGCCACCATTCACTTTTATTTTGATTCATCTTATCCTCTGAGCACCCACTATAGAAGCAAAAGAAGATTCCTTCACTTCTGTCAGCTCTGAATTCTACCTCCAATGCCTATGAGTGTTTTGCTGTCCTTATGTATCCCCTTCCTTTCTCTGACTCAAGAACTTTCACTCAGCCTTCTTCTCTCTTGTTAGGGTGAGCGTTGCACCATTCAATACCTGCTATTATAATATCCTGTATATTTTATTATATGAATCATGTAATATACTAATAGACCTGTGAGTATGACTCCCAGATTAAGAATATTTTGCATACATTTTTAAAAGTATGCTAATTAAAATACTTGAAAACACTGATTTATTTAGATGAATAGGCTCACAGGTATATGATCTGTGTCTGCCCACAGAACTGCCCAATCCCATCTTGAATTGATGATGATGAAGGGTGGTTCTTCAGCTTTTGACTACTACATTTTCTCTGGACTTTGTGATTTTTTTCCTTTGCTGAATTCTACTTTGCCTGAACTTTTTTCTTTTCTTTTCTTTTCTTTTTCTTTTTTTTTTTGATGGAGTTTCACTCTTGTTGCCCAAGCTGGAGTGCAATGGCACGATCATGGCTCACTGCAACCTCCACCTCCCGGGTTCAAGTGATTCTCTCACCTCAACCTCCCAAGTAGCTGGGATTACAGAGCACACCACCACATCCAGCTAATTTTTGTATTTTTAGTAGAGACAGGGTTTCACCATGTTGGCCAGGCTGTTCTTGAACTCCTGTCCTCAGGTGATCCACCCGCCTCAGCTTCCCAAAGTGTTAGGATTACAGGTGTTAGCCACCATGCCTGGCTGGATTTTCTATCATATGGCTTTTTTCTCTGGATTGTCTCCAATATATCTTTGTCTTCTTGAGCTCTCTGATTCTCAGATGAGTGGTCTGAGAATTTTCAGGTGGGAGACCTGGACCTTGTATTTCCAGGAAGCCTCGTAGGTGTCTCACGACAAAGGCCAGGTGGCTGCAATGCCACTGGACCCACCATCTGGTGTCGGTCACATCTTTGAAGCAGATTGTCCTCCTTCTGTCTTCCTCTTCTTCCCCAGAGATTGGCCTTCCCTTAGACTGTTGAGCAATGGGTGAACGCGCCCCAGCATCTGCTTCTGTTGTTTCTGACTAGCCTGTGTTTTGGCACTTAGCTCAGGTCTGGACGTCTTCAGTAGTGAAAGCGGGAGAGAGATAGAGGGAGGAGACTGATTTAGGATGTATGGGTTTCCAGTGTGCCCAGGACTCTTGACTTCTCTCTTCTATTCTTTCCAAATGTCTTGGAGCAAAAGCCCATAAATAGAGGCTGCATGCTGTGATTTTCACAAGTGTGGATCCTGCTCTCTGAGTCTGTTTAGGGTAAACCGGAAGGCAGAGGTGAGGCAGGTCTTTGCAGAGTCTATACATACCTCGTGCACTTCCCCAGACAAAATACACCTTGAATACTGATCTGCCCAGGCACAGCGAGTTTCAAGAAAAGCCAAAGAAAACAGAGCTTTAGATTTTCCAGGTTGATTGGCACAGATATTCTAGAGTTGGCTATCACTACTTCCTACCTATTTAAACTAAGAGGAGTTTATTTGTTGAATTGCAATTTAAAAAGGAGTTGTTAGGCTGGGCATGATGGCTCATACCTGTAATCCCAGGATTTTGTGAGGCTGAGACTGGAGAATTTGTTAAGGCCAGGAGTTTGAGACCAGCCTGAGCAACAGAGCAATACCCCATCTCTACAGAAAAATTTTAAAAATTAGCCAGGCATGGTGATTCATGCCTGCAGTCCCAGTTACTTGGGAGGCTAGGGTGGGAGGATTGCTTAAGCCCAGGAGGTCAAGGCTGTAGTGAGCTATGATTGCACCACTGCGCTCCAACCTGAACGAGATGGTGAGACTCTGTCTCAAAAAATAATAATAATAAAATGCCCGGCACAGTGGCTCACACCTGTAATCCCAGCACTTTGGGAGGCTGAGGTGGGTGGATCACAAGGTCAGGAGATCAAGACCATCCTGGCTAACACGGTGAAACATCGTCTCTATTAAAAATACAAAAAATTAGCTGGGCGTGGTGGCAGGCATGCCTGTAGTCCCAGCTACTTGGGAGGCTGAGGTAGGAGAATGGCGTGAACCTGGGAGGCAGAGCTTGCAGTGAGCCGAGATCACGCCACTGCACTCCAGCCCGGGCGACAGAGCAAGACTCCGTCTCAAAAAAAAAAAATTAAAATAAATAAATAAATAAATAAATAAATAAAATAAGATCTAAACTCCTCCCTCAAACTCCACATCCCAGTAAATTAAAAAAGAATCAGAATGAGTCATAACAGTAACGATTGCCAGTATGGGCTTTTCCAAAGCGGGTGTTGAGGAACAACGACCATCTAATTCTCAACCTGGGTGGAATCTAGACTGTTCAAGTTCACCCGGGTTCTCCCTTCCTCAGCCCTGACTGTGTCGCTCACCTCTCACAATACCAGGTTTCTCTTTCTTCACGTTTTTGGGGTAAAGTCAAGCATGCTGGACTAGGACTGGGTGGAGTGTAGCCTGCACTCGGACCCATCGGGACGTGGCTTAGCCTCTCTCTGACTCACTTTGCGTATCTGTGAAGTGAGGATAATAGTAACTGTCCTGTGCACCCCTGGGGTCTCATGAGAGTATCATATTAGGCAGTGTCGGAGCCGGGCGCAGTGGCTCACACTTGTAATCCCAGCACTTTGGGAGGCTGAGGTGGGCAGATCACCTGAGGTCAGGAGTTTGAGACCAGCCTGGCCAAACTGGTGAAACCCCGTCTCTACTAAAAATACAAAAACTTAGCTGGGTGTGGTGGCACGCGCCTGTAATCTCAGCTACTCAGGAGGCTGAGGCAGGAGAATCACTTGAACCTGGGAGGTGGAGGTTGCAGTGAGCCAAGATCGCGCCATTGCACTCCAGCCTGGGTGACAAGGGTAAAACTCGGACTCAAAAAACAAACAAATTAGACAGTGTCCGTGCAAACGCATTGTAAGCTGTAAAGTGCTGTGCTCAACATGTAACCACAGTAGATCCCTGCTCCTTCCAGTGAGGTGCCTCAATGGAGGAACTTGGAAAGAAAACTTCTGTGATTGTTCCACAGGCTTTGGAGATGGGTGCCAGAATACGGCCTCTCGCTGCAAGAATGGAGGCACCTGGGATGGGCTCAAGTGCCAGTGTCCCAACCTCTATTATGGGGAGTTGTGTGAGGAGGTGGTCAGCAGCATTGACATAGGTGAGTGCAACCCCAGGCCTTCCCCCACCCCATGCCCTGGGACCCGACCTCCATACAAGCAACAGTTCCTGCCCCACCTTGATGTGAGGCCAGGAATAGGGCCTCTTCTGGGCTGTGGTGTTTTTTGTTTTGTTTTGTTTTGTTTTGTTTCCACCCAGTGCTATGAATGCTAAAGCATTACAAAATGAATAAAATAGGCCAGGCACGGTGGCTCTCGCCTGTAATTCCAGTACTTTGGGAGCCTGAGGCAGGATCACTTGAGGCCAGGAGCTCGAGACCAGCCTGGGCAACATACTGAGATCTAATTTATTTATTTAAAAAAAAAAAAAACTTGACTGGGTGTGGTGGTGCATACTTGTAGTCTTAGCTGCTTGGGAGGCTGATGTGGGAGGATTGCTTGAGCCCAGGAGGTCAAGACTGCACTGAGCTATGATCTCACCACTGCACTCCAGCCTGAGCAACAGAACAATACCCTGTCAAAAAAAAGAAAGAAGGAAGGAAGGAAGGAAAAAAGAAAGAAAGAAAGAGGGAAAGAGATAAAGAAAGAAAAGAAAATGAATAAAAAGGAAAGAAAAGGAAATAAAACAAGAAGGTGTATTTTGGATACAAATTTGGCACAAAATTTTACCATAAAATACAATGGAGCTCACTCCCTCCACCCAGGCTGGGGGCAGATCTTCTGAGTAGGAAACTCAGAGATGCTTTGCTCAGTAAGTCTACCCGCCTCAGGGCCACCGGAGACTATCTCTGCCCAAATGGAACTGACTGTGACAGTGACCAGTGTGAAGTTCACCGAAGAGCTAAAAAACCACTCTTCCCAGGAATTCCAGGAGTTCAAACAGACATTCACGGAACAGGTAAGTCTGGGAGAGCAAGGCCCCATAGCTACTCAGTTCCCCCCAGAGCAGAGTCTGTAGGGTAAGAAGGTAGCTGGGGGCTGTTCCCTTGTTAGATGTGCGGGAGTTCTCTCAGGCCCCCACGTCCTCAGGGCTTGCCAGTGCAGGAGGGAAGAGATGAGGCCAGGTTTTACCTGGGGGCTGCAGGAGGCCCCTGGGGTGGAGCAGGTCTCTGGAAAGAAACCACTCCATTTGATGAGTGTGCTATGATGCTGCGGGACAGGATCATCCCCTGGTCCTGTGACCTCCTGATGTCCCACAGAACGGCCCCGTGGTCCCTCTGGGATGACACAGTGGCCCCTTGCCTTTCAGATGAATATTGTGTATTCCGGGATCCCTGAGTATGTCGGGGTGAACATCACAAAGCTACGGTAAGTGTCTGGGCCCTTGGGAAGAGGGTCTGTGGCGTGGAAGCAGTGGTCATAGTTATAAAGGCAATTAGAACTGTGCCCCCTGCATTACTGTGCCCAGGCAGCTATTGCAGAATACCACCGATGGGGCGGCTTAAACAACAGAAATCTATTTCTCCCAGTTCTAGGGGCTGGAGGTCTAAGATGAAGGTGTGGGTGGGTGTGGTTTCTCTGGAGGCCTCTCTCCTTGGCTTGTGGGTGGCTGCCTTCTTGCTGTGTCTTTGCATGGTCTTTCCTCTGTGCACATCTCCCTGCTGTCTCTGCATATCCAAATTTCCCCTTCTTATAAGGACACCAGTCAGACTGGATGAGGGCCTACACTAATGACCTCATTTTAATTTACTCACCTCTTTAAAGACCCTATCTCCAAATATAGTCACATTCTGAGGTTCTGGAGGTTAGGGCTTCAATATATAAATGTAGGAGGCACCAGGTGCAGTAGCTCACACCTGTAATCCCAGCACTTTGGGAGGCCGAGGTGGAAGGATTATTTGAGGCCGGGAGCACAAGACCAGCCTGAGCAACATAGCAAGACCTTGTCTCTACAAAAAATACAAAAATTAGCAGGGTATGGTGGTATACACCTGTAGACCTAGCTACTCAGGAATCCGAGGCAGGAGGATCACGTGAGCCCAGGAGTCAGAGGCTAGAGTAAGCCAGGATCGCACCATTGCTCTCCAGCCTGGGCAGCAGTGAGACTCTGTCTCTAAAACAAAAAACCCAAAAACCTCAAGGATGGCCTCTTCTGTGGTTCCCATTCCTCCATCCATCTTCATCGCTGAGGCTTCCCTAAGACCTACCAGAGACTCCCTTTGTGGAAAGTTCTCTTAGGCACAGGCTGCTGGGAGAACTCCTATAGCAGGGGGCCCAGCGCAGTGTGTAGGACAGAGCCATCACCCCAAACTGTCCTGCCCCAAATGCCTAGGACAGAGTCATCACCCCAACTGTCCTGCCCCCAGCTCTGCCTTCCCTTGGGATCAGAGAGGGTGAAGCTTGCCTGGTACAGATTCTAGAGGTAAGCACCCTATTCTGACCCCAGGACGTCTTCCCTTCCCTCTTCAGTCTTGGCAGTGTGGTGGTGGAGCATGACGTCCTCCTAAGAACCAAGTACACACCAGAATACAAGACAGTATTGGACAATGCCACCGAAGTAGTGAAAGAGAAAATCACAAAAGTGACCACACAGCAAATAATGATTAATGATATTTGCTCAGGTGAACTCTGGGCTTCCAGGGAGGGAAGGGAGAAGGCATCAGAGCTGGGGCATGACTTTCTTAATAGACAGGAGGGCGGGAGTGAGGATGGTTAATGGGTGGGTGCAAGAATCACTGTGGGGTCCTAGAGTCCCTGGGGTTGCAGCGCAAAGAAGCCCCAGGATTGGGCCGAGAGAGTCTTTAACCTTCATCATCCTCTGGCCCATTTTTTTCCCTGGGGTAAGGGAAGGGACAAAGGCAAATGGAGAGAGTAGGAGAACATGGAGATCCAGGAATTCGTCCCGGAACCTGCAAGGCCAGACATACAAGCAGACCAGATCTTGCAGGGTGCCAGGACTAACGGCTATAGGACAGGGGAGTCTGCTGGAAATGAGGACCCATGGGCCTCGTTACACAGGGGTTCATCTAAGTGTGTGGATCATGGCAGAAGAGGGAAGAAGGAGGCATTGGGCAGGCATGGTGGCTCACGCCTGTAATCCCAGCACTTTGGGAGGCTGAGACGGGCAGATCACTTGAGGCCAGGAGTTCGAAACCAGCCTGGTCAACGTGGTGAAACCCCATCTCTACTGAAAATACAAAATTAGCCAGGCATGGTGGCAGATGCCTGTAGTTCTAGCTACTTGGGAGGCTGAGGCAGGAGAATCGCTTGAAACCGGGAAGCAGAGGTTGCAGTGAGCCGAGATTGCACCACTGTACTCTAGCCTGGGTGACAGAGCAATACTCCATCTCAAAAAAAAAAAAAAAAAAAAAAAAAGAGTAAGAAAGAAAATAAGAGAGAAAAGGGAGGCATAGGACAAAAAGGCTCAGGACACTTGGAGGGTCACTGGACGCGAGGCTGATGCTGCCCCTCTGCCGGGGCCGGATTCCCACCTCCCCATCGCAGCCCACCCCCTTCTCACACACACACGTCTCAGCTCCCTGAGGACGCAGAACAAGCGTGTATGTGTCGTGAGGGGTTTTATGTGTCTCTTTCACAGACATGATGTGTTTCAACACCACTGGCACCCAAGTGCAAAACATTACGGTGACCCAGTACGACCCTGAAGGTAGGTGATAACACAAGGGGTTTGGGGGAAGGCTGGAGAGGTGGGGAGCCCAGGAGGAGTGGGACAGTGTCCCCCCAGCCCTCTGATCACGGCTGTTCCCTGTCCCTGCACCCCCCACCAGAGGACTGCCGGAAGATGGCCAAGGAATATGGAGACTACTTCGTAGTGGAGTACCGGGACCAGAAGCCATACTGCATCAGCCCCTGTGAGCCTGGCTTCAGTGTCTCCAAGAACTGTAACCTCGGCAAGTGCCAGATGTCTCTAAGTGGACCTCAGTGCCTGTGAGTGCTCCCCCATCTCCTCCAGCCCAGCCCAGACGTCCTGGTCCTCCCCTCCCCTGCAGGGCTTCACCCCAGGCATTGCCTGGAGACCAAGGTCATGGGACTAGGTCCCAGCGTCTCCTGAATGTGTCCAGCTGCAGAGGAATTGGGTTGGGGATAAGGGAAAAACATGAGTAGTTGAGCTCCAAGGCTGTGTCCAGAACAGCCTAACCATGTCCTCTCTGTGCTAAGGAGGGCTGAGGAAGGTGACAACCTCCTGGGAAGGTTGTCCGACTGAGGGAACAGAGACAGAGCCTTGCTCTCTCTCCAGAGAGAGAACAAGATCCTCTGCTGGTGAAATAGAAACAGAAGGTTACACACCCATATGGGGAGTGGGGAGAAGCCCTCTAGCCCAGTCACAGAGGTAAGAAAGCGAAGAAAAACATTGTCACTTTAAACAGAACCAAAGAGAGAGAACAGCTGGAGCATCAGGTGCGGGAAGAAGCCACATGTGGGCAAAGACCTGAGTAGTTAATTTGGGAAGGCTTCCTGGAAGAGGGGGTCACAAGCTGGAAAGGGGAAGAAAGGAACAGGGCTTAGAGAGGGCATCTCAAGGCAGCAGGGAAGAAGAGCTTCAGGGGTGTAGTGGGAGCTCTGGATCAGGGCTGCAGCCTGGCTTTCTTGACAGAGAGGAAGGCTGGAAGTGAGGAGGTTAATGGGTGGATGCAAGATCACTGTGGGGTCCTGGAGTCCCTGGGGGTGCAGCCCAGGGAAGACCCAGGGTTGGGCCAACCGTCCTAGGTCCTGGGTTGCAACTGGAGGCAAAATCTAAAAGCTTGGAGTGGGAATTGGGCTCATTTGAGGACCACCTCCAGGGATGCTGGTCTTCATCTCTGTTCATCCCCTCGGGGTGCCTTGCTTTATGCCCCCTGGCAATCTCTTCTTGCCTCCTCTTCATTAAACACCCACTGGGCAGGGCCCAGGTCTGAAGCTGGTGCTGACTCCGTTCTCTCTCCCCAACCTGCCGCTTCTCTCCCATCTCAGCTGCGTGACCACGGAAACTCACTGGTACAGTGGGGAGACCTGTAACCAGGGCACCCAGAAGAGTCTGGTGTACGGCCTCGTGGGGGCAGGGGTCGTGCTGATGCTGATCATCCTGGTAGCTCTCCTGATGCTCGTTTTCCGCTCCAAGAGAGAGGTGAAACGGTGAGCGAGCCCCTACCACCTCCTCTTCCAACTCCCTCCAGCTCCTCCTCTTCCTCTGAACCCTCTGTCTCTAATCACTTCATAGTCTAGGTGGGCAGCGGGGGCAGCTAAAAATGGGGATACAGCTTGTCCCTGGTCCTTATTCCTGTTCCCCAATCCTAATGGGGTCTCTCTGATGTTTCCATCACTAGGCAAAAGTACAGATTGTCTCAGTTATACAAGTGGCAAGAAGAGGACAGTGGACCAGCTCCTGGGACCTTCCAAAACATTGGCTTTGACATCTGCCAAGGTATTGGCCTTCCTCTCTGAACTCAGAATGGCTCAAAATGTGGAAACAGGCTGGGTGCGGTGGGCTCACATCTGTAATCCCAGCACTTTGAAAGGCCAAGGCAGGAGTATTACTTGAGGCCAGGAGCTCAAGATCAGCCTGGGCAACAACACAGCAAAACTCTATCTCTTAAAAAAAAATAAAAAATAAAAATAAAAAAGGGAGGCTGAGGCAGGTGGACCACTTGAGGTCAGGAGTTTGAGACCAGCCTGGACCACATAGTGAAACCCTGTCTCTACTGAAAATACAAAAAAATTAGCTGGGCATGGTGGCAGGTGCCTGTAATCCCAGCTACTCGGGAGGCTGAGGCAGGAGAATCACTTGAACCCGGGAGGCAGAGGTTGCAGTTAGCCGAGATTGTGCCATTGCACTCCAGCCTGGGCAACAAGCACGAAACTCCGTCTCAAAAAAAAAAAAAAGAAAAAAAATTTTAAATTATCTGGGCATGGTGGCATGCACCTGAAGTCCCAACTACTCATGAGGCTGAGGCAGGAGAATTGCTTGAGCCTGGGAGATGGAGGCTGCAGTGAGCTGTGATTGTACCACTGCACTCCAGCCTGGGCAACAGAACAAGACCCTGTCAAAAAAAAAAAAAAAAAAAAAAAAAAAAAAAAAAAGAGTACATAGGAGGCACCTGGGAAGACCCTGAGGCTTATAGAGTGAAGGGGGAAAATATTTCCCACTCCAAAATGTTTGGCTCCACAGCTAAAACCTTATTTCCATTACTGACTCCTGTGAGACCCTGGATGGGGCATAGTGAACTGAACCACTGGGGAGACACAGGTTCCTTGAGGGTGGTAGATTTCTCTAGTGCACAGATTAGTGCTCGGGAGTGGGTGAGCTCATTAGCAGGGGAGTTGTACCTCAGTAAAGAGACTAACATTAGATTTTGCTAGGTTAAAGGCACATGTTAAAATTTCTAAAAATAGAGTCTTTAAATTCTAAAGAAGGAAATATGTGGAATGAGAAATTTCTCAAAATAGTCTTTAAATTCTAAAAAGGGGAAGATTAGAATGAGGAAAAGTCCAGTCAACCCACAAAGAGGCAGGAAAGGGAGAAAAAGAAAAAGGAGGTGAGACGCAGTGGCTCATGCTTACAGTCCCAATGCTTTGGGAGGCCGAGGCTGGAGGATCTCTTGAGGCCAGGAGTTCAAGACCAGCCTGGGCAACATAACGAGTTCAAAAAATTAAAAAAATTAGCCAGGCACAGTGGTGCATGCCTGTAATCCTAGCTATTCAGGAGGCTGAGTCAGGAGGATCACTTGAGCCCAGGAGGTCAAGGCTGCGTGAGCTATGATTGCACCACTGCACTCCAACCTGGGCAACAGAGCAAGACCCTGTCTCTAAAACAAAACAAACAAAAAAAATGTGGCTCATGCCTGTAATCCTAGCACTTTGGGAGGCTGAGGCTAGTGGGTCACCTGAGGTCAGGAGACCAACCTGGCCAACACGGTGAAACCCCGTCTCTACTAAAAACACAAAAATTAGCTGGACATGGTGGCATGTGCCTGTAATCCCAACCACCTGGGAGGCTGAGGCAGGAGAATCGCTGGAACCTGGGAAGTGGAGGCTGCAGTGAGCTGAAATCGCACCACTACACTCCAGCCTGGGCAACAGAGCAAGATTCCGTAGAAGGAGGAGGAGGAGGAGGAGGAAGGGGAAGAGGAAGAGGAGATAGGACACATAGAAAATAGAAAATAAAATGATAGGACGTAATGCAAATATATCACAAATCATAATACACATAAGTAGATTAAACTCTAGTTTAAAAAGGATTTTTTTAAAAAAAAATCTAGGTATCCACTGTCGGTGGGAGGTACATGTTAAATAGAAACACAAAGGTTAGAAACAAAAGTGTAGAAAAGACAAAACAGGGTAATACTAAACAAAGTGTCTGTTGTTTTGTGTATAGCTGTACTCATTGCAGGCACATAAACTTTAAAGCAAAAAGAATTACTAGGTATAAAAATGATCAATATTAGGAAATGGCTTACTCTGTTAGACACAAGTTTAATTTGTATGCTCTGTTAGTACAATCTCGAAATAGATAAAGCAAAAACTGACAAAGCTGCAAGAAAAAAATTAACAAATTCACCAACATGGTAAGAGATTTTTAAAACGCCTCTCTTAGTAATTGACAAAAGTCAGTGAGGATTACAGAACTTTTGTACAAAATAATTAGCCTTAATACAATACAGAACACCACATTCAACAAATAGAGGGTACACATTTATTACCTGAGTCCACAAGAAAACTTTTAAGGATGGCCATACACAGGCCATTAAAAAAGCCTCAAAAAACTTACAAAAATTATTTAAATCAGACGATATTATCTGACCATAATGCAAGTATGTTAGAAATCAATAACAAAAATAGTTTTGGAAAACAAAAACAAAAATCCCGTATCTTTGGAAATTTTTTTCAAGTGTCTAAATAATGTATGGATCAGATAAGAGATTATAGTGAAAGTGAGAAATTAGTGTCAAGACTTGTGGGATGCAGCTACAGCTATACTCAGAAAATTCATAGCCTTAATATGCCTGTATTAGGGAGCTGCTGAGTCAGGTAATGTTGACAGTTTGTCACATTTTCAAGGGTTTGCAGTTTCCTAGGGGTAGAGAAAAACTGTCTCATCCTCCATCAGATGGGATTAAAGGGAGAGATGAAAGTTTGTCCTTCTAACCTCCTGTTTCCATGGTGCTTTCCATCCCTCCACAAGATGATGATTCCATCCACCTGGAGTCCATCTATAGTAATTTCCAGCCCTCCTTGAGACACATAGACCCTGAAACAAAGGTAAGAAGGGCCTGGATGGGATGCTGGCCTCCCCCAACCCTGCGACTTTCTTCTTCTCCTTTCCTACATGGTAGGACCTTCAGAAAAACAGAACCATGTTTACAGTTTATTGGTCCAGGTGATCCTCCCAGGTCCATACTGCCAGGAAACAAGCCTAACTCAGGGGAAGAATAAAAGCTAAGTAGCAAGGTGGAATCACTTTCCTTTGACCCCTGAGGCTTCAGGTTCGGAGGTTTCCTTCCCTACTCTAAGTACATCCTTGATGGCCAACTTACTTAGTTATTTTAACTTGTAAACACACATAAAAGTCAAAATAGCAGTGCAGTAAATACTTACATATTCCATCTAGCTCAACAAGGCTTAACATGCCATATGTTTCTTTCTTTGTATTGATCTATTCACTAATTTTTGCTGAATAATTTGGAAGTCAGCTGCCAACATTATGACACTTGATCTCTAACCATTTCAGCACACACTTCCCAATACCACGATTATATCCAATACATTGATCATAACTTCACAATATCGTCTGGTACCCAATGTTTCCAATTAGCCCAAGGACATCTTTTATTACTATTTTTTTTTCTCAGATGTAGATATAACAGATTTCACTCACTGACTTCCGTTATGTCTCTTTGGTCTTTTAATCTAGAATGGGCTCCTACATTTTTTAACATATTGCTTTTTTTAAGAGTCTAGGATGGTTGTCTTGAAAAATGTCTCACACTCCTGGTTTGTTTCATGGTGTCATCTAACTTGCCCACCCATCCTTAGTATCAGAGGTATTAGAGGTATTCTAGGATTGGAAATACTGGAGGTTGGTTCTAGAGGCTTAACTGGAATCAGATTAAACATTTTTGTTATATCATAGATAATGCTATCGCCTCACTTCAACAAGTATATAACATCAGGTTTTCCCCTCATGATTAAGGCCGAGATTGGTCACTTGGGCAAAAAGTGACCACTCCTTGATCACTGCTTTAATATGATTTAAACTAGATGGATATTTGAGGGTAGGAGAAATAACAAGTGTGAACGTCTTCAGGTGCTATGCTCCCTTGACATAGCCCTTTGGGCAAGGATGAAATCTCCAGCAAGGATAACTGTAAACCTACCTGGCGGGGAGGGGAAGGCACAATTGGTTTGTGCTAGAATCCAGGTAATGGGACAAGTTCTAAACCAACCACTTAGGCCAGGTGCGGTGGCTCATGCCTGCAATCCCAGAACTTCGTGAGGCCAAGGCAGGAAGATTGTCTGAAGTCAGGAGTTTAGGACCAGCCTGGGCAACAAAGTGAGACTCTGTTGCTATAAAAGAAATAATAATCATAGCCAGGTACAGTGGCTCACACCTGTAATCCCGGCACTTGGGGAGGTCGAAGTGGATGGATTGCTTGAGCCCAGGAGTTTGAGATCACCCTGGGCAACATAGTGAAACCTCATCTCTACAAAAAATTTAAAAATTATTCAGGTGTGGTTGTGTGCACATGTAGTCCTAGCTACTTGGGAGGCTGAGGTGGGAGGATTGCTTGAGGCCAGAAGTTACAGGCCATGGTGAGCCGTGATTGTGCCACTGCACTCCAGCCTGGATGGCAGAGTAAGACCCTGTCTCAAAAAAATAATAAAAAATAAAAATAATTAAACAGAACACTTCCTATCCCAATCCTCCTTATGCTTCCAGAATCCCAAATTCCTCATGGGCTGAGCCCTCACTTGGTTTTATCTCTCTTTTCAGATCCGAATTCAGAGGCCTCAGGTAATGACGACATCATTTTAAGGCATGGAGCTGAGAAGTCTGGGAGTGAGGAGATCCCAGTCCGGCTAAGCTTGGTGGAGCATTTTCCCATTGAGAGCCTTCCATGGGAACTCAATGTTCCCATTGTAAGTACAGGAAACAAGCCCTGTACTTACCAAGGAGAAAGAGGAGAGACAGCAGTGCTGGGAGATTCTCAAATAGAAACCCGTGGACGCTCCAATGGGCTTGTCATGATATCAGGCTAGGCTTTCCTGCTCATTTTTCAAAGACGCTCCAGATTTGAGGGTACTCTGACTGCAACATCTTTCACCCCATTGATCGCCAGGATTGATTTGGTTGATCTGGCTGAGCAGGCGGGTGTCCCCGTCCTCCCTCACTGCCCCATATGTGTCCCTCCTAAAGCTGCATGCTCAGTTGAAGAGGACGAGAGGACGACCTTCTCTGATAGAGGAGGACCACGCTTCAGTCAAAGGCATACAAGTATCTATCTGGACTTCCCTGCTAGCACTTCCAAACAAGCTCAGAGATGTTCCTCCCCTCATCTGCCCGGGTTCAGTACCATGGACAGCGCCCTCGACCCGCTGTTTACAACCATGACCCCTTGGACACTGGACTGCATGCACTTTACATATCACAAAATGCTCTCATAAGAATTATTGCATACCATCTTCATGAAAAACACCTGTATTTAAATATAGAGCATTTACCTTTTGGTATATAAGATTGTGGGTATTTTTTAAGTTCTTATTGTTATGAGTTCTGATTTTTTCCTTAGTAAATATTATAATATATATTTGTAGTAACTAAAAATAATAAAGCAATTTTATTACAATTTTCATGGTTCCCAGATCTTTCCTCCTGTTTCCCATAGCTCCTGTTTCTAACCTCCCAGACTCTCTCTCTCTCCTCCAGAACATAAAATCGGATGCTTTTGGGGTTCAAGACAACAAGAGAGAGATTTGCAGTGGAAAGAGGACCATTCCTTGAACTCCACTGACACCATTTGCTGGTGTCCAAGAGGCAAGGCAGACAGACAGACAGACACACACACACATATACACATACACACAGAGGGGGGGGGGGGAGAGAGAGAGAGAGAGAGAGAGAGAGAGAGAGAGAGAGAGAGACTCACTTCCTACCAAAGAAAACCAAATTTTGCAAGCTCTCCTTCTGAAAACGGGCTTTTATTTCTTTCCATACATCTAAAGAGATAGAGACCTGGGTTCTATTTCAAGCTTTCTCGTGAATTCCTTGGGTTAAATCTGGGAAAAATCTATTTGGACTCAGTCTTGCCTTCTGCCGAATAAGGACTAGGTTATTTCTAAAGCCTCTTTCATCGCTGTCCTTCTTAATATTCCTAGGACGCTTTTTAATAATTATTGTTATTCCAGCCATGCCGCTCAGGATTCATTGTATTCTTGAAAGTCTGTCCCACCCGCCACCCGCTTCAAAGCCTAACCTGAGACAGAACCTGGACTCTGCTTCCCCCTACTGGACACTCTGAGCACCTGCAGGCACCATGCCGTTTCTCAGCGGTCCCCTTCTGGCCTCTCCTGTGACAAAAATATTCCGTTACACTTGATCATTTCCATATTTGCCATCAAAATTCTGTTTCTTTTCTTTTCCTTTTTTTGAAACAAAGTCTCACTCTTTCGCAAAGGCCAAAGCACAGTGGTGTGATCACTGCTCACTGCAACCTTGAGCTCCTGGGCTCAAGAATTCCTCCAGCCTCAGCCTCCCAAGTAACTGAGACCACAGATGCCGGCCACCACGCCCGGCTAATTTTTAATTTTTTCGTAGAGACGGGGTTTCGCTGTATTGTCCAGGCTGGTCTTGAATTCCTAGGCTCAAACGATCCAACCACTTCTGTCTCCCAAAATGCTGGGATTCCAGGCATGAGCCACTATGCCCGGCCTTTTTTTTTTTTTTTAATTTTGAAAATTTGCAAATCTACAGGGAAGTTAAAACAATAAAGTTAAAAAAGTGAACCCTACCTGGGCGTGGTGGCTCACGCCTGTAATCCCAGCACTTTGGGAGGCCGAGGCAGGCGGATCACCTGAGGTCAGGAGTTCAAGACCAGCCTGGCCAACATGGTAAAACCCTGACTCTATTAAAAATACAAAAACTAGCCGGGAATGGTGGCGCATGCCTGTAATCCCACTTACTTAGGAGGCTGAGGCAGGAGAATGGCTTGAACCTGGGAGGCGGAGGTTGCAGTGAGCGGAGATCGTACCACTGCATTCCAGCCTGGGTGACAGAGAGAGTCTGTCTTAAAAAAAAAAAAAAATTACACATATATATGTATATATAACAGTGAACCCCATATAACCTTCACCTGGAGTTATCAGTTGTTAACGTTGTGTCCTATTTGCTCTAAAGTGGTATGTATTTTTTCGAATTAAGCAAAATTGGAAATTAAAAATTAGAAAAGTTACAAATAAAAAATTACCACGAACCTGACCTTTTTTTTTTTAATTTTAGACTCAAGGGGTACATGTGCAGGTTTGTTTCAAAGGTATATTGTGTGGTGCTGAGGCTTAGAGTATGAATAAATCTGTCACACAGGTAGTGAGCATAGTACCCAATAGGTAGTTTTTCTCTTTTTTTCTTTTCTTCTTTTTTTTTTTTTTTTTTTGAGACCGAGACTCGCGGTCACCCAGGCTGGAGCGCAGTGGCACAATCTCAGCTCACTGCAACCTCTGCCTCCCGGGTTCAAGTGGTTCTCCTGCCTCAGCCTCCCGAGTAGCTGGGATTACAGGCGTGCACCACCTTGCCTGGTTAATTTTTATATTTTTAGTAGAGACGGAGTTTTGCCATGTTAGCCAGGCTGGTCTGGAATGCCTGACCTCAAGTGATCTGCCTGCCTTGGCGTCCCAAAATGCTGAGATTACAGGCATGAGCCACCACACCCGGCCCCAATAGGTATTTTTCCGACCCTTGACCCCCTCCCTCCTTCTCTGATTTTGGGGTCCCCAGTGTCAGCTGTTCCCATATTTGCGTCCATGTACACTCAATGTTTAGCACTCACTTATAAGCAAGAACATGCGGTATTTGGTTCTCTGTCTTTGTGTTAATTCATTTAGGATAATGGCCTCTAGTTGCATCCACGTTGCTGCAAAGGACGATTTCATTGTTTTATTTATGGCTGCATAGTATTCCATGGTGTACATGTACCACATTTTCTTTACCCAATCCACCATTGATGGGCACCTAGGTTGATTCCATGTCTTTGTTACTGTGAATAGT
Source organism: Homo sapiens (assembly GCF_000001405.40). Classification (NCBI taxonomy): domain Eukaryota; kingdom Metazoa; phylum Chordata; class Mammalia; order Primates; family Hominidae; genus Homo; species Homo sapiens. Next base: position 101,061,270 of record NC_000007.14, read on the forward strand.
GCTGCAATAAACGTACAGGTGCAGGTGTGTTGGGGGTAGAATAGTTTATTTTTCCTTGGAGTACATACCCAGTAATGAACAATCCTCAGTTCCCAAAACTGAGCTGAATTCATACATCTTCACTTTCAGACCTGCCTCCTGCCTCCCATAGGCATCTGTGGCCATGGGAGCGGGGACTTAACAGGGCTACAGACCCCACATCCCATCTGGAACTGAAATCTCAGCACCTTCCCACTCTCTCATCCTATCTGTGAAACGGAGAGGCAGGACAGAGCACCCAGACCCATAGGCTGCCCAGGTCCACTCTTGGTGAGCCATTTACTACCTGCGTGAGCTTGGGAAAGTAACTTCTTCTCTCTGAACCTCTGCTCCCTCAGCTGTAAAAACAAAAAACAAAAAACAAACAAACAAAAAAAACACAACAACAACAACAAAACTGAGTAGCTGGGCGTGGTGACTCACATCTGTAATCTCAGCACTTTGGGAGGCTGAGGCCGGTGGATCACCTGAGGTCAGGAGTTTGAGACCAGCCTGGCCAACATGGTGAATTCCCGTCTCTACTAAAAATAGGAAAATTAGCCAGGTGTGGTGGCACACACCTGTAACCCCAGCTACTTGGGAGGCTGAGGCAGAAGAATCACTTGAACCTGGGAGGCAGAAGTTACAGTGAGCCGAGATTGCACCATTGCACTCCAGCCAGGGCAATAAGAGCAAAACAACTCTGTATTCAAAAAGAAAAATAAACCCAATGACCACCTACCATGTGCAAAGTACCTTTCATCATTCCCAGTCCACCAATGAGGGCAACCAAGGCAGACATCCTAGCAACTTGCCCAAGATCATGAAACCAATGGGTATGAGGCTGGGATTAGAAAACAGGGTGGCATCTGGTCAAACCTGTGTTCTTTTTTTTTTTTTTTTTGAGACAGGGTCTTGCTCTGTTACCCAGGCTGGAGTGCAGTGGTGCGATCATGGTTCACTGCAGCCTCAAACTTCTGGGCTCAAGCAATCTTCTTGCCTCAGCCTCCTAAGTAGTTGCAGGTGTGCATTGCCATGCTCAGCTAATTTTTAACATTTTTAAAATAGAGACAGGGGTCTTGCTATGTTGCCCAGGCTGGTCTCGAACTCCTGACTTCAAATCATCCTACCACCTCGGCCTCCCAAAAGTTCTGGGATTACAGGTGTGAGCCACAGTGCCCGACTCAAGTCTGCGTTCTTATCTATCACTTATGTGCCCTCCCCGTGGGACCACTCTTGGGATAAACTGGGTTAATACACGTAAAATGCTTGGAACAAATTCTGGCATATAAAAAATTCTAAAAGAGAAAGAGTGGGAGAGAGAAAACATGAGCTATTGCTACATCAGCTTCCCTGTCATAATTCTCTCTTTGCAGCTCATCCCTCTTAAGTTTCTTCTCTCTCTTCCTCCAACCATACAAGAGTGATGGCTGGACTTGAAGCAAGACAGAAGGCTGGCCCTGTCACTTTGCAGAAACCAAGAAATCCAAATGCATAGAGATGCAAAGAGATAGTTGGAGGCAGATACACTAAGTCACAGAAAGAGGGGTCTGGTGGGGGCTTGATATGGTTTGGATGCGTGTCCCTTCCAAATCTCATGTTGAAATGTTATCCCCGATGTCGGTAGTGGGGCCTAGTGGCACTGAGTCATCGGGTCAGATCCCTCATGAATGGCTCAGCACCATCCCCTTGGAAATGAATGAGCTCTGACTTAGTTAGTTCATGGGAGATCTGGTTGTTCAAAAGAGTTTAGGCCAGGCAAAGTGGCACATGCCTGTAACCCCAGCACTTTGGGAGGCCAAGACGGGAGGATTGATTGAACCTAGGAGTTTGCGACAAGCCTGGGCAACCTAGTGAGACCTCCCTGCCCCAATCTCTACCAAAAGTTAAAAAAATTAGCTAGGCATGGTGGCATACACCTGTAATCCCAGCTACTCAGGAGGCTGAGGCGGGAGGATTGTATGAGCCTGGGAGGTTGAGGCTGCAGTGAGCTATGATCGCACCACTGCACTCCAGCATGGGTGACAGGGGGAGAGCCTGTCTCCAAATAAGCCGGGCATGGTGGCTCATGCCTGTAATCCCAGCACTTTAGGAGGCCGAGGCAGGTGGATCACTTGAAGTCAGGAGTTCGAGACCAGCCTGGCCAACATAGAGAAACCCTCGTCTCTAATAAAAATACAAAAATTAGCAGGGTGTGGTGGCCCGCGCCTGTAATCTCAGCAACTCCGGAGGCTGAGGCAGGAGAATCACTTGAGCCTGTTGGGGGGTGGGGGTTGCAGTGACCCGAGATTGCACCACTGCACTCCAGCCTGGGCGACAGAGCGAGACTCCATCTCAAAAAAAAAAAGAAAAGAAAAGAAAAGAAAAGCACTTTCTCTGTCTCTCTTTCTCTCTCTCTCTCTCTCTCTCTCTCTTTCTCTCTCTCTCTCTCTCTCTCTCTCTGTGTCTCTCTCTCGCGTGCGCCATGTGACTGGCTCCGTCTTCGCCTTCCTCCATGTTTGTGAGCCTTCTTAAGGCCCTCAACAGAAGCAGATGCCGCTATGCTTCTCAGACAGCCAGCAGAACCGAGAGCCAAAATACAACCTCTTTTCTTGAGAAATTACCCAGCCCCAGGTGTTGCTTTATAGCAAAGTAAAAACGGACTAACAAAGGACCTAAAGGCAAAGAGGCACTCAGGGACCACCCCTCCGGGCTCACCTCGGGTCACCTGCACCGTTCCTCACCGTCACGCAGGTGCACACGTACCACTGCTTGACTTTCAGCGCCGCTCCTGCCGACCCTTGAGTCTGTTCACAGGCATCTCCTTGCATCCAGCCCATGGCATCCACTGGCTGCTCTCCCTGTGGTCTGTCCCACTGCCAATCACTGTTTCCTGCCACAGCCCACCATTGCCTTCCCAGTTATGCGGTTCACCTGCTCCAACACTAACGCCCTGGCCCTCTGATTAAAGCAATATCTCCACCTCAGCATGGTTTTCAATGTCCCTGGAATCTGATCTCATTTTCCTCCTGACTCCATCTCTTCCACCACCCACCCATGTCCCAGGCCACGTGGCACGTGGGTTGTCGAACTGCCACCCTGCAGCTCCTTCTTTTTTTTTTTATTTTTTTTAGGCAGAGTCTCCTTCTGTCGCCCAGGCTGGAGTGCAGTGGTGTGATCTCGGCTCACTGCAACCTCCGCCTCCCAGGCTCAAGCAATTCTCCTGCCTTAGCCTCCCCAGTAGCTGGAATTACAGGCACGTGCCACCACACCCAGCTAATTTTCCTATTTTTATTAGAGACGGGGTTTCTCCATGTTGGCCAGGCTGATCTCGAACTCCTGACCTCAGGTGATCCACCTGTCTTGGCCTCCCAAAGTGCTGGGATTATAGGCATGAGCCACTGCACTCGGCCTCCCGGCCGCTTCTCTACCCTCCTCTTCCCACATATCTCTCTCTAGAACCTGACCCATCCTGCAACTCCAATTCCACTTCCTCCAGGAAGCCCTCTCTGATACCACCTTTGTCTACTTCTCTCATTGCGTTCATCATTTCCCCTTGTTCGCTCCAGGGTGAGGATGAGGCTTTGTTACTTTCTGTACCCCACAGCACCTAACACCGTGCCTTGTGCATAGAAGATGCCCTGAATGCTTGTTAACTTTAATTAAAACTTCTCTCCCTTGGCCAGGCACAGTGGCTCATGCCTGTAATCCCTCCCCTTTTTGGGAGGCTGAGGCAGGAGAATCACTTGAGCTTGGGAGTTCAAGACCAGCCTGGGCAACATGGTGATACTCCATCTCTACAAAAAGTCTTAAAATTAGCTGGGCATGGTGGTGCGTGCCTGTAGTCCCAGCTACTTGGGAAGCTGAGGTGAGAGGATTGCTTGAGCCTGGATTGTCGAGGCTGCAGTCAGCTGAGATCACACCACTGCACTTCAACCTGGGCAACAGAGTGAGACCCTGTCTCAAAAACAAACAAACAAACAAACAAACAAACTCATCTCTCTTGGCCAGGCACAGTGGCTCATGCCTGTAATCCCAACACTTTGGGAGGCCGAGGCAGCAGGATTGCTTGAGCCCAGGAGTTCAAGACCAGCCTGGACAACATAGCAAGACCCCATCTCTACAAAAAATTAGCCAGGGATGGTGGTGCACACTTGTAGTCCCAGCTACTCGGGAGGCTGAAGTGGGAGGATCACTTGAGCCCAGGAGTTGGAGGCTGCAGTGAGCTATGATCATGTCACTGCACTCCAGTCTGGGCCACAGAGCAAGATCCCATCTCAAGACAAAAAACAAAAACAACTCATCTCCACAAAGTTGTTTTTGTTTGTTTGTTTGTTTTGTTTTGTTTCTTAAGACAGAGTCTCACTCTGTCACCCAGGCTGGAGTGCAGTGGCATGAACTCAGCTCACTGCAACCTCCACCTCCCAGGTTCAAGCAATTCTCCTGCCTCAGCCTCCCTAGTAGCTGGGATTACAAGCACCTGCCATCACACCAGCTAATTTTTGTTATTTTTAGTAGAGATGGTGGGGGGTTTCACCATGTTAGCCAGGCTGGTCTGGAACTCCTGACCTCAAGTGATCCACCCACCTTGGCCTCCCAAAGTGCTGGGATTACAGGCGTATCCACAAAGTTTTTTAAACATCTACTGGCTGGGCGTAGTGACTCACGCTGTAATCCCAGCACTTTGGAAGACCGAGGTGGGTGGATCACCTGAGGGCAGGAGTTCAAGACCAGCCTGGCCAACATGGTGAAACTCCGGCTATACAAAAATTAGCCGGGCATGATGGCGGGTGCCTGTAATCCCAGCTACTTGGGAGGCTGAGGCAGAAGAATTGCTTGAACCTGGGAGGCAGAGGTTGTATTGAGCCGAGATCATGCCACTGCTCTCCAGCCTGCGCAACAGAGGGAGACTCCGTCTCAAACAAAAACAAAAAACCGTCTCCTGTTACATTCACCCTGTCCTTCTTATAATCCTTTTGGGCTTGTATCAACACGACGTGACCAAGTTCTCACTTGTTCTGGTTACTTCACGCATGCTTACACCAACCCCACAGAAAGCCAGCCCCTGTGGGCCACAGAGCCCAGCTCAGGCAGTGCAAGCTGTGGGCCCCCTGGGGCTCTCTGTCTTCTGCTTTCCTCCCACGGCCGAGCCTCTCCCTTTCTGGAAGGGATCAAGACAAATGGAATGGTAAGCAGAGCTTATTTCTGCATCCCAGGGGGCCCTTGGCTTGAGCATAAACACAGCGTCTGATCTTTCTCCTTCTCCTCTTCTGAGTCTTTTCAGGTCACCCTCAGTCACCAGACACCCTGGGGGTGGGGCAAGAATGACAGGAGGCTGGAAGTTCAAGGACCATCTCCTGACCAATAAATGAAAATGTATGCCTCTCCCCCCGCCTGGGGATGCATGGAGATGAGGGAAATCATTTTCCAAAGCATCTTGTAAAATTCAGCTCTCTTGCAGGCAGATTATAACACGGCTTTTGAAGAACAGGAGGGGTCTTGCCGTTTAGATCTCCAGAGGTTGTGCTAGACCCGGGGGAAGACGTGACCAGTCGTGCTTTGCTGCGGTGGGTGATGTGACTCTGTAGGGCCTGTTGAAATGACACCCCCAAGGTAGGCAAGCCTGATTCATCTGCGATGATACAGCAGGTCGGGGAGCTGGCGGCTTCCTAAGTCAGACCGCCTGATGAGAGGCAGGACTCACAGGGGAGCCAGGAAGCTAAGGAAATTTACAGCAGGTCGTAGCCAGGGAAAGTGGAATTGAACCTGGGTGATCATCAGCCTGATTAGCTCAGTGCCTCCTGGTGGGAGCCAAGGGCGGGAGGCAGCGCAGGGGAAGAGGGGGCAGGCAGTCAAGTCAGCATCATCAAGGTGGAGTTCCAGGAGCTGTGGTGTGCTAAGGTCAAGAGCAACTGGGCCAGGCGCAGTGGCGCACCCCTGTAATCCCAGCACTTTGGGAGGCCGAGGCGGGCAGATCACGAGGTCAGGAGATCGAGACCATCCTGACTAACACGGTGAAACCCTGTCTCTACTAAAAATACAAAAAACAAAAACAAAAACAAAAACAAAAACAAAAAGATTAGCCGGGTGTGGTGGTGGGCACCTGTAGTCCCAGCTACTCGGGAGGCTGAGGCAGGAGAATGGTGTGAACCCGGGAGGCGGAGCTTGCAGTGAGCCAAGATCGCACCACTGCAGTCCAGCCTGGGCGGCAGAGTGAGACTCCGTCTCAAAATAAATAAATAAATAAAAATTCAAACTGTGAATCTTTGGGAAAAGAGGGCCCGTAATGCCAGGTGAGGACTGCATGACTTTATTCTCCATGACCAACACAGGCCACTGATAGCCCCTGCCAGGTGGAGGCATTTCCCATGCCTTCCAAAATTGCCCTGATTGCAATAATCACGCAGCCCTTTGTGAGCCATTGGTATAAGTCAGGGCTGGTACCAGGATTCATGCATACACATTAATTCATAGCTCCCCAACCTCCGTTTCTCAACCCAGCATGCCCTGAAAGGGTTCCAGGCTTCCAGAGAGAGTGAGACCACAGCCCTCAGGCCACCATGCAGGGCTTGCCAGGGGCTGGAGCCCTGTCATCCCTGGTAACTGTGGCCTCCAGCCTTGCAGATGCAATCATATTTCCCTTGATTTTTTTTTTTTTTTTTTTTTGAGACGGAGTTTCACTCTTGTCGCCCAGGCTGGAGTGCGCTGGTGCAATCTCGGCTCACTGCAACCTCTGCCTCCTGGGTTCAAGTGATTCTCCTGCCTCAGCCTCCCAAAGTGCTAGGATTACAGGCATGAGCCACTGGGCCAGGCCCTGTGCATGTTTGCTTCCCACTATGATAGCACGCTCAGGCAAGCGGACTGCCCGTCTCTAATACCAGTCCAAGCCCAGGCTCATGGCTGGCAGAGCCAGGTTTCTCCTGACACATACACAGTGTTGGGATTCTCTGCCCTGAGCAGGGAGAAGCCTCTGTCAACAGCACTGGAAGTATCTCTTTCTATGCTGCAGAGGTAGACCAGATGGACGCAGCAGAGACGACCTCTTGGGCATTCTCATGTCAGAGTTGAGAGGCCCAAGCATTCAGCATTTTCTCATCTTCCTCCCTTACGGAAGGAGGCTGCGTTGCAGACACCCGAGTTGAGAATATCCAGGCCTGAAATTTGGTTCAACAAGTCAGAGATGCCGCAGAGCACCACTGCACTGATTTGAAGCTAAAACGGCCAAGGGTTTGCTGTGGCTTCGCTGCTTAAACCTGGAGGGCAGGCTGAGCCCAGGAGCCTGAGGGTGAGCCCGGCTGTCCCCACAAGATTCATCCTCCAGGCACCAGATCAAGACCTCATACACACCTCGGGGCGGAGCTAACTGCTCATACTAGTTCCCTGGGGCCGCCATCACAAAGTACTACACTGATGGTCTTTAACAAAAGAAATCTATTGTCCCACAGTTCTGATGGACAGAAGTCCAAGACCAGGGTATCCGCGGGGCTGGTTCTCTATGAGGCCCATAGGGAGAATCTGTTCATGCCTCTCCCCCCAGCTCCCGGTGGTCGGCTGGCAATCTTTTGCATTCTTTGGCTCGTATAAGCATCACTCCAATCCCTGCCTTCGTCTTCATATGGCATTGCCACTGCAGGCCTGTCTCTGTGAATCAATTTCCCTCTATTTTTTTTATTGTTTTTGAGACAGAGTCTCGCTCTGTTACCCAGGCTAGAGTGCAATGGTGCAATCTCGGCTCACTGCAACCTCCACCTCCCAGGTCTAAGCGATTCTCCTGCCTCAGCCTCCTGGGTAGCTGGGATTACAGGCATCTGCTACCACACCCGGCTAATTTTTGTATTTTTAGTAGAGACAGGGTTTCATCATGGTGGCCAGGCTGATCTCGCGCTCCTGACCTCAGGTGATCCACCTGCCTTGGCCTCCCAAAGTGCTGCGATTACAGGCGTAAGCCACCACTCCCAGCCAATTTCCCTCTGTTTTGTTTTGTTTTGTTTTGTTTTGTTTTCTGAGATGGAGTTTCACTCTTGCTGCCCAGGCTGGAGTGCAGTGGCACAATCTCGGCTCACTGCAATCTCCGCCTTCTGGGCTCAGACGATTCTCCTGCCTCAGCCTCCCGAGTAGCTCCTGTGTACCACTACACCCAGCTAATTTTTTTTAATTTTTAGTAGAGACAGGGTTTCACCATGTTGGCAAAGCTGGTCTCGAACTCCTGACCTCAAGTGATCCACCCGCCTTAGCCTCACAAAGTAAGGGATTACAAGCATGTAATTAATGCTGGGATTGCAAGCATTACCATACCCAGCCTTTTTTTTTCTTCTTCTTCTTCCTTCGAGACAGAGTCTTGCTCTGTCACCCACTCTGGAGTTTAGTGGCGTGATCTTGGCTCACTACAGCCTCCACCCCCTGGGCTCAGGTCATCCTCCTGCCTCAGCCTCCTGAGTAGCTGGGACCACAGACGCACGCCACCACAGCCAGCTAATTTTTAAACTATTTGTAGGGATGGGGGCTTTGCCATGTTGCCGAGGTTGGTCATGAACTCTTGGCCTCAAGGGATTCTCCAGAGTGCTGGGATTACACGCGTGAGCCTCTGCACTCGGCCTAGAGGACTTTTGACTGACCCTCAATGCAGAGGGCCGAGCTGGTTACACATCTCAGATCATTTCATTGCCAACAGTCTGAACAAGACTCATCCCTCATCAGATTCCCCACTACACTCCTGTGCCTTCTACCTCCCCGCCTCCATCGTTGCCCACTCACTCCAATTCACTTAATATATATTAAGTATGCATTAATACATTAATAAACCAGGTGTGGTGGCTCACACCAGTAATCCCAGCACTTTGGGAGGCTGAGGCAGGTGGATCACAAGCTCAGGAGATCGAGACCATCCTGGCTAACACAGTGAAATTCCGTCTCTACTAAAAATAGAAAAAAATTAGCAGGGTGTGGTGGCACACGCCTGTAGTCCCAGCTACTCGGGAGGCTGAGGCAGAAGAATCGCTTGAACCCAGGAGGCGGAGGTTGCAGTGAGCTGAGATTGCGCCACTGCACTCCAGCCTAGGTGACAGAGAGAGACTCCGTCTCAAAAAAAAAAAAAAAAAATATATATATATATATACACATATATATGTATATTAATATAGTCTTTTTTTGAAACAGGGTCTCATTCTTTTACCCAGGCTGGAGTGCAGTGGTGCGATCACAGCTCACTGCAGCCTCCATCTCCTGAGCTCAAGTGATCCTCCTATCTCAGCCCCTGCAAGGAGCTGGGACTATAGGTGCACACCACCACGCCCAGCTAATTTTTGTATTTTTTGTAGAGAAAGGGTTTTGCCCTTTTGCCCAGGCTGGTCTCAAACTCCTGGGCTCAAATGATCCTCCCATCTCAGCCCCCGCAAGTAGCTGGGACTATAGGCGCACACCATCACGCCCAGCTATTTTTGTATTTTTTGTAGAGACAGGGTTTTGCCATGTTGCCCAGGCTGGTCTCAAACTCCTGGGCTCAAGTGATCCCGCCCACCTTGGCCTCCCAAAGTGCTGGGACTACAGACGTGAGCCACCGCACCCAGCCTTATTAATATAGTTTTGAAAGTTATATTATACTGTTTAATCTCTGTGTCTTAAGTTTATATACATGAATGTGTTCTGTGGATCTCATCTTTTCTGTTTCTATTCTTTCGGATTTTGCTTGTTTGTTTTTGAGTCAGGGCCTCAAGAGGGCCCCATATGAACCATTAACAGATGTTGACCATGTTCTGGGTTACAAGGAACCTCAGTAAATTACAAAAAATTTGCCTGGCAGAAATTATGGTTTTTCATTATCATAAACATTAAAAATCAATAGCAGGCCAGGCATGGTGGCTCACACCTGTAATTCCAGCACTTTGGGAAGCCGAGGCCGGCAGTTCACTTGAGGTCAGGAGTTCAAGACCAGCCTGGTCAACATGGTAAAACCCCGTCTCTACTAAAAAAAGAGAAAAAAAATTAACCAGGCTTGGTGGTGAGTGCCTGTAGTCCCAGCTACTTGGGAGGCTGAGGCAGGAGAATCGCTTGATCCCGGGAGGCAGAGGCTGCAGTGAGCTGAGATGGCACGATTGCACTCCAGCCTGGGCAACAAGAACAAAACTCTGTCTCAAAAAAAAAAAAAAATTAGCCGGGTGTGGTGGTGGGCATCTGTAATCCCGGCTACCGGGGAGGCTGAGGCAGGAGAATCACTTGAACCTGGGAGGCAGAGGTTGCAATGAGCTGAGATCACGCCACTGCACTCCAGCCTGGGTGACAGAGCAGGACTCCATCTCAAACACAAACAAACAAAAATCAATAGCAAAAGACTAACAAACCCATCACAGAGGTGAACTCCCAAAAGGCTCAGACCTAAATGTGAAACAGAAAAGTACAAAACTAACAGCCGAAAATGTAGGAGAATCCCTTTGAGACTTTTGTATAGGGAAAGACTTTTTGAGCTGGATCCCCCGAACACAAACCATATGGAAAAATAAGTTTTCTGTTCAACAAAGAGCACTGCAGAAACAGTTAAGATACGAACATCTCCCTGGGAAAAGACCCGTGCAATGTCTGACATTGACAAGCGATGAATATCCAAGAAACTCCCATAAATCAATAAGAAAATGACAAGCAACCCAGCCGGGCGTGGTGGCTCACGCCTGTAATCCCAGAACTTTGGGAGGCCGAGGTGGGTAGATCACTTGAGGGCAGGAGTTTGAGACCAGCCTGGGCAACACGGCAAGACCCTGTCTCTACAAAAATAAAAACAAACAAACAAACAAACAAACAAACAAAAAGTAGCCAGGTGTGGTGGCATATGCCTGTATTCCCAGCTGCTTAGGAGGCTGAGGTGAGAGAATCACTTGAGCCCAGGAGGTTGAGGTTCAGATCGCACCACCGCATTCCAGCCTAGGTAACAGGGCAAGAACCTGGAAAGAAAGAAAAGAAGAGAGGGGAAGGAAGGAAGGAAGGAAAGGAGGGAAGGAAGGAAGGGGAACAACTCAAAGAAAAATAAGAAAAGATAATTATTTCTTTTTTTTTTTTTTTTTACTTTTCTTTTAGATGATATTATTATTCTACTCACTAGACCACCAGGGAAGGCAAAGATTATGAAACCTAAATGGCTAACAAACATGTTAGAAGGTATTCAGTCTCACCGGTAATTGGTAATTTTATACCCATCTGATGGCAGGGCGACTCTGGAGACATGGGAACTGGCGGGAGCACAGGTGGGCACAGTCATCCGGACAGCATCTGGCTCAGTAGTAAAAACTAAGTTATACGTAAACCGAATGACCCAGCAATGCACCTCCTAGAGAAACTCGCCTGTGGATAGGTCTTAAAAACCTGAAAGCAGACTGCCTGGCAAAGGGGCTCACCACCGTAAGCCCAGAGCTTTCCGTGGCCAAGGCAGGAGAATCGTTCAAGCACAGGAGTTTGAGACCAGCCTGGGTAACCTAAAGAGATTCTGTCTCTACAAAAAATCTAAAAATGAACTGGGCATGGCGGCAGGTGCCTGTAGTCCCAGCTACTCGGGAGGCTGGGGTGAGAGGATTGCTTGAGCCTGGGAGGTCGGGGCCTCAGTGAGCCATGATGGCACCACTGCACTCAAACCTGGATAACAGAGCAAGACCCTGTTTCAAAAAATGTATGTATAAATAATTGTCATTAGTTCATGTTTATCAATAGTTTATTCAAATACTCCATTTCTTGGCAGGGTGCGGTGGCTCACGCCTGTAATCCCAGCACTTTGGGAGGCCGAGGCGGGCAGATCACGAGGTCAGGAGATCGAGACCATCCTGGCTAACACAGTGAAACCCCATCTCTACTAAAAAATACAAAAAATTAGCCGAGATCGCGCCACTGGACTCCAGCCTGGGTGACAGAGTGAGACTCCATCTCAAAAAAAAAAAAAAATTTAAAAATTAGCTGGGCATGGTGCCACACACCTGTAGTCACAGCAACTTGGGAGGCTAAGGAAGGAGGATGGCTTGAGCCAAGGAGGCTGAGGCTGCAGTGAGCTATGATTGCACCACTGCACTCCAGCCTGAGTGACAGAGCGAGACCCTGTCTCAACAAGAAGAAGAAGAAGAAGACGAAGAAGAAGAAGAAGAAGAAGAAGAAGAAGAAGAAGAAGAAGAAGAAGAAGAAGAAGAAGAAGAAGAAGAAGAAGAAATAATAGAGAGGAATTAAAAGTTATAAAGTTGATTTAATGAATATATATATTCATTATATACACACACACACACACACACACACACATATATATATACACACACACAATTCTGGTCCCAGAAATTGAAAGAAGATGCATTTTTCTCAAGCACGCATGAGATGTTTATAAGTCCATAATTAGTCCAATAAAATATATCTCAGTAAATATCAAAGGAAAGCAAGAACAAAAACACTCAAAGGCCAGTGAGGAGGTTACTGCAGTGGTTCAAGCCAGAGGTGACAGTAGCTCTTCTCTGTGTAAGGTTGGTGGAGGAGGGGAGGAGAGGTTGGATGCTGGATGCATTTTGAAGGCAGAGCTGACAAGTTCGCTAATGGTCTGGGTACACACTGCAATGGAAAAAAGAGCAGTCAAGGATGACAACGAGAGATCTGGCCTGAGTACCTGGAAGGATGGATTTGCATTTCAGAGATGGTGATGTCTGGGAGAGTGGGGAGGGAGCAGGTTGGGGTGGAAGAGACTAGAGATCCATTTTGGGGCATATTAAGAATGGGATGCCTGTTAGACCTACAAGTAGATAAGTCCAGTGGGGCCATCCGTGGGACATGAATCTGGAAGTCGGGGGGAGGTCTGGTCTGGAGATGAAAATTGAGAAATACCATTCTAGGCCAGGCACAGTGGCTCACACCTGTAATCCCAGTACTTTGGGAGGCCAAGGCAGGCGGATCACCTGAGGTCAGGAATTCGAGACCAGCCTGGCCAATATGGTGAAACCTCATTTCTACTAAAAATACAAAAATTAGCCAGGTGTGGTGGCATGTGCTTGTAATCCCAGCTACTCGGGAGGCTGAGACAGGAGAATCACTTGAACCCAAGAGGCGGAGGCTGCAATATGCCAAGAATTCACTATTGCACTCCAGCCTGGATGACAAGAGCAAGACTCCATCTCAAAAAAAAAAGAAATTACCATTCTATAAAGGATGGATATAATATCATTGCTATGGTTTGGGTGTTTTACACCTCCAAACCTCATGTTGAAATTTGCTTTTTTTTTTTTTCTTTTAATAGGGTCTTGCTCTGTTGCCCAGGCTGGTGTGCAGTGGCATGATCATGGCTCAGTGCAGCCTCAAACTCCTGGGCTCGAGTGATCCTCCCACCTCAGCCTCCCAAGTAGCTAGGACTACAGGCATGCACCACCACACTCAGCTAATTTTTGTATTTTTTGTAGAGATGAGGTCTCACTGTGTTGCCTAGGCTGGTCTCAAACTCCTAGGCTCAAGCTATCCATCCACCTTGGCCTCCCAAAGTGCTGGGATTACAGGCGTGAGCCACCACATCTGACATCATGTTGAAATTTGATCCTAGTGTTGGAGGTGGGGCCTAATGGGTGGTGTCTGGGTCTTGGGTCAGATCCCTTATGAATAGATTAATGTCTTCCCTGAATGGGAAGTGAGTGAGTTCTTACTCTATTAGCTCCCTCAAGAGCAGGGTTGTTAAACAGAGCCTGGCACCTCTCCCCCGTCGCTCTTGCTTTCTCTCTCATGATGTGATTTCTGCACACGCCAGCTCTCTTTCACCTTCCTCCATAATTGGAAGCAACACTTTGGGAGGCCAAGGTGGATGGATAGTTTGAGCCCAGCAGTCTGAGACCAGCCTAGGCAACACAGTGAGACCTCATCTCTACAAAAGAGGCCCTCACCAGATACAACTGCCCAGTTTTGAACCTCCTAGCCATCGGAATCATGAGCCAAATAAAACTTTTTTCTTTATAAATTACCCAGCCTCTGACCAAGCGAGGTGACTCACGCCTGTAATCCCAGCACTTTGGGAGGCCGAAGGGGGTGGATCACCTGCGGTCAGGAGTTCAAGACTAGCCTGGCCAACATGGTGAAACTCCGTCTCTACTAAAAATACAAAAATTAGCTGGACATGGTGGCACGTGCCTGTAATCCCAGCTACTCAGGAGGCTGAGGCAGGAGAATCACTTGAACCTGGGAGGTGGAGGTTGCAGTGAGCTGAGATCATGCCACTGCACTCCAGCCTGGGCTACAGAGTGAGACTCCATCTCAATCAATCAATCAATCACCCAGCCTCAGGTATTTTTTTTAATAGCAACACAAAATGGACTACGGCAGTCATTTAAAGCCGTAAGACCGGATGGGATCCCTCAAGGAGGGAGTGTGGACAGAGAGGAGGTCTAAACGCATGCTGATGTTTAGGGTCAGGATGGTAGAAGAACCCAGAGAAGGAATAGCCAGGGGGTAGGAAGAGAACCAACGGAGATGAGAGGCCAAGATACCAAGAGAAGAGAGTTTCAAGGAGGAAGCGACTTCCTCTGTCAAATACTACAGTTGAGTAAGAGGAGCACAGACAATGGGGAGGTGATTGATGACCTTGTCCAGAACAGCTTCCCTGGAGTGTTGAAAACAAGAGCCTGTCTGGAGTGGGTCCCAGAGAAAAAGGAGAACAAAGGCAGACATTGTTCACTGGTAGGGGCATGCAAGGTCAAGCAGGGAACTGGCTTTCTTGTGTTGTTGTTGTTGTTTTTTTAATTTTTATTTATTTTTGAGATGGAGTCTCACTCTGTCGCCCAGGCTGGAGTGCAGTGGAGCGATCTCGGCTCACTGCAATCTCTATCTCCCGGGCTCAAGCGATTCTCCTGCCTCAGCCTCCTGAGTAGCTGGGATTACAGGTGCCGGCCACCACGCCCAGCTAATTTTTGTATTTTTAGTAGAGATGGGGTTTCACCATTTTGGCCAGGCTGGTCTCGAACTCCTGACCTTGTGATCCCCTCACCTCGGCCTCCCAGAGTGCTGGGATTACAGGCGTGAGCCACTGCACCCGGCCTCTTGTGTTTTTAAGATGGGAAATAGGCTAGGCACTGTGTCTCTACTGTGACCCCAGCACTTTGAGAGGCCAAGGCGGGAGGATCACTTGAGGCCAGGAGTTTGAGACCAGCCTGGGCAACACAGTGAGACCCCCCCCCATCTCTACAAAAGATAAAATAGCCGGGTGCAGTGGCTCACTCCTGTAATCCCAGCACTTTGGACTTTGGGAGGCTGAGGCGAGTGGATTGCCTGAGCTCAGGAGTTTGAGATCAGCCTGGGGAACACGGTGAAACCCTGTCTTTACTAAAAATACAAAAAATTAGCTAGCTGTGGCAGCATGTGCCTGTAATCCCAGCTACTCGGGAGGCTGAAGTGAGAAAATCGCTTGAGCCTGGGAGTTCAAGCCTGCAGTGAGCTATGGTCACAGCACTGCACTGCAGCCTGGGTGACAGAGCAAGACCCTGTCTCTAAAAACAAAAACAAAAACAAGAACAAAAGATGGAAAATATGCTAAAAGGATCTAGTGGCAAAAGGAAATCTCAGTAACACTGACTCTGTCTTTACTTAAAATTGTGATATTATGTTTATTATGGATGTCTTGTAATTTTATTTTTTAAGTATTGCATTGAAATATTAATTATTAACATATCCACAAAAAATGTATGCTGATTAGTAACATTTTTGGTGCTTCTTTAGATGTTATATCTGAGACCCTGGTGGAAGGAGTAGTAAAAGGAGAAAATGGAATCTTTGAGGGAGTTTTCCTGGTATAAACAGGAACTGGAGGCCAGGCACTGTGGCTCATGCCTGTAATCCCAGCACTTTGGGAGGCTGAGATGGGCGGATCACCTGAGGTCAGGAGTTCAAGACCAGCCTGGCCAACATGGTGAAACCCCATCTCTGCTAAAAAATACAACAATTAGCCAAGTGTGGTGGCGGGCGCCTGTAATCCCAGCTACTCAGGAGGCTGAGGCAGGAGATGCATGAACCCAGGAGGTGGAAGTTGCAGTGAGCCGAGATCACGCCACTGCACTCCAGCCTGGGCGACAGAGCAAGACTCCGTCTCACAAAACAGAACAAACAGGAACTGAGGATGGGCCCCTGGGTCTGGCAGCCTAGAAGGGACACATAGGGCCTATGATGATTGGCAGGAGCAACCACAGGCTGACAGGGACCTCCCCAGGCTCTGCCCACTGGTCTATGCACCGTCCCTGCCCTTCTCCAGCTGCCTGGCACAGCTGAACATGCAGGGACATGGTATTGTCATGGGGTCTTATAAGAGCTGCTATGGACACTGATGGGGAGAGTGACCACGCAAGAACAGTCATTCTAGAATTAGTCCACAGAATTGGCTAAGGAGGAAAAGACAAGGAAGGCAGTAGTTGCCGTGGCAACATTATGGTTTACTGGATGAAGGAAAGGTGGTTTTTATGGGTGACTGGGTAATTGACTATCGCCCGGAGCCAGCAGGCAGCGTTAGCAGGGGACAGAGCTCCCTCTAGTGGGCCTGGATGGCAAAGATGGTTCAGAGTGGATGGTGCTGCGGGCACTGGGAGCACAGGTATGCCTAGCAATTGGGGAACAGGCAGAGGAAGAGAAGCCAGCAGGGCAGAGGGGAGGGGGCAGAGGAGGAGGGGGAAGAGGGGGCGTCGACCTAGAGAGGCGTGAGTTTTGAGAAGGAAGTGATCACAGCTTCAAAAGTCAGAGAGGTTTATAGGATAAAAGGTAAAAAGAGGCTACCTGGGCTGCCACACATGTTTCGCTATCACTACACATCTGATCCTGAAGCCTTGGCACTGGGAGAAGAGGGATGGGCCTAGGATTACAATTTTACTTTTTTTTCTTCTTTTCTTTTTTTTTCTTTTTTCTTCTTTTTTCTTTTTCTTTTCTTTTCTTTTCTTTTTTTCTTTTTTTTTTTTTTTTGATGTAGAATCTCACTCTGTCGCCCAGGATGGAGTGCAGTGGCACGATCTCAGCTCACTGCAACCTCCACCTCCCAGGTTCAAGCGATTTTCCTGCCTCAGCCTTCCAAGCAGCTGGATTACAGGCGCCCGCCACCAGGCCTGACTAATTTTTGTATTTTTGTAGAGACAGTGTTTCACCATCTTGGCCAGGCTGGTCTCAAACTCCTGACCTCAAGTAATCCACCTGCCTTGGCCTCTCAAAGTGCTGGATTACAGGCATGAGCCACCACGCCTGGCCTAATATTTTATATTTTAAAATTTGCTTCATTGGGCTATAATTTATATAAACTAAAAACCATCCATTTAAGTATATAGTTCAATGAGTTTTGACAAGTGTACATAGTCGAGTAATTGCCAACACAATCCTGATACAGTACATTATAAAAATAAAGAAATTGACATTGGTCCAATACCATTAACTAGACTACAGATCTTACTCAGATTGCAGTAGTTTTTACATGCACTCATGTGTGTGTGTGCATGTATGTGTGTGTGTGTGTCTGCATAGTTCTATGCAATTTTTAAAAAATATTTTTTATTTTTTTGGCTGGGTGCAGTGGCTCACGCCTGTAATCCCTGAACTTTGGGAGGCCAAGGCTGAGGTCAGGAGTTCAAGACCAGCCTGGCCAACATGGTGAAACTCCATCTCCACTAAAAATACAAAAATTAGCCAGGTGGGCGCCCGTAGTCCCAGCTACTCAAGAGGCTGAGGAAGGAGAATCTCTTGAACCCGGGAGGTGGAGGTTCCAGTGAGCCTAGATCGTGCCACTGTACTCCTATTTCTTTCTTTCTTTTTTTTTTTTTCCTGCTTTCTGGATGATTTCCTTAATTAAAACCTTCCAATTACTATGGCTTCAGGCCAGGTGCAGTGGCTCACACCTGTAATCTCAGCACTTTGGGAGGCCGAGGTGGGCGGATCATGAGGTCAGGAAATCAAGACCAGCCTGGCCAATATGGTGAAACCCCATCTCTACTAAAAATACAAAAATTGGCCAGGCGTGGTGGCACGCGCCTGTATTCCCAGCTACTCGGGAGGCTGGGGCCGAAGAATCTCTTGAACCCAGGACGCAGAGGTTGCAGTGAGCTAAGATTGAGCCACTGCATTCCAGCCTAGGCGACAGAGCGAGACCCTCTCAAACAAACAAAAAACCGTGATGGCAGATTTGAAAGACACAATAGAAGGGTTGGAAGGTTTTAATTAAGGAAGTCATCCAGAAAGCAGGAAAAAAAAAAAAGCCGGGCGCAGTGGCTCATGCCTGTAATCCCAGCACTTTGGAAGGTCGAGGCGGGCGGGTCACCTGAGATCGGGAGTTCGAGACCAGCCTGACCAACATGGAGAAACCCCGTCTCTACTAAAAATACAAAATCAGCTGGGCATGGTGGCACATACCTGTAATCCCAGCTACTCGGGAGGCTGAGGCAGGAGAATTGCTTGAACCTGGGAGGCGGAGGTTGCGGTGAGCCGAGATCACGCCATTGCACTCCAGCCTGGGCAACAAGAGCGAAACTCCATCTCAAAAAAAAAAAAAAAAAAAAAAAGAAACAGGAAAAAGAAAAGAGAAGAGAAAATATAAAATTAGAGGAATCACTCAGGAGGCGCAACTCTGAATGGTGAGAGCTCAGAGGAAGAAGCAGAGAAAATGGAGGGGAGAGAATTTCCACAAAATCCTTGAGAGAATTTCCCACACCTCAAGGCACCTGTTGGCAGATTTTTTTTTTTTTGAGATGGAGTCTCACTGTGTTGCCCAGGCTAGAGTGCAATGAATGCAATGGCACAATCTCACCTCACAGAAACCTCCGCCTTCCCCACTCAAGGGATTCTCCTGCCTCAGCCTCCAGAGTAGCTGGGATTACAGACGCCCCGCCACCACACCCGGCTAATTTTGTATTTTAGTAGAGATGAGGTTTCACCATGTTGGCCAGGCTGGTCTCGAACTCCTGACCTCAAGTGATCCACCCACCTCAGCCTCCCAAAGTGCTGAGATTACAGGCGTGAGCCACTGTGCCCAGCCATGTTGGCAGATTTAAAAGAGCCACTACATGCCCAGCAGGATGTACTCACTGTGAAATTCTGAACACTGGGATCAAAGAACATTCTGAAAGCTTCCAAAGGGTACTGGATCCTTGAGAGCTCATTGCTTAGCACTTTGGGAGGCTGACACGGGAGGACCACCTGAAGCCAGGAGTTCAAGACCACACTGCCCAACATAGCGAGACCCTGTTTCAATAAGAAATAATAAATAAAAATTATTTAAAAAAGAATTCTATGGGCTGGTTGTTAAATAGTGGTGGTGTGCATGATTTTTGTTTGTTTGTTTGTTTGTTTTTTGAGACGGAGTCTCGCTCTGTCGCCCAGGCTGGAGTGCAGTGGCGCGATCTCGGCTCACTGCAAGCTCCGCCTCCTGGGTTCATGGCATTCTCCTGCCTCAGCCTCCTGAGTGGCTGTGACTACAGGCATCCGCCACCACGCCCAGCTAATTTTTTCGTCTTTTTTAGTAGAGACGGGGTTTCACTGTGTTAGCCAGGATGGTCTTGATCCCCTGACCTCGTGATCCACCCGCCTCGGCCTCCCAAAGTGCTGGGATTACAGCTGTGAGCCACTGTGCCCGGCCCAGGGTTTTTTTTTTTTTAAGAGGAGGTGACAGTTTACTAGCATATTACTAAATCGTTAAGTAAATTACGGCAGATAATTTATGAAGCCATTAATTCTAAAAACTACAAAGAATATGTAAAATCCTAGAAAATATCTTGTCAGCTGGGCGTGGTGGCTCATGCCTGCAATCCTAGTACTTTGGGAGGATGAGGCAGGCAGATCACCAGAGCTCAGCAGTTTGAGACCAGCCTGGCCAACACAGTGAAAAAAAAATTTTAATATCTCTACAAAAAAATACAAAAATTAGCTGGGCATGGTGGCATGTGCCTGTAGTCCCAGCTACCCGGGAGGCTGAGGCAGGAGAATTGTTTGAGCCTGGGAGGAGGAGGTTGCAGTGAGCTGAGATTGAGCCACTGCACTCCAGTTCGGGCAACAGAGCAAGACCTTGTCAAAAAAAAAAAAAAGAAAGAAAAAGAAAAAGAAAAAAAAGAAAAGAAAATATTTTGTCAAATGACAACATTACAACAATTCTAGTTATAGATCTAGTGGGCTTTTGCCATTCATGAAGGGAGCCACCTGCCATTCTAAGAAATATGCTGAGATCTCACACTGTAACTGCAGAACAGTGAGTTTGTAAGGAAGGAACAAGGAAACAGAAGAGTAGAAAAACAAGCTAATTGGTTAACCTTAGGTTACTTCATGTTGCTTTTGTGGAAGGTTAAAGCAGTGGGGACTTCCTTATTATGTTCACTCAAGTAGATTGGAATCCCTTGTTTTCAAGAAAAACTGGTCTGTTTGGGAATCTGTCTGCTTCCTCAAACTCTCGGTTTGATGATGTGGCATTTAGCATGAGTGACTCCATTTTGGTTTGGTCTGGTTGGCAGGAGTCTAATGTAGGAGTTCAGTCCACACAATAGCCTCCCATAATTTTGTTTGTTTGTTGTTGTTGTTGTTGTTATTATTATTATTTAAGACAGAGTCTCACTCTGTTGCCCAGGCTGGAGTGCAGTGGTGCGATCTTGACTCACTGCAACCTCTGCCTCCTGGGTTCAAGTGATTCTCCTGTCTCAACCTCCCAAGTAGCTGGGATTATAGGAGCATGCTACCACGCCTGGCTAATTTTTGTATTTCTAGCAGAGACGAGGTTTTGCCATGTTGGCCAGGGTGGTCTCGAACTCCTGACCTCAGGTGATCTGCCCACCTCAGCCTCCCAAAGTGCTGGAATTACAGGTGTGAGCCACTGCCTGGCCTGTTTGTTTTTAGAGATGAGATCTCTGTATGTTGCTGTGGGATGCAGAGGACTAGAGAGACCAGTATGGGTGAATACAGGAGGATATTTATTTTAAGGTGTGTGCTGGCTCAGTGGATTCACATCCAAAAAGCTGAGCCTTAAACAAAGACTGAGCGGGATTATTATAAGCAAACTTATAGAAGCAAAACAAAGACAGTTAATCATATAATAACAGGTCATATAATCTATAGCATAACTGATGGCTTGGCATAACTCATGGCCTTGCATAGCTGGTGGCCGTATAGCTGCATTGAAAGAAAAAACAAGAACTGGCTAAATACAGACATTTGTCCTTCTTTTTTTTTTTTTTTTCCTTCACCTTTGCTTCGGAGGGGGACTGTCTGGAACCTATTCCTTTGGTTTTGACTTCTCGAGCAGCGTTATCTTATAACTGTCCTTGAAGTGAGTTTGTTAGGCAGAGGAAAATTTGTTCTTCTTTTCTTTTTAACCCTTATCTTCCCACATTCTGGGCCTTGGCTTTTACTTTTCTTGGAGTGAATGAATGCAGTACTTATTATTACTATTATTTTTAAATTTCTGCCTCAATGTTAACCCAGGCTGGTCTTGAACTCTGGGACTCAAGCGATCCTCCCACCTCAGCCTCCCAAGTAGCTGGAACTATAGGCACATTATTTTTTTTAATGACTTGTGACACAGCCCCGGGAGATCCTGAGAACATGTGCCCTCTTTCTAATTTTTTATTTTTTCCGTAGAGACGGGGGTGGTCTCAGTATGTTGCCCAGGCTGGTCTCAAACTCCTGAACTCAAGCAATCCTCCCACCTTGGCCTCCCAAAGTGCTGGGATTACAAGCATGGGCCACCACACCTGGCCTCATAATTTTGTTTACCAGTTGGTATAGGGCTAAGTTTTATAGACAAAATTATATGTACCCTGTAAATATAATTATGTAAAATACGGACAGAGACCAAAGGACATACACACAGGAAAGAAATAGTTAATTGTGTTACAATGATGATATGAGTGTTTTAAAGTATCCACATTATAATTTAGGATTAAAAACCTCTGCTGGGGGCCGGGCCTGGTAGCTCATGCCTATAATCCCAGGACTAGCCTAGGCAACATAGAAAGACCCCATCTCTGCAAACAAACAAACAAAAAACAAACAAACAAATGTCTGTGCTGGCCACTCCCTCTAATACCTATAGGACAAAGTCCAAACTTCCCTGCTGGAAGCCTTATAATGGCCTTCCTTGACCATTATATTAAGACCTTACGAGATTCACAACAGGGAATTTAATTTTAATTTTAATTTTTTTTTTTTGTAGAGAGAGTCTTGATCTGTCACCCAGGCTGGAGTGCAGTGGCATAGATCATGGCACATGCAGCCTTGAAGTCCTGGGCTCAAGCGAACCTCCTGCTTCAGCCTCCTGAATAGCTGGGACTTCAGGTGTGAGCCATCAGGTAGCTAATATATATATTTTTTGAGATGGAGTCTCACTCTGTTGCCCAGGCTGGAGTGCAATGGTGCGATCTAGGCTCGCTGCAACCTCTGCCTCCCAGGTTTAAGCAGTTCTCCTGCCTCAGCCTACCGAGTAGCTAGGAAGGCTAGGTTTTGTTTTGTTTTGTTTTGTTTTTTAGTAGAGACGAGGTTTTGCCATGTTGGCCAGGCTGGTCTCGAACTCCTGGCCTCAAGTGATTCTCCCAAAGTGCTGAGATTACAGGTGTGAGCCACTGCACCTGGCCTGTTTTTCTGTCTTCACCTTGGTTGCCCGTCTGGTTGGTAGCATTCAACAGTGCTGACCCCCTCGTCCTTCTAGAAGTGCAGCATTTCCTGCCTTGGCCTCTGTGACCCTCTCTCTTTTGGATTTCCACCTACCTCTCTGGCATCTATGTCTCAGCCCCTCCACCTTTCACCTGGACCCTGAGGTCAGGCTCCCTTCTGTCCTCTCGGCTGCTGCCAGAGTGAGCTCTTACAGCTTCAGTTTCCTACTTAAATTCCGCCATGTGGATAAAAAGGTACAAACATGCATAGGTATGTCATGAATTAATTACGGTAAAATGATAATTGTAGAACAGAAGTGGTGGAGATATGGGTGTTCACCGCAATTCTTTCAACTTCTTTGTGCTTTGAATTTTTCATAAAATGAGGCTGTGCATGTTGGCTCACGCCTGTAATCCCAGCACTTTGGGAGGCCAAGGTGGGTGGATCACTTGAGGTCAGAAGTTCGAGACCAGCCTGGCCAACATAGTGAAACCCCATCTCTACTAAAAATACAAAAATTAGCTGGGCGTGGCAGTGAGTGCCCGTAATCCCAGCTACTTTGGAGGCTGAGGCAGGAGGATCGCTTGAACCCGGGAAGCGGAGGTTGCTGTGAGCTAAGATCACACCACTGCACTCCAGCCTGGGCGACAGAGCGAGGCTTTGTCTCAAAATAAAAATTATTTTTTCATGAAATGTTGAGGGAAATCTCCTGCAATGATTCTTTTGTCTTTTTTGATAAAATGCAGGCTTCTCTGCCAACACTCTCGTATCCTCTCCACACACATCATCCTAAATGGGGATGTACCCTTGCTGCTCCCAGTACCTGGAACAGGAACATTCTTCTCAGTGTTCTCCAGCCCTCTATGCCCTCTTACTGTTTTATTTTTTAGACAGGGTCTTGCTCTGTCATCCAGGCTGGAGTGCAGTGTCACCATCATGGCTCACTGCAGCCTCGACCTCCCAGGTTCAAGTGATTCTCCTGCCTCAGTCTCCTGAGTATCTGGGATTACAGGTATGCGCTACCATGCACGGCTAGCGAATTTTTTATGGAGACTGGGTCTCACCATATTGCCCAAGCTGGTCTTGAACTCCTGGGCTGAAGCAATCCTCCCGCCTTCTTTAAACTCATCTCATTGATGCCTTCTCCAGGAAGCCTGTGCTGTTCCCTCAGCAAGAGGCTTCTTACCTGATCCCCCACAGCCTCTCCTACAGCTCAGCAACGGTTTATGGAATGAAAGGCCTCTCTTGAAGCTTTGCAGGCACCTGCCTGCCTGAGGTGTTAGCAAATCTGCAGACCCGCCCTGAGGCCATGTGTCTAGTTACCCTGGTCTCTGAATCACAGATGAGCTCTCATTTCTTCCCACAAATAAACCCTGTGACCCTCCACCCTCTACTCAGAGAACCCGCCCTCAGGTAGTTCCCTGTTTGTGACATACACACACTTAGCCCTGAGGCTGGACTGACAGGCCGACCTGGCTGGTGGACTCCAGCCCAAGCCTGCCAGCTGCCTGCCGGGGTGGGGGCCTTGGCGGGAGAGGACGGGGCCGGGTGGGGAGGAAGGCGGGGCCTGAGGCTGTGCGAGGCGAGTCGGTGTGTCCCTGGCTGGGACGGAAGTTGCACCACAAGTACAATTAGTTTCAGTTTTGTTTCTTTTCCAGGCACCCAGCAACGGCGGCCTCCAGGCCTCAGGCCCCCTCACCATCCTAGAGGTCAAGATCAGCTCTGGCTAGGTAAGGGGTGGGGGGCGGCACAGCTATAGGAAGGACCGAGCGGAGGGAGTAGGGGGAGGGGAGTGGAGAGAGAGCGCGGGAGGAGGAGGAAGGGAAGGAAAGGGAGGGCGTGAAGAGGCACCCGGAAGGCAGGAGGAGAGGGCAGGAGGGAAACTGCACTCGCCTCCCTCCCGCTCCGTGGCCACAGGTCCCCGCAAGAAAGACCCCGTCCCACTCTCTGAGGTCTCCTCCCAGCTCCAGAAAAGGGGACATTCCACCTAGTCTGCCCAACAAGTAGGTCTCAGCCACTGTGCCAGGAGCTCGGGACTCCCTCCCTCCAGAGGTTTCTGGAATGCATTCAGCAGGAAAAGCTAAAAGAACAGGACTCCAGGAGATAAGCCAAGGCCAAGTCTATCAGAGGGTGAGCCAGCAGCGGGAAGGGGACCAGCCCTTCCCCTAGCGTTTTTTCTGCCCGCTCCAGAATCCGCTTTAGAAACTGTTAAATGCAGAAAGTGGGGCCTCCACCACCCGCGATGCTGCCCCAGGTCTAGCAGAAGACAGGTGTAAGGCCAGGCGGGTGCGGTGGCTCATGCCTGTAATCCTAATGCTTTGGGAAGGCCGAGACGGGAGGATAGCCTGAGGCCAGGAGTTGGAGACCAGCCTGGGCAACATAGCAAGACCCCATCTCTACAAAAAGTGATAATTTTTAAAAAATGGGCTGGCTGGGCCCCTGGGCATGGTGGCTCACGCCTATAATCCCAGCACTTTGGGAGACCGAGGAGGGCGGATCACCTGAGGTCAGGAGTTCAAGACCAGCCTGGCCAATAGGGCCAAACTCCATTTCTACTAAACATACAAAAATTAGCCGGGTGTGATGGTGCGCACCTGTAATCACAGCTACTCGGGAGGCTGAGGCAGGAGAATCACTTGAACCTGGCAGGTGGAGGTGGCAGTGAGCCAAGATCGCACCACTGCACTCCAGCCTGGGCAACAGAGTGAGACTCTGTCTCAAAAAAAAAAAAAAAAAAAAAAAAGGCTGGGCATGGTGGCACATGCCTGTACTCCCAACTACTCAAAAGACTTGAGTCTAGGAGTTTGAGGCTGCAGTGAACTACGATCACGCCACTGCACTCCAGCCTGGGTGACAGAGGGTGACCCTATTGCTAAAAACTAAAATAAAATAAAAAGAAGGCAGGTGTATGGGGCTTGGAGGATTAAAGCCCCCTAAGCTACTGCAAGATCCTACCCCAACTGGCAGGACCTAGGCATCTCTGCCCACTGGGATCCCCGTCTGTGTCCTTACTGCCTGCTCCTCGCACCCTGGCACCCTATACAGCAGGACCCCAGTACCTGTGCACACAGGAGGGCTTCCACCATGTTTGCCACAAGGCCTGTGGACTGGGGACACTGAGGATTCGATTATTAGCTAAGGCCAGGGACTCCTGGTCTTGTCAGTTCTCACAGGTCTGACCCAACAAGTAGCACTGACATTTTTACGTTTGCTGGATGTACACACGGAAGTGGAGGAGGAGGAGGAGAAGGAGGAGGGCAGCTCCTTAGCTCAAGAGCAAGTGGCCCAAGGCCTCAGAAGACTAGAAGGAAGTTCCTGGCCATTCAGGTGAGACCTCAGGTTCCTTCCCGGCCATTTGGGTCAGCCCCTAGCCCTGGGGATCCGTGGGGCTTGAGGACGGGCGGTAGAAGCTAGAGGGTGAGCTGGTGAAGGTGCCTTCTCAACTCTGATCCTGACGCCTCTGCCTGCAGCATGGTTTCCCACGGGTCCTCGCCCTCCCTCCTGGAGGCCCTGAGCAGCGACTTCCTGGCCTGTAAAATCTGCCTGGAGCAGCTGCGGGCACCCAAGACACTGCCCTGCCTGCATACCTACTGCCAAGACTGCCTGGCACAGCTGGCGGATGGCGGCCGCGTCCGCTGCCCCGAGTGCCGCGAGACAGTGCCTGTGCCGCCCGAGGGTGTGGCCTCCTTCAAGACCAACTTCTTCGTCAATGGGCTGCTGGACCTGGTGAAGGCCCGGGCCTGTGGAGACCTGCGTGCCGGGAAGCCAGCCTGTGCCCTGTGTCCCCTGGTGGGTGGCACCAGCACCGGGGGGCCGGCCACGGCCCGGTGCCTGGACTGTGCCGATGACTTGTGCCAGGCCTGTGCCGACGGGCACCGCTGCACCCGCCAGACCCACACCCACCGCGTGGTGGACCTGGTGGGCTACAGGGCCGGGTGGTATGATGAGGAGGCCCGGGAGCGCCAAGCGGCCCAGTGTCCCCAGCACCCCGGGGAGGCACTGCGCTTCCTGTGCCAGCCCTGCTCACAGTTGCTGTGCAGAGAGTGCCGCCTAGACCCCCACCTGGACCACCCCTGCCTGCCTCTGGCTGAAGCTGTGCGTGCCCGGAGGCCGGGCCTGGAGGGACTGCTGGCCGGTGTGGACAATAACCTGGTGGAGCTGGAGGCAGCGCGGAGGGTGGAGAAGGAGGCGCTAGCCCGGCTGCGGGAGCAGGCGGCCCGGGTGGGGACTCAGGTGGAGGAGGCGGCTGAGGGCGTCCTCCGGGCCCTGCTGGCCCAGAAGCAGGAGGTGCTGGGGCAGCTACGAGCCCACGTGGAGGCTGCCGAAGAAGCTGCTCGGGAGAGGCTGGCGGAGCTTGAGGGCCGGGAGCAGGTGGCCAGGGCCGCAGCCGCCTTCGCCCGCCGGGTACTCAGCCTGGGGCGAGAGGCCGAGATCCTCTCCCTGGAAGGGGCGATCGCACAGCGGCTCAGGCAGCTGCAGGGCTGCCCCTGGGCACCAGGCCCGGCCCCCTGCCTGCTCCCACAGCTGGAGCTCCATCCTGGGCTCCTGGACAAGAACTGCCACCTTCTTCGGCTGTCCTTTGAGGAGCAGCAGCCCCAGAAGGATGGTGGGAAAGACGGAGCTGGTACCCAGGGAGGTGAGGAGAGCCAGAGCCGGAGGGAGGATGAGCCGAAGACTGAGAGACAGGGTGGAGTCCAGCCCCAGGCTGGAGATGGAGCCCAGACCCCAAAAGAGGAAAAAGCCCAGACAACCCGAGAAGAGGGAGCCCAGACCTTGGAGGAGGACAGGGCCCAGACACCCCACGAGGATGGAGGACCCCAGCCCCACAGGGGTGGCAGACCCAACAAGAAGAAAAAGTTCAAAGGCAGGCTCAAGTCAATTTCCCGGGAGCCCAGCCCAGCCCTGGGGCCGAATCTGGACGGCTCTGGCCTCCTCCCCAGACCCATCTTTTACTGCAGTTTCCCCACGCGGATGCCTGGAGACAAGCGGTCCCCCCGGATCACCGGGCTCTGTCCCTTCGGTCCCCGGGAGATCCTGGTGGCGGATGAGCAGAACCGGGCACTGAAACGCTTCTCCCTCAACGGCGACTACAAGGGCACCGTGCCGGTCCCTGAGGGCTGCTCCCCTTGCAGCGTGGCCGCCCTGCAGAGCGCGGTGGCCTTCTCCGCTAGCGCACGGCTCTATCTCATCAACCCCAACGGCGAAGTGCAGTGGCGCAGGGCCCTGAGCCTCTCCCAGGCCAGCCACGCGGTGGCGGCACTGCCTAGCGGGGACCGCGTGGCTGTCAGCGTGGCGGGCCACGTGGAGGTGTACAATATGGAAGGCAGCCTGGCCACCCGGTTCATTCCTGGAGGCAAGGCCAGCCGGGGCCTGCGGGCGCTGGTGTTTCTGACCACCAGCCCCCAGGGGCATTTCGTGGGGTCGGACTGGCAGCAGAATAGTGTGGTAATCTGTGATGGGCTGGGCCAGGTGGTTGGGGAGTACAAGGGGCCAGGCCTGCATGGCTGCCAGCCGGGCTCCGTGTCTGTGGATAAGAAGGGCTACATCTTTCTGACCCTTCGAGAAGTCAACAAGGTGGTGATCCTGGACCCGAAGGGGTCCCTCCTTGGAGACTTCCTGACAGCCTACCACGGCCTGGAAAAGCCCCGGGTTACCACCATGGTGGATGGCAGGTACCTGGTCGTGTCCCTCAGTAACGGGACCATCCACATCTTTCGGGTCCGTTCTCCGGACAGTTAAAGGGGCTAGGACTAGGGTGAGAGGGAGTGGGGAGGGAGAGGGCAGGAAGGAGGCAGAGCTGTCCGTGGGAGGTGGAGGCCGAGGACATTTTCCTGAAGGGCAGGGGTTGGCAACTTTTCAACATGGAGTGCCAAACTGCTAACCCGTCTTCTAGTGTGTGAGAATAGGGACCAAGGTGGTGGCGTGACCTTAACTCTCAGAAGCAGAGGAGGCAGGTGGGTGGAGGGGGATGCTGGGAGTTCACCTGCCTCTTGCTTTTTGTGGGTGGCTGCTGCCACCACCGCCGCTGCTATATAGTTTAGGTTTCTGAGGTTTGTGAGCCTGTCCTGCTTTGCATTCTTCAAAACCATTCCTGATAGAGTAGCCGAGGGAGAGTCTTGGGGCCAAGAAGGGCCCAGGGTGGGTCAGGCGTGTGCACTGTGGAACAGAGCTGAGACCCCGGCCCCCCTTGGACTGGCACAGGGTCCTACAGAGTCAGAGGAGGCCTGAGATTTCGAATGGGCAGTGAATGGCCTCTTCTGCCAGCCACAGGCAGGATGCTCCTTGATCACGGCATCCCCCGGCGGTAGTACAGGGTGAGCTTGCAGGAGGGTCTGCAAGTGCAGACAGCAGCTGGGGCCAAAGAGGTGTTAGGTTCAAAGGCTGCGAAGAGAATAGGCTACTGGAAAACCAAACCCAACAGAATTCACGTCCAAAAATCCACATTCTCCATCGCTTCTCAGCCTTTTGGCTAAGATTAAGTATTAAAAAAAAACCAGGCTCTGCCAGGCGCAGTGGCTCATGCCTATAATCCCGGCACTTTGGGAGTCTGTGGCAGGAGGATTGCTTGAGGCCAGGAGTTTGAGACCAGCCTGGGCAACATAGCGAGACCCCATCTCTACAAAAGATTAAAAATTAGCTGCGTGTAGTAGCATATGCCTTTCAACGTAGCTACTCAGGAGGCTGAGGTGGGAGGATCCCTTGAGCCGAGGAGTTTGAGTCTGCAGTGAGCTATGATCGCACCACTGCATTCCAGACCCCATCTCGAAAAAAAAAAAAAAAAAAAAAAACAGAAACAACAGAAAAAGCAGGTTATCCATCACTTCTCAGCTAAGATCAAGTGTTAAAATAAATAAATAAATAAATAAATAAATAAATAAATAAATACCAAGTTATGAGTGTCAGAGCAGGGGAGCCCTCCACGCAGCCACGGAGCCAGTCTGAGGGAAGAGGTACATAGGATAGAAAAATCTCTAGGCTCCAACGCTTCTGCTTCGGTGTCTTTCCATTTCCCAGGGTCTATGTGTTGCCTTCTCTTCATTTTCCAGCAAAATTCCTTTTGAGATATGTTGGCCTTCACTCGGCTGAACTAGGGGGTGAAGGAAGGTTGTCCTCTGTGGGCCACTATTGCTGGGGAAACAGCTAAACCCTGCAGGCCAAGTGGAACTTGGAGGTGCCAAGAAAACCTAGAAGGTGCAATGGGGCTGCGACGGATAGAGGTGTCAAACCAGAAGGGAGGAACCCGTCGGAGGTGGGCTGTGACCACCGGACCTTTTCATAAGTGGTGGCAGTGGTAGAATTGAGGGGGCAAGTAGGCTTGGAGAATGTTTTTAGCCAGGGGCTGTTGAGAGATGGCAGAAGGGGGTCTTAATGTGGGGACTGTGGACAGTGGGGCATTCGTGGGAACCAGAGGGATTTTGGACAAGTCCAGATGGAATGTGCAGGGCATAGGTAGAGGGAAAAGAAAATCCCTTTCTGGGAAAACCATTTCTTGTTTATTGAAACAATGCAGGACATCATCAAAGTCCGGGTGGACACATTCCATTATCTACAAATTACAAAGGTAGGCACAGCAAAGAATAATGAAGATTATAAGAAAACCAAGCGCCAGGCACGGTGACTCAAGCCTGTAATCCCAGCACTCTGGGAGGCTGGGGTGGGTGGATCACTCAAGGTCAGGAGTTCGAGACCAGCCTGGCCAACATGGAGAAACCCCATCTCTACTAAAAATACAAAAATTAGCTAGGCGTGGGAGCGGGCGTCTGTAATCCCAGCTACTTGGGAGGCTGAGGCAGGAGAATCATTTGAACCCAGGAGGTGGAAGTTGCAGTGAGCTCAGATCGCACCATTGCACTCCAGCCTGGGTAACAAGAATGAAACTCCATCTCAAAAAAAAAGAAAAAGAAAAGAAAGAAAACCAAGGTCCCTCTCCCTCTCCCTCTCCCCACGGTCTCCCTCTGCCTCTCTTTCCATGGTCACGGTCTCCCTCTGATGCCGAGCCGAAGCTGGACTGTACTGCTGCCATCTCGGCTCACTGCAACCTCCCTGCCTGATTCTCCTGCCTCAGCCTGCCGAGTGCCTGCGATTGCAGGCGCGCGCCGCCACGCCTGACTGGTTTTCGTATTTTTTTGGTGGAGACGGGGTTTCACTGTGTTGGCCGGGCTGGTCTCCAGCTCCTAACCGCGAGTGATCCGCCAGCCTCGGCCTCCGGAGGTGCCGGGATTGCAGACGGAGTCTCGTTCACTCGGTGCTCAATGTTGCCCAGGCTGGAGTGCAGTGTCGTGATCTCGGCTAGCTACAACCTCCACCTCCCAGCCGCCCGCCTTGGCCTCCCAAAGTGCCGAGATTACAGCCTCTGCCCGGCCGCCACCCCCTCTGGGAAGTGCGGAGTGTCTCTGCCTGGCCGCCCATTGTCTGGGATGTGAGGAGCCCCTCTGCCCGGCTGCCCAGTCTGGGAAGTGAGGAGCGCCTCTTCCTGGCCGCCATCCCATCTAGGAAGTGAGGAGTGTCTCTGCCCGGCTGCCCATCATCTGAGATGTGGGGAGCACCTCAGCCCCGCCGCCCCGTCTGGGATGTGAGGAGCGCCTCTGCCCGGCCGCGACCCAGTCTGGGAGGTGAGGAGCGTCTCTGCCCAGCCGCCCCGTCTGAGAAGTGAGGAGCCCCTCCGCCTGGCAGCCGCCCCGTCTGAGAAGTGAGGAGCCCCTCCGCCCGGCAGCCGCCCCGTCCGGGAGGGAGGTGGGGGGTCAGCCCCCTCCCGGCCAGCCGCGCCGTCCGGGAGGGAGGTGGGGGGTCAGCCCCCGCCCGGCCAGCCGCGCCTTCCGGGAGGGAGGTGGGGGATCAGTCCCCGCCCGGCCAGCCGCCCCGCCCGGGAGCGAGGTGGGGGGCGCCTCCGCCCGGCCGCTGTCCCGTCCGGGAGGTGGGGGGTCGCCTCTGCCCGGCCGCCCCGTCTGGGAGGTGAGGAGCCCCTCTGCCCGGCCACCACCCCGTCTGGGAGGTGTACCCAACAGCTCATTGAGAACGGGCCATGATGACGATGGCGGTTTTGTGGAATAGAAAAGGGGGAAAGGTGGGGAAAAGATAGAGAAATCAGATTGTTGCCGTGTCTGTGTAGAAAGAAGTAGACATGGGAGACTTCATTTTGTTCTGTACTAAGAAAAATTCTTCTGCCTTGGGATGCTGTTAATCTAAGACCTTACCCCCAACCCCGTGCTCTCTGAAATATGTGCTGTGTCCACTCAGGGTTAAATGGATTAAGGGCGGTGCAAGATGTGCTTTGTTAAACAGATGCTTGAAGGCAGCATGCTCCTTAAGAGTCATCACCACTCCCTAATCTCAAGTACCCAGGGACACAAACACTGCGGAAGGCCGCAGGGTCGTCTGCCTAGGAAAACCAGAGACCTTTGTTCACTTGTTTATCTGCTGACCTTCCCTCCACTATTGTCCTATGACCCTGCCAAATCCCCCTCTGCGAGAAACACCCAAGAATGATCAATAAAAAATTAAAAAAAAAAAAAAAAAAAGAAAACCAAGAAGATGGGAAAACCATGCAGAATTGATTTGACGAGGAAAGCCTTGGTCTCTAATACATGCAATGACTAGAACAGTATTTGGTCAAAGAACCACATAAGCTCTGTACCCTGGAGGAAATGTATGCAGGCAAGGACTAGTAAAATAAAAAATAATAATAATTAAAAAAAAAAAAAAGAAAGGCTGGACGCGGTGGCTCACACCTGTAATCCCAGCACTTTGGGAGGCTGAGGTGGGTGGATCACCTGAGGTCAGGAGTTTGAGACCAGCCTGGCCACTACGGTGAAACCCCATCTCTACTAAAAATACAAAAATTACCCGGGTGTGGTGGCGCATGCCTGTAATCCCAGCTACTGGGGAGTCTGAGGCAGGAGACTCGCTTGAACCTGGGAGGCAGAGGGTGCAGCGAGCCGAGTTCACCCCATTGCACTCCAGCCTGGGTGTCACAGTGAGACTCTGTCTCAAAAAAATAATAAATAAATAATTAAATCCACTTGCAGTGGTCAAAAATAAATGTTAAATAAATGGGTGAGAAATCTTGCGGAGAAATAGACTCCTGGCACTATAAAAATGATCCTGGAGAATAATTTGGCTAGACTTTGCAAGAATGACAAAAATGATTATAAGAATCAGTTGTCTCACTTTGGGGAATACATTCTGGGAAAATAATGTAAGAGAAAAAATATTTGCATACAGACATTTGAGGCTGCTCTGTATATTACAGGCAAGAACTGGAAACTGTTCGGCTGCAGGGTGACAGCTAACTAGATTGTGGTTTATTAGGGGAATGAGCCTTTCTTTGTGTATGACAACTATGAAAACTATTGAGAAGAAATAGTTACGTGATACAGTCATAATCCTCAAAAACGGAGAATCAGGAATTATGATCAAATAGTGATAGTAACAAGGAAAACATCTGTCTAAATAATTACTGAGTAGAAATAGGTTCGGAATTTGTAAATAGTCATTAATTTGGGAGATTGGGGTTTTTTTTGTTTTGTTTTTTGTTTGTTTTTCATTATTTTGTGCTATTATTCATACGTGTACATTTCTACTTCAGTTTTTATTATCCATTACATAACATACATGCTTGATTATTTGCTTCAAGGAAATACACCTTTATAAGTAATACTCAATAACTACTGGGTTTGAGAATGAAGGTGTCAGAACGAATGAGATTGTCCTATGAAAGAAGAGGCAGGAGCCAGGGAGGAGGATCCCACCCGGCCGGGGCTCAGCCAGGAGGCAGGGCCATTGGGGCAGGGTGGCAGTCCAAGGAACCGCTCTGGGAAGGTTTGCAAAGGTCGGGGTCCCCCCTGCCAGGTGATCGAATTATCGTGGAGTGTCTGGAAGGCGGGGGAAGTTTTGTTGAGTTCACCAAATAACTCAGACCAACTGGAAACCAAGTGGAGTTTCTACAGGACCAACTAGAATAGGGATCAGCTACATGGGGGCGGGGGGAGGGGGGCAGGGAACGGTGTCTGTCTTCATTGCAGCTCTGTCTGCAGAGCCAGCACTGTGATACCTCATAGTAGGTGCTCAGTGAATGTCTGTGAAGTGAATTACTATCTAGACAAGGATGAGACTGGTATGACTCTCCAAAGCTTTCCCACCTCCAAAACCTCGGCTTGTGGGGAATCTCCAGTAGGGGGCACTGTGGACACGGTTCGCATCTGCCTCCCAAGGCTGGGCTCCGCGTCAAAAAAAAAAAAAAAAAATGAGACTGAGCCAGGTGCAGTGGTCACTCCTGTTATCTCAGCACTTTGCGTGGCCAAGGCGGGAGGATGTCTTGAGGCCAGGAGTTCAAGACTAGGCTGGGCAACATAGCAAGACCCCATCTCTACAAAAAAATTTTTAAATTAGCCAGAGGTGGTGGCATGCACCCGTAGTCCCAGCTGCTCGGGAGGCTGAGGCAGAAGATTGCTCGAGCCCAGGAGTTCAAGGCTGCAGTGAGCTCTGATTGTGCCACTGCACTCCAGCCTGAGTGACAGAGCAAAACCTGGTTTCCTAAGGGGGGGATAAAAGAGGGAGAGATGAGATCGGGGTGTCCCGCTTCTGTGCATGTGGAGGGGGTAACTGGGAACCGTGTACTGTAGGGGATCGCACACCTTGGGGTGGAAACAGCAGCTCTCCGGAGTTGCATGGGAGCCATGGGCAGTGGTCCTGGCTGGTGAAATGATTCTAGCCACGTGGCCCACCCAGGGGGCAAAACAATAGAAACCTTCAGAAATGAAACGTCACCTGGCTGCAAGAAGATAGTCCCACAGGCGCCCTAGAGATGGGGATGCCAAGTGGCTTCTCGGGAAGCTGTAAGAATCCACAGGGCATTGTAAGATGGAGGGAAATATTAAGTTTTCTTCGTAAAGAGGTGAGGGGGGCGAGAGCAGCAAAGGACACTGGAAAATGAGAAGCATGGATGGGAAGTGTTGCATTGAGCATAATTTGGAGGTAAAATCTCCAACACCGTAACTGAGTGGCCTGGGGACCTGATAGAAAGCCCTGCTCAGGACTAAGGCAGAGTTCCCAGTTATATCGCAGATACAAAGAGACCAGGAACACGCTTGTAATCACAGCACTTAGGGAGGCTGAGGCGGGTGGATGACCTGAGGTCAGGAGTTCGAGACCAGCCTAGCCAACATGGTGAAACCCCCATCTCTACTAAAAATACAAAAATTAGCCAGGCGTGGTGGCACATGCCTGTAATCCCAGCTACTCAGGAGGCTGAGGTGGGAGAATCGCTTGAGCCCGGGAGGCAGGGGTTGCAGCGAGCTGAGATCGTACCACTGCACTCCAGCCTGGGCAACAGAGTGAGACCCTGTCTCAAAAAGAAAAAAAAAAAAGAGAGAAATCAGGAACATCATGAAAGATACAGCAAAATGTTTTACCCCAGCCCACTGCACCACACCTGGGATTGTGACAATTAACTTGATAAATTGTTCCTTTTCCTGTTCGGAACTGACTAGGTTGTGCGTGGATGGACCAGTGAAAAGAAAATCCTGTTTGGGTAGGGAAGAGGGAAGTAGAAAACCTCTTTCGTATTCTTGGTGTCAAGAAATGGGAAGAGAATGAGGGAGCAGAGACCTGGGTTGAGTGTTGGCTCTGCACTAAACAGCTGTGTGATCTTGGTCTAGTGCCTTAACCTCTCTGAGCCTCAGTTTGTACATCAGTAACATTGGGATAATGACATCCACATGCCCACTTCACAGAGCTGCTGTGAGGACTGGATGAGAAATGTAGAGAAGTATTTCGGACACCATAAAGCTCAAATACAAGGTGTTGGTTAGGAAAAGTTTCAACTGACTTGTACCCACCTGATACCCCTCCATCAGCATAAGCGTGTATGAGGATGTTAGGTACATGTGTTGTGAGTGAAAGCTCTGGAACACCCGAGTAGAGCTTTCTGCAAATCAGCTTCTCCTTCAGAGGAGACCATTTTGTTTTGCTTTCCAGCAGTTACTTGAAGAAGCCTTATCTGAAGTCACAACAGTGACTTCAGGAATAGAAGGGACCAATGGCCAGCTTGCTGAAATGTAATGCCATTCTTAAAAGCCAGCTAAGAATCAGACCGTATTAGTTAAGGACCCATAAGAGTAGACATTTAGAAAAAGTGAAAAATGGCAAGAGTGGCCCAATCTTTTGAGAGTTTAGAGAAAATATCATTTGGAAAGGGAGTAGCTCTCCTTCTATTTTAGCCTTATTATTACGGTATCTATAAAGCAATGCCATATTCTAAATCTGCAGAAATAAAATTCTAAGGGGCGAAAGTCCAAGGCAGAAGTCAAAAGTTTTGCAAGGAAACCGATGAGGTTGCTGACCTGAGCTGGGCAGGGTTGAACAGGCGAGTGCCAAGATCAAGGTCTCTGATTGTCTCTCCTTGAAAGGTAAGCAGAGAACTAGGGCTATCCCATAAATTAAGTGGGAGATTGGAAAGGGGTGCGGACTTCTGTATTGGGGAGAAGGTCTTGGATGAACTGGGGCAGAGAACTGCCAGAGAGAGTACCTAGGAATACGTTGTTAGCAGGAGAAAGACCAAGTTCAGATGCAGACTTGGGAAAGTAGGTAACTTGACCAAAGGTAGCAAAATTAGACTACCCAACTGGATTGTGAATGCAGTTTATGAAATGGATCAGGACAGGAGCAAAAATAGATTTTCTAGAAACTGCAGACTCCTGTGATTGGAGCAGTATACAAAGTACAGCAACATCAGACTAGATCTCACCTGAGGTGCTGGGTGAGAAATCTTAGGGACCAGATGGAAGAGGGCCTGTGTATAAAGACATTAGGAAGGAGGTTTGGGAGGGCAGCCTGACTTGTCTCCAGAGAAAGTTAGAACTGGTTGACTTAGCAACCAAGGGACACTGGGTCAAAGACGAGGAATCAGGACGTCGGTGCCTAGTGACTGAGCGCCAGCCCAGCCCATTTCTCTACATTGCCATGGGCTAAACCCAGTGTGCTGTAAACTCTTCAGTTCCTTTGGTTATGGATTTTGTATCTTTTCTGTGTTTCTTAATAAAGTTCTTTTGAAAAATGGGAACCTTTCTCAGATGGGAATTTTGTATCTTTCCTCTGTTTCTTAATAAAGTTCTTTTGAAAAATTGGAACCTTTTCTCAGAAGGGTTTATGGATACGGGGAACCTTTTTTTTTTTTTTTGAGACGGAGTTTCGCTCTTGTCGTCCAGGCTGGAGTGCAGTGGCACGATCTTGGCTCACTACAACCTCCACCTCCCAGGTTCAAGCAATTCTCCTGCCTCAGCCTCTTGAGTAGCTGGGATTATAGGCACAAGCCAACACGCCTGGCTAATTTTTGTACTTTTGGTAGAGACGGGGTTTCACCATGTTGACCAGGCTGGTCTAGAACTCCTGACCTCAAGTGATCCACCCGCCTCAGCCTCCCAAAGTGCTGGGATTACAGGCGTGAGCCACTGCACCCGGCTGGATACAGGGAACCTTTAACAACCAGGCCCAGATAGTGAAGGAAATCAGGTCATCAAAGCCACCCAATGGTAGGTAGCTCCCAGGGTGGCCACACAGATTCCTTGGGGACATTGCAGAAGCATGCACCTTCTGGGTGGGAACCAGTAGGTGATCTGGCCCATGCTGGCGCATGCAGGGCTCCACCTGGGCACACGCAGGTGTGATATGCAGGAAGTACATGAGGGACCCAGGTCATGGTGGCTGTGCCCACCACGTGGGGCTTTGTTTTGGGGTTTGTGGAAGCCAAACAAGCACCTGTGGGTACCTTCCCTTTTCTATTTTTTCTATTTATTTTTTTGAGACGGAGTCTCTCTCTGTCATCCAGGCTGGAGTGCAGTGGCGTAATCTCGGTTCACTGCAACCTCCACCTCCCGGGTTCAAGTGATTCTCCTGCCTCAGCCTCCCGAGTAGCTGAGATTACAGGCACCCACCACCATCCCCTGCTAATTTTTGTATTTTTAGTAGAGACAAGATTTCACCATATTAGCCAAGCTGGTCTCCAGCTCCTGACCTTGTGATCTGCCTGCCTTGTCCTCCCAAAGTGCTGGGATTACAGGCGTGAGCCACCGTACCTAGCCCCCTTTTTTTATTTTTTATTTTGTTTTTTGAGACAGGGTCTCACTTTGTCGCCCAGGCTGGAGGGCAGTGGTGCGATCTCGGCTCACTGCAGCCTCAACCTCCAGGGCTCAAATGATTCTCCTGTCTCAGTCCCTCAAGTAGCTGAGATTACAGGCACTCACGACCATACCTGGCTAATTTTTGTAGAGATGGCATTTTGCCATGTTGGTCAGGCTGCTCTCAAACTCCTGGGCTCAAGCGATCTGTCCGCCTCGGCCTCCCAAAGCACTGGGATTACAGGCGTGAGCCGCCGCATCCAGCTGCATCTGTGGGTACTTTCCAGCCTGTGGCATTTGGGGTCCTCCCTGCAGGGGGGGCGGGTTCTAGGAACATCTACCTACTGGCCAAACCCACTCCCCTAACCTGGTATCCAAGAGCCCCCAAAAAAGCTTCCTTCCTCTCCCCTCCAAGTTTTCCCAAAGAGGAAGAGGAATGATCTCAGCCTCTGGCCTCCCCATCAAATACAGGAGAACCGATAGCAGTGGCTGAGATCTTGCCTTCGCCTGCTCCCCATCCATTGACTCCCAGAAGCCTTCACATTCTGTTACATATGAGAAAACCAACCGAGGCTTGGCGAGGCTTGCTCAGAATAAGTCGATTTCAATTTAGACTGAGAACTGTCTGACTCCAAAGCTGCCCTTCCTAGCACCCAATGCCCAGTTCTCTGCCTTCTCAAGCAGCTCAAATCCTGGCCGAGTCACTTGAGCCTATCTGTATCTCTGTTTCCTCATTTATAAGATGAGTGAGTGGATGAAATAAGATCTGAGATGCTAAGCCGGGTACAGTGGCTCACGCCTGTAATCCCGGCACTTTGGGAGGCCAAGGTGGGCAGATCACCTGAGATTGGGAGTTGAAGACCAGCCTGACCAACATGGTGAAACCCCGTCTCTACTAAAAATACAAAATTAGCCAGGTGTGGTGTCGCATGCCTTTAATCCCAGCTACTTGGGAGGCTGAGGTAGGAGAATTGCTTGAACCCGGGAGGCAGAGGTTGCAGTGAGCCAAGATGGCACCTTTGCACTCCAGCCTGGGTAACAACAGTGAAACTCCATCTCAAAAAAAAAAAAAAAAAAGATCTGAGATGCTGCCCCGTGCTAATAAACCAGGCCCTGGTCCCTATTAGGAGAGGTCTGGAATTTTGACCTAAGGGGGGTGCTCAGAGACACACCATGCACCCTGCTGGCATCCTGTTCAAGGCCCCCAAGACGGAGATGGAGAGACACAATGACAAGCGGGGAGGGAATGCTTTGAATGGCTTGGCGGGGGAGAGGGCCCTCGGCTGCCGGTGACAGCCTGAATAAGAATTCTGCAATTCATCCTCTGATGACTCAGCTAGTTGGACCGGCGCCTCTGCCAACCCTGGGGAGCATGAGTCAGCAGCTGAGGGGGCCGATGGCAGGAGAGATCGCTGTGGTCCATGTGAGCAGTGACTGTAGGGAGAACGGCCTGTTCCCAGCTCCTAACCCCAAGGCGGAGCATCTGCCTCTGCGGTCGGACACACACGGGCCTCAGGTTCTTAGCCATGTGGCCAAGCCTCCTCCCTCAGACCCGATCTCTCCTCCTTTGCACTAGTGCAGTCACAGCCCCAGAAACGCAGGGGTCACGTCTGCTCCCCACAGCCTTGGTGAGCAGCCGTATCTGCAACAAGAGACTCTGCTCCTCCCTCCTCTTCACTCTTTCCGTGGGGTTAGATTGACCTCCCAAGCACAGCAACGAAGCCCATGCCGGAGAAGAGGAGAAGGAGGGACGTGGCGCAGGCCAGGTACATGGCTGGGCAGATGGCCACGGCGTCCTTCCCTGCTTCTGGGGGTTGGGGAATGGGTTTCTCGGGGGTTGATATTTTTGCTCAGGGGCCAACTCAGAAAACCTTCCTTCACACTTGGAAACAGCCGTATCTATGTTGCCTCCCGTGATCGTAGGTTAGGGACGGTCCATCCACTTATTCACTTATTAGAAGAAAACAGCCAAAGCAAGCCAAGGTGCAGCAGACCCCCGAGTCCAGAGAGCTGCTGGTGGCACAAGGCCGCAGAGTGAGGCGCACACGCAGACCTCACCCCCTCCAGCAATGCCTGCCTGCCATGCCTGGCAGCTCTGATCATCATCTAACTTTTTTTTTTTTTTTTTTGAGACAGAGTCTCTGTCACCCAGGCTGGAATGCAGTAGTGCAATCTCAGCTCACTGCAACCTCTATCTCCCAGGTCCAAGTGATTCTCCTGCCTCAGCCTCCTGAGCAGCTGGAATTACAGGCACCCGCCACCATGCCCAGCTATTTCTTCTATTTTTAGTAGAGACGGGGTTTCACTATGTTGGCCAGGCTGGTCTGGAACTCCTGACCTTTAGTGATCTGCCCGCCTCAGCCTCCCAGAGTACTGGGATCACAGGCATGAGCCACCGCACCCGGCTTCACTGCCTAACTTAGATTGTTCACATGCAGCTCCTTCCCTGCCTACAAAACCCTTCAGGAGGACAAGGGCTTCTAATTCATAGTGGGCACTCCATAATCAGGTATTTTGGAGATATCTATTGGTTGAAATAACGAATGAGTGAATGTATGCTAAAGCCTAGTCACTTTCGTTCAGATCGCATATACACTCCAGGGCAGGTGGCAACTCTATTGAGGGGGTGAGACCCTTCTGCAAAAGAGATTTATTAATTATTCCTTTCCTTGGAAGGGAGGCATGAGTAAGAATGAAGTTATTTAAGCTCAGTGGCTCATGCC
The DNA here is from genome assembly GCF_000001405.40 of Homo sapiens. Lineage (NCBI taxonomy): Eukaryota > Metazoa > Chordata > Mammalia > Primates > Hominidae > Homo > Homo sapiens. The sequence continues at coordinate 101,101,678 of NC_000007.14, forward strand.
TGTCATCCCAGAGCTTTGGGAGGCGAAGGAAGGAGGATTGCTTGAACCCAGGAGCTCGAGACCAACCTGAGCACTATAGCGAGACACCATCTCTACAAAAAGTTTAAAAATTGGCTGGGTGTGGTTGTGTGCACTTATAATCCCAGCTACTTGGGAGGCTGAGAGCAGGAGGATCGCTTGATCCTGGTAGGTGGAGGTTGCAGTAAACTGAGATTGTACCACTGTACTCCAGCCTGGGTGACAGAGCGAGACCCTGTCTCAAAACAAAACAAACAGAAAGATAATAACCCCTCCCTGCTGGGCTTTTTATTTTTCCATACCTCTCTAACCTTCTAACATACTCTACCCTTTCATTATGTATTCTGCTTATTGTTACCGATTTTCAACCCCTGTAGAATGCAAGCCCCATGAGGACGGGGGACTTTGTTTTGTTCACTGATAGGTCCGGAATAGTGCCTGGGCTATAGTACATGCAGAATGAGTGAATGAGTGAATGTATGCAGGAATGAGAGTGGGATGCAGTGTACATTTCCTCCCAGCCAGGCTCCTTTCTGCCTGCCATGCATACCACATGGATTCTCTTTTGGTCCTCTCAGGAATTCTATGTGGGGGGGGTATCACTCCCATCCCCATTTTATTTTTTTTATTTTTTTATTTTTGAGATGGAGTTTTGCTCTTTCGCCCAGGCTGGAGTGCAGTGGTGCGATCTCTGCTCACTGCAACCTCTGCCCCTCCAGGTTCAAGCGATTGTCCTGCCTCAGCCTTCCGAGTAGCTGGGATTACAGGCATGTGCCACCACACCCGGCTAATTTTTGTATTTTTAGTACAGACGGGATTTCACCATGTTGGTCAGGCTGCTCTCAAACTCCTGATCAGCCTCAAGTGATCCACCCGCCTCAGCTTCCCAAAGTGCCGGGATTACAGGCGTGAGCCACCACTCCTGACCATCCTCGTTTTAAAGATGAGGAAGGTAGCCGGGTGTGGTGGCTCATGCCTATAATCCCAGCACTTTGGGAGCCGTAGCCTGTGTATCGCTTGAGCCCAGGAGTTTGAGACCAGCCTGGGGAACATGGTGAAATCCCATCTCTACAAAAAATACAAAAAATTAGCCAGGTGTTGTGGCGTGTACCTGTAGTCTCAGCTACTTGGGAGGCCGAATTGGGAGGATCATCTGAGTCCGGGAGGTTGAGGCTGCGGTGAGCCATGATTATACCACTGCACTCCATCCTGGGCTACAGAGCTAGACCCTGTCTCAAAAACAAACAACCAAAGAAATAGGCAGCGTGCGGTGGTTCACGCCTGTAAACCCAGCACTTTAGGAGGCCAAGGCGGGAGGATCACAAGGTCAGGAGTTCGAGACCAGCCTGGCCAATATGGTGAAACCCCGTCTCTACTAAAAATACAAAAAAAAGTTAGCTGGACTTGGTGGCAGACGCTTGTAATCCCAACTACTCGGGAGGCTGAGGCAGGAGAATTGCTTGAACCCGGGAGGTGGAGATTGCAGTGAACTGAGATCACGCCACTGCACTCCAGCCTGGTGACAGAGCAAGACTCTGTCTCGAAAACAAACAAACAAAAAAACCATGAGGAAGGTGAGGCTAGAGAGATTATGCAACAAGGTCACCAGTAGTTAGGCAGAGGTGAAAGTCCACATGGCCACTCCTGGGCCAACTTCACCACACCCTGGGGGTCTGCACGAGAGACCTTCTGGGAATGCCACACCCCACTTAATCTGCCCAGGGTATTTCTCTATCTCCCTGCCCACCAATTTCATATGTGATCCCATTCCATCCCACAAAATATATCTGTGCCCTGAGGTACAGTTTCCCCTCAGCTAAGATTTTTTCCTGGTAGGAAAACAGGGAGTTCATGGAGACATAGAGGCAGCCTAGGACTGGGCAGGTGAGGTGTAAGGAGAGTGGGTCTGGGTTCAAGCTGGCCCGAGGCTCCCAGGCCTGGCACCCCCTGCCTTCCACCTGCAGAACAGGTCTTCAGAGGGAGGTATGTCTTGGAGCAGAGGGTTTTTGGGGTGGGCAGAGCTGTCCCTACAAGTTCAGCTCCAGGCAGCAGGAAATCCACAGAAATGTGAACAGGGGTTGGGTGCGGTGGCTCACGCCTATAATCCCAGCACTTTGGGAGGGCCAGGCGGGCAGATCATTTGAGGTCAGGAGTTGAAGACCAACCTGGTCAACATGGTAAAACGTCATCTCTACTAAAAATACAAAAATCAGGCTGGGCGCAGTGGCTCATGCCTGTAATTCCAGCACTTTAGGAGGCCATGGCGGGTGGATCACTTGAGGTCAGGACCAGCCTGGCCAACATGGTGAAACCCCATTTCTACTAAAAACAGAAAAATTAGCCGGGCCTGGTGGCACACGCCTGTAATCCCCGCTACTCGGGGGGCTGAGGCTCAAGAATTGCTTGAACCGGGAGGTGAAGTTTGCAGCAAACTGAGATCGCGCCATTGCACTCTAGCCTGGGCGGCAGAGTGAGACTCTATCTCAAGAAAAAACAAAAAACAGAAAAACAAAAACAAACAAACAAAAAATTGGCCAGATTAAGTGGGGTGTGGCTTCCCCGGAAGCCTTCATGCGCAGGCTTTGCCAGGGCTGACAAAGTTGTCCCAGGCTGGCCACGTGGGCTTTGATCTCTCCCCAACTATTTGCTCCCGTGTGATCCCTGGAGAGAGGAATGGAGACACTTGAATATCAGCAACAGGGGGCAGGATGCAGATCCTCCCTGCTCAGGAAGACACGCGTGGGTGTCTCCACCCACGGGAGAGCCTGTTGCAGGCGCCGGAGAGAGCTCCTGGTGCCTCCTGTGGGGGCTCCTGCACTTGGCCAGGGAAGGGCCTCCTCTTTGGTGTTTTTTTTTTTTTTACGTTTATGTTTATGTTTATTTTTCGAGATAGGGTCTTGCTCTGTTGCCCAGGCTGGAGTGCAGCGGTGCGATCTCAGCTCACTGCAACCTCTGCCTCCCGGGTTCAAGCGATTATCCTGCCTCAGCCTCCAGACTAGCTGGGACTACAGGCCCCTGCCACCATGCCCGGCTAAGCTTTGTATTTTTAGTAGATTTTAGATTTTACCATGTTGCCCAGGCTGGTCTCAAACTCCTGACCTCAGGTGATCCGCCCACCTCAGTCTCCCAAAGTGTTGGGATTACAGGCTTGAGCCACCACACCCGGCCTCCTTGGTGTTTAGATGGGGAAGGGGGTGTATCTCTGTGATCTGTCAGGGTGTTCCCAGGCAGGGCACTAGGCCAGCTCCTGCCTCATCAAAGGATCAAGACTGGAATTTCCCTCCATTTCCTATCATTTTAGTCCTCATCTGAGGACCACAGCTGCCAAGTCTGTCTCTCACGAGCACATGCTGGGCATAGGTGAGGGGCAGAGCCCTACATAAGCACCCCTATGCCCTGTCCAACCTCCCTCCAGAAGCCCCTGTCCTCAGACAGAAGGTGCATCCTCTCCACTTTGGGTCCTTCTCCCCTTCCAAGAAAGGGGTTCAGGGCAAGGAGAGCTTAACGCAGCTCCACCACTCACTAACTGGGTGACGTCTGCAGAGGTTACTTAGCCTCTCTGAACCTCTGTTCTTCGTCTGTAAAATGATCACAGTAAGATATGCCACGGGGTTCCTGGAATAAATGAGATTAATAACATAAACAAACCAGGTGCAGTGACTTGTGCCTGTAATTCCAGCTACTCAGGAGGTCGAGGCAGGAGGATCACTTGAGTCCAGGAGTTCAAGACCAGCCTGGGCAACATAGTGAGACCCTGTCTCTACAAAATACTTTTTTCTTTTTTGAGACAGGATCTCGCTCTGTCAGCCAGGCTGGAGTGCAGTGGCGCAATCTAGGGTCACTGCAACCTCTGCCTCCTGGGTTCAAGCCATTCTCCTGCCTCAGCCTCCTGAGTAGCTGAGATTACAGGTGCCTGCCACCATATCCAGCTAATTTTTGTATTTTTAGTAGAGACGGGGTTTCACCATGTTGGCCAGATTGGTCTCAAACTTCTGACTTTAAGTGATCCACCCTCCTCGGCCTCTCAAAGTGCTGGGATTACAGGCATGAGCCACTGTGCCTGGCCCATCTCTACAAAATATTTAAAAATTAACAAGGCATGGTGGTGCGTGCCTATAATCCCAGCTACTCAGGAGGCTGAGGTGAGAGGACCGTTTGAGTCTGGAAGTTTGAGGCTATAGTGAGCTATGATGGCATCCCTGCACTCCAGCCTGGATGACAGAGCAAGACTGTCTCTTAACAAAACAATAGGCCAGGCGTGGTGGCTTATGCCCGTAATCCCAGGACTTTGGGAGGCCAAGGTGGGCGGATCTCCTGAGGTCAGGAGTTCGAGACCAGCCTGGCCAACATGGCGAAACCCCATCTCTACTAAAAATACAAAAATTAGCCTGGCGTGGTGGCGCTCACCTGTAATCCCAGCTATTCAGGAGGTTGAGACAGGAGAATCACTTGAACCTGAGAGGTGGAGGTTGCAGTGAGCCGAGCTTGCGCCACTGCACTCCAGCCTGGGTGACAGAGCAAGTCTCTGTCTCAAATAATAAATAAGTAAATAAATAAATAAATAAATATAACAAGGCCAGGGCGGGGTGTTGGATGATCCTAATCACTGCTGTTGTCTAGCAATGACAATCAGAGACATCCTCACCACTTGGAGACACATCTGTCCCATGGCCTGGACAGTGACATTTTCGGGACAGGACACCAACTCTTCTGAACAATTGGAGACCCCATGCCAAGCATGATCTCTCTGGATTCCCCCCTTTCTGAAGCCTGCAGAACACCCTCCTAACGCCCGCAGAACGCCCTCCTCGAACTGGCATTTTCCTTCAGACGGACAGTGATGCTGTTGCTTCTCTAAGTTGCAATCACAATTGCGTCAGCTCCTCTGAGGTTCCTCCCAGGTCTCCTTAATTGGATTTGGAACATTTGCAGACAGACAGTCGCCTAAGGTAACTTCTAGAAGGCTAATATCCTCTCCTAAACTGAGTTTCTTCCTAATTAAGTTCTCAGAAGGAAATGTTCACTTTGGAGTACTTCACTGTTGGGCCCAAGCACTGCCCATTGTGCAGTATTCAGTTTATCTGTTGTTGGCTTTTTTTGTTTTTGTTTTTGTTTGTTTGTTTGTTTAAGACGGGGTCTTGCTCTGTCGCCCAGGCTGAAGTGCAGTGGTGCGATCTCAGCTCACTGCAGCCTCCGCCTCCCAGGTTCAAGCAATTCTCCCACCTCAGCCTCCTAAGTAGCTGGGATTACAGGTACCTGCCACCATGCCCGGCTAATTTTTGTATTTGTAGTAGAGACAGGGTTTCACCATGTTGGCCAGGCTGGTCTCAAACTCCTGACCTCAGGTGATCCACACACCTCGGCCTCCCAAAGTGCTGGGATTACAGATGTGAGTCACCACGCCCGGCCCGTTTTTGTTTTTTCAGAGATAGGGTCTCACTCTGTCGCCCAGCCTGGAGTGCAGTGGTGTGATCATAGCTCACTGCAGCCTCCAACTCTTAGGCTCAAGCAATCCTCCCACCTCAGCCTTCCGAGTAGCTGGGACCACAGGTGTGCGCCACCATGCCCAGCTAATCATTTTATTTTTTGTAGAGGAGGGATCTCATTGTGTTACCCAGGCTGGTCTTGAACTCCTGGGCTCAAGTGATTCTCCTGTCTCAGCCTCCCAAAGTGCTGGGATTACAAGCATGAGCCACTGCACTTGGCCCATATCATGCAGTATTAAGGGGCATAGGAGGAAAGTGTAGACCCAAACAGTTCCTAACCCCTAAATTCTTACCATCCAGTAGGGAAAGCAAAATGAATACATGGCAGTATTTTCAGTAGAGACAGGGTTTCACCATGTTGGCCAGGCTGGTCTCAAACCCCTGACAATGGAAAGCAAGCCAGTGCTGAACTCTGTGTGTGATCCTGTGGGTCCTATTGCAAGAATTTTCAGGTTCAAAGGACAGACAGCAGAGGGTGGTTTGGGGGGAAAGGTGGAAGCCCTAGAAGGCTCTGTGGACCACAGATCTGCAAAGGAGGGGAAACATTCCAGAGAGGAGTGTGTGTGGCCGGAGACTGGCCACAAAAGACCCCCAGAAGTTGAAGTGGGGGCAGCGAGTGGACCTGCCTAATTGCAAGAGATGGATGGCAAAAACAAAAATCAGATCTTGTGATGGGAGGAGAGGAACAGATGTGGCAAATCTAGATGTGCCCCCAACCCCGTGTTTACAGATAACTTCCCAGTTTCCCCTTTCACCCACACAGCTTCTGCTCATCTTCTGCAGAACAGGCACGGCGGGGTGGGGGCCAGGCGCAGTGGCTGACACCTATAATCCTAGCACTCTGGGAGGCCGAGGCAGGTGGATCACTTGAGGTCAGGAATTCGAGACCAGCCTGGCCAACTTGGTGAAACCTGTCTCTACTAAAAATACAAAAATTAGCCAGGCGTGGTGGCGCATGCCTGTAGTCCCAGCTACTTGGGAGGCTGAGGCAGGAGAATCGCTTGAACCCGGGAGGCGGAGATTGCAGTGAGCAGAAATCGCATCGCTGCACTCCAGCCTGGGCGACAGGGCAAGACTCTGTCTCAAAAAAAAAAAAAAAAAAAAAAAGAGGCACTGGGTTTGTTGGGAAACGTGGGGAGCCCTGGGGAGGCCCTGCAATTACCACAGCCCTGGCAGACGCCCATTACAAAAGCACAAACACACACACACACACGCACGCACGCTCATTCATCCAGCCAGCGGAACTAACGGTCTACTGGACAGGAAAGCCCTGTTGGAGAGAGAGGGTGGGGAATCCCGCCCAGGCCAAGGGGGACAGCCCTGCTGCCTTCCACCTGCTGCAGAGCTGCTGACCGGCTCTGATTCAACCCGGAAAACCAGCCCGGTGTTTTGGACACAACATGACCTTTTACCTGTGGGCCTCTCGGGATTCTCAGAAACAGCAACAGGTGGGGGGTTGGGGGGTTCCCGAGCCTGGGGCTTTCCTTCTGGGCTCAGCCCCCACCTCCGCCCCCACTTCCCTGATGAGCTGCTACCAAAGATAGACAAGAGCAAATGGAGTTTGGCATGTCATTTCCTGAAAGGATGGGGACTTGAAGACAAGGTCCCCTGGGCCCAGTTCCCGGAGTTTAGGTTCAAGAACGAGATGCTTGATCCACCCAAAGCAGAACGGCTTCTGCTAGCTCTAAATCGGTGGCTCAGAAAGAGAAGGGGGCTCCCAAACCTCCTAGACCCTAAAGCTCCTCTGTTGGTCTCTCTAATTTCCCTGGTGTCCCCTGTCCAGGAGCAAGGCCGTGGACACACAACAACTGCCTCTGCTTCCTGAGATGCTGATCCTTGGACCAAGCTGGCCAGTCCAGGGCTGAAGGGCTCAGGAGGAGGGAGAGGTCTCTGCCTGCAGGGCCCCAAGCATCTGCTGTCCCTGGCACGACCCGGGTTGTCTGGGTCTGGGGCCAGTCTCCTAGGGGAATGAGCTGGCAGGCTGGGTTGTACCCAGGGAGTGTGCCTGGAGGGAGACAGCCGTCGTGGTTCAGGCTGTGAATAACAGGAGCCTCATCTCTGCCCCAGAGCTTCAGGGAAGGGAGCACCTGGCACAGAAGTGACTAAGAGAGCAGGTCTGGGCGGGTAGCTGACGTGCAGCAAACAAGGGAATAGGAGGTTCCCCCAGGTTCCCACACACGGAGCAAATCCCACGGCCTGCCCTTTGGGGTCCTCCATGTCCAGACCCTCCAACCTGGTTTCTGCACACAACTGCTTCTCCAGGCTGAGAAGTCCTCCCGACCAGCCCCCAACCATACCCCTCTGCTCTATGCCAAGGTCACTGGACCCTTCCTTGTCTGCTCCAGGCCTCACACATCCCCTCTCTAGGGGCCTAATCTGATCTCATGTGTCACTCAAGAGCCTCTTGGTGTAAATCTCCTTAGAACCTTTTTTTTTGAAACAGGGTCTCACGACCAGGCACAGTGGCTCACGCTTGTAATCCCAACACTTTGGGAGGCCAAGGTGGGTGGATCACAAGGTCAGGAGTTCGAGACTAGCCTGGACAGCTTAGTGAAACCCCGTCTCTACTAAAAATACAAAATTAACTGGGCATGGTGGCAGGTGCCTGTAATCCCAGCTACTCAGGAGGCTGAGGCAGGAAAATCACTTGAACCCAGGAGGTGGAGGCTACAGTGAGCCGAGATGATGCCACTGCACTCCAGCCTGGGCTACAGAGTGAGAGTCTGTCTCTTTAAAAAAAGTTGTGAAGGAAGGGGCCAATGAAGGAACTCATAGGGAGCAGTGGGTCACACGGTGAGGGGCTTGAAGTATCCTGGGTTGGGGATAGGGGACAGGCATGCAAGGGTCACGTCGGGGGAACAGCTGAGATACGGAGAAACAGGATGAAGTCTGGTTAAGAGCTGGGGCTGCTGGAGCCAGTCTCTCTCTTAGCTGAGTGACTTTGAGCAGGATAGCAAATCCTCTATCTGTCAGTTTCCTCATCTTTCAGATGAGAATAGGACCAATACCTTATTTTGTTATTTTAAGAGAAAGAGTCTCTCTCTGTCATCCAGGCTGGAGTGCAGTGGCATGATCATAGCTCACTGCAGCCTTGAACTCCTGTCCTTAAGCTACCCTCCCTCCTCAGCCTCCGGAGTAGCTGGGACTACAGGTGCATGCCACCACACCCAGCTAATTATTAGTATTATTACATTTTTTTCTTTGGCGGACAGAGTCTTGCTATGTTTGCAAGACAGAGTCTTGCTGTGTTGCCCAGGCTGGTCTCCAATCCCTGGCCTCCAGTTCCTGGCCTCAAGTGATACTCCAGTCTCAGCCTCCCAAAGTACTGGGATTACAGGAGTGAGCCCCCACATCTGGTCCCCAATACCCATTTTTAATTAATTATTTATTTATTTTATTTTTTATTTTTTCTTGAGATGGGAGTCTCCCTCTGTCACCCAGGTTGGAGTACAGTGGCGTAATCTCGGCTCACTGCAACCTCCACCTCCCGGGTTTAAGCATTTCTCCTGCCTGAGTCTCCCTAGTAGCTGGGATTACAGGCACCCACGACCATGCCCGGCTAATTTTTATATTTTTAGTAGAGACGGGGTTTCACCATGTTGGCCAGGCTGGGCTTGAACTCCTGACCTTAAGCAATCTGCCTGCCTCAGCCTCCCAAAGTGCTGGGATTACAGGTGTGAGCCACCGTGCCTGGCTGTCAATAACCATTTCTTAGTTGTATGAAAATGAAATAGAATAATGAGTATGAAACAGGGCCTAGCAAACAGCAACTGCTATATGTATCTTAGCCCTGTTATTGCTGCAGTTTGGGGATGGGAACTTCAAAAACTCTAAAGAAAAGGCAAGCAGGGCCGGGTGTGATGGGTCACGCCTGTAATCCCAGCACTTTGGGAGGCCGAGGCTGGCAGATCACCTGAGGTCGAGAGTTCGAGACCAGCCTGACCAACATGGTGAAACCCCATCTCTACTAAAAATACAAAAATTAGCTGGGCGTGGTATGGGAGGCTGAGGCAAGAGAATTGCTTGAACCCGGGAGGCAGAGGTTGCAGTGAGCCGAGATCGCGCCATTGCACTCCAGCCTGGGCAACAAGAGCGAAACTCCATCTCAAAAAAAAAAAAAGAAAGGCAAGTAGACCCTGAGAGCTGAAAAACAAATGGATTCGCTGATCAAAGCCACCTAAACAAATTACAGAAGCAACCACAAATCCAGACTAAGGCGGGCAGGAATTTTTAGACTCTTTGCCTCAATCTTCCCTCCAGCCCTGCCAGCATGGGAGACTGGCCTGGGGAATCCCGGGGGCACTGTGTCGTTTCTTCTGTCCCTTCCAGATGGAAGCTTCTTTTCTAGCCCTGGGAGAAGGCTCATTCCTGCTCTGCTCAAGGCTAGCCTGGTCTGGGCCCTGAAAGAAAAGGAAATTGTCCCCTGTAGTACCACAGAGGGTGGCCCTAGACTGACCTCTTTCACCCCTAATGGAGCTTTCCACAAGCTCTGGCTCCTGAAAATCCTGCCCTGAAACCTGGAGCCCACTGGGCATGGTGGCTCACGCTTGTAATCCCAGCACTTTGGGAGGCCGAAACAGGAGGATTGCTTAAGCCCAGGAGTTTGAGGCCAGCTTGAGCAACACAGCAAGACCCCATTTCTACAAAAATTTTTAAAAATTTTTTGAGTGTGCTGGGTGTGCTGGCGTGCGCCTATGGTCCCAGCTACTAGGGAGGCTGAGGTGGGAGGATCACTTGAGCCCGAGAGCTTGAGGCTGCAGTGAGCCATGATCATACCTCTGAACTCCAACCTGGGTGACAGAGAGAGACCCTGTCTCAAAACAAAATCGAAAACAAATGAACAAAAAAAAACAAGGGCTGTCTTATTTGGTGGCCAGCAGCTGACTGGCCATTGAGGGCTATGGCCATTATGGCCTCAGCCACAGTGGAACCTCCTTAGCTGGATCCTCCTCCAGTTCTTCCCTTGATCCCCTGACTTTGGCAGTGGAATCCTGTTCCTCCCCATAGGAGCATATCAGCCTTGAAAGGCCAGAAAACAGTGCAGGGACCCATTTCTTCCAGCTGGTCCAACGCGGTGCCCCACCCAGCACTCCAGCCCTGCCTGGAAGACGCTAGATGCTGTGAGCTTCCCCAGGCCTGGGTTGTTTACCCCACTTGGGGCAGGAAGGCCCTGTCCCTTCCCTTGCCCCCGTGGGGATGACTCTATCCCCTACGCATTGTTTCCCTTCCGCTGGAATTTCTGTTCTTGAGGACTTCATGTTCTACCCCTCGCATAACGGTTTCCTCCTGTCCAGACAGGGCTGGCCACCAGCCAGGACCTTGACCATTCGTGCAGAGGATGGGGGCCGAACACAGCAAAGGGTTGAAGCAGGAAGAGGGAAGCTGGAATTCCTCCTTGGTCAGGGCCTTGGGGCCCCTTCTGCAGGGGCCTGCGGTGCATCCACTGTGGATGGGACTTCAGGCCCAGGCCACCACGCCAGAATACATATGTATATATATTTGTATTTTCTGTGGAGACGGTGTCTCACTATTTTGCCCAGGTCAGTCTCGAACTCCCAGGCTCAAGGGATCCTCCTGCCTTGGCCTCCCAAAGTGCTGGGATTACAAGCATGAGCCAATGCACCTGGTCCCCAATACCCATTTTTTTAGTTTAGTTGTATGAAAATGAAACAAAATAATGCTATGAAACAGGGCCTAGCAAACAAACAGCAAGTGCTCTGTGTATACTAGCCCTGTTATTGCAGAAGTTAGGGGAAGGGAACTTCTAAAACTCTAAAGAAAGCCGGGCGCGGTGGCTCACGGGTGGAATCCCAGCACTTTGGGAGGCCAATGCAGGCAGATCAGTTGAGGCCAGGAGTTTGAGACCACCCTGGCCAATATGGCGAAATCCTGTCTCTACTAAAGATACCGAAAACAGCCGGGCGTGGTGGCGCATGCCTGTAACTCCAGCTACTCGGGAGGCTGAGGCAGGAGAATCGCTTAAACCTGGGAGACGGAGGTTGCCGTGAGCTGAGGTTACACCACTGCACTCCATAGCAAGACTTTGTCAAAAGAGAAAGAGAGAGAGAGAGAAAGAGCGAAAGCGAGAGAGAAAGAAAGAAAGAAAGAAAGAAAGAGAGAGAGAGAGAGAGAAAGAAAGAAAAGAAGAGAAAGAAAGAGAGAGAGAGGGAAAGAAAGAAAGAGAGAAAGAGGGAAAGAAAGAAAGAAAAGAAAGAAAGGAAGAAAGAAAGAACTGTAAAGAAAAAGCAAGCCAGCTGGACGCAGTGGCTCATGCCTGTAATCCTAGCACCTTGGGAGGCCGAGGCAGGTGGATCACCTGAGGTCAGGAGTTCAAGAGCAGCCTGACCAATATGGTGACACCCCATCTCTACTAGAAATAAAAAAATTAGCTGGACGTGGTGGCACGTGCCTGTAGTTCCAGCTACTTGGGAAGCTGAGACAGAAGAATTGCTTGAACCTGGGAGATGGAGCTTGTAGTGAGCCCAGATTGTGCCACTGCATTCCAGCCTGGGCAACAGAGGGAGACTCCATCTCAAAAATAAAATAATAATAATAATAATAAAATAAAAAGTAAGCTGGCCGGGCACAGTGTCTCATGCCTGTAATCCCAGCACTTTTGAAGGCCGAGGCAGGTGGATCACTTGAGGTCAAGAGTTCGAGACCAGCCTGACCAACAAGGTAAAACCCCGTCAACTCCACCTCTACTAAAAATACAAAATTAGCCGAGCGTTATGGTGCACGCCTGTAATCCCAGCTACTTAGGAGGCTGAGGCAGGAGGATCACTTGAACCCGGGAGGCGGAGTTTGTGGTGAGTTGAGATTGTGTCATTGCACTCCAGCCTGGGCGACAGAGGGAAACTCCGTCTCAAAAAAATAAACAAAAAGAAGAAGAAAAAGCAAGTGGTCCTTCCCCTCTGCAGTGGAGCAGTGTGAGTCCATGGAGCAAACCCAGACTGGACAGATGAGGAAGTTCCACGCAGGTGGGGACACACCTTACCACCTTGAATTTCATACTCCCAAATCGGGTTCTCCCACCATTTGCTGCAAGACTCTCCCAGCTAATGAGGAAGGCAAGCAGCTCAGATGGACAGGTAACAGTTGAGGCTAACCTCCAATGTCATCACAGGGCGGGGGTGGTTCTGCCCAATACCTGTGCCAACTCTCCCGCCCATGGCACTCCCTGTAGGGTTTTGTGAGGTGGGGAGAAGGGGGAGATGCGGTGGGGATGGCGATGGCCTCCTCTCCCCTGTCTTAGCCCCTAGCCTGAGTGCTGATTGCAGGAAAGAGCCCAAGTCTGATCCCGGGGGTGCTCAATGCGCCCAGATCATCCTGCCCTCCCAGACAGAGCAGAAGGGGCCCCGGAGCCCTCTGTCAAGTCTTAGCTGCCTCATATCTGCCACCTCAGCCCCCCTCACCCCAACAGCCCCGGCTCCCTCCCCCAGGCACCCGGGAAGGCAGTGCTGTTGTGTGAATAACAGTTACTTGTCCTGCCTGCATCAGCCGTTACTCACACAGTCCCGGGAGATCCTGACACAGATGGGGGTGGGGGCACAGAGGGGACTCATCAGAGCCCCCCAGGAAGGGGACTCAGGGGGAGAGCATGTCATAACTCTCAGATGGGGCTTCGGGCCCTGGGAGTAGTGGGGGCATCAGGATTGCAGCCTGGAGGGGTCAGCTTTGGATCCGAGTTCTTTGTTTGCTTCTTGTCTTTTTAATTTGTTTTTATTTTTTAATTTTTATTTATTTATTTATTTTGAGACCGCTCTGTCACCTAGGCTGGAGTACGGTGGCGCGATCTTGGCTCACTGCCACCTCTGCCTCCTGGGTTCAAGCAATTCCCAAGCCTCAGCCTCCCAAGTAGCTAGGATTACAGGCGTGTGCCACCACACCCAGCTAATTTTAGGATTTTTAGTAGAGACGGGGTTTCACCATGTTGGTCAGGCTGGTCTTGAACTCCTGGCCTCAGGAGATCCACCTGCCTTGGTCTCCCAAAGTGCTGGGATTACAGGCATGAGCCACCACACCTGGCCTTTTTTGTCTTTTTTAGAGACAGGGTCTTGCTCTGCAGCCTAGGCTGGACTAGAGTGCAGTGGTGTGATCACGGCTCACTGCAACCTTGACTTCCTGGTCTCAAGAGATCCTCCCGCCTCAGCCTCCCCAGTAGCTGGGACCACAGGTGTGCACCACTGCACCTAGCTAATTTTTTAATACATATATTGTAGCGACAGGGTCTGGCTATATTGCCCAGGCTGATCTCAAACTCCTTGCCTCTAATGATCCTCCAGTCTTAGCCTCCTGAAGTGCTGGGATTACAGGCATCAGCCACCTCACCCAGCCTAGATCCAAGTTCTTACTGTGGTATTAATGACCTAGTTGGGCCTCCTTTTCCACAGTTCTTACAGGCCAGTGCCAGACACAGGCCAGAGCCCTTGGTGGCCTTCCCTGCCCCAGCAGGCCCTGGCCCAGCACGACCTGCTGACTGTCTGGAGTTTCATCACCTTAGAGCCTCATTGGTGAATCCCCTTCTAGCACAGGAGACCCTCAGGAAACCAGTGGGCTCAAGAAAAGATATATTTTTTAAAATAATTACTTTTCTTTTTTTTTCTTTTGGAGACAGAATTCCACCCTGTCACCCAGGCTGGAGTGCAGTTGGGGCGATCTCACCTCACTGCAACCTCCACCTCCCAGGCTCAAGCAATTCTCCTGTCTCAGCCTCCCGAGTAACTGGGACTACAGGCGCGCACCACCACACCTGGCTAATTTTTGTATTTTTAGTAGAGACGGGGTTTTGCCACGTTGGCTAGGCTGGTCTCGAACTCCTGACCTCATGTAGTCCGCCCATGTGAGCCGTACGCCACCAGCCACGATGCCCAGCCAAATAATTACTTTTTTTTTTTTTTTTAATGAGATAGAGTCTTGCTCTATCACCAGGCTGGAGTGCAGTAGTGCGATCTCAGCTCACTGCAAGCTCTGCCTCCCAGGTTCAAGCGATTCCCCTGCCTCAGCCTCCCAAGTATCTGGGACTACAGGCGGCCGCCACCATGCCTGGCTAATTTTTTTTTTTTTTTTTGTATTCTAGTAGAGATGGGGTTTCACCATGTTGGCCAGGATGGTCTCCGTCTCCTGACCTCATGATCTGCCCGCCTTGGCCTCTGAAAATGCTGGGACTACAGGCAAGAGCCACTGCCCCCGGCCACCATTTTTGCAACCTACTAACGACTTTCTATGGATGGATGCAGTTGGTCATTTCATTCATACCATCCGCTGAAATCCTAATGCCACTGTTATGGAATTGGCATCATTATCTCTACTTTACAGGAAAGAAAATTAAGACTCAGGGGAGAAATGGGAGTTGCCCAGAATTTCCTGCTTGTACATGTGCCCTGTCGGCTTCTTTCTCCAGAGACTGGGGCTCTAGAAGGTAAAGGACCTGTTCACGATCGCCCAGCTCACTGGAGCCAGAGCTGTCTGGTTATAGCAATGGCCATGGGAGAAGTCTGCGTCCAGAGCAAACACAAAGGGCTCAGTAGCAGGTTGGATTTGAATCCTTTTTTTTTTTCTTTTTTTTTGGAGATGGAGTCTCGCTCTGTCCAAGCAGGAAGAGGCCAGGCGAGGTGGCTCACCCCTGTAATCCCAGCACTTTGTGAAACTAAGGCGGGCAGATCACTTGAGATCAGGAGTTCGAGACCAGCCTGGCCAACATGGCAAAACCCCATCTCTACTAAAAATATAAAAATTAGCCAGGCGTGTTAGCATGGGCCTGTAATCCCAGCTACTCGAGAGGCTGAGGCAGGAAAATCGCTTGAACCCGGGAGGGGATTGCGCCATTGCACTCCAACCTGGGTGATAGAGCAAGACTGTCTCAAAAAAAAGGAGGAGGAAGCCAAGTGTGGGCAGCCTCGGGAAAGTCCTCCTACGTGGCATTCGGTCTGCACTGGAGTAGAGGGCGTTGCTCAGGACAGAGACTACCTCACAAGCTCCTGAGACAAGGACAGTGTTGGTCCTATGCATCTGCGAAGGTCCCATAACAACCACCCCAGAAAAGACCCTAAGATGCCACTCCATGCTCTCACTGGCTGTGTTGGAGGAAAGCAGGAGGCAGCCATCCCATGTCCCACACCCCCGGCCAGGTCAGGCTCCCTGCTCCCCTCCTCTCCTACACCTCACTGCTCTCCAGCCCTCCAGCCACAAACCTACACAAGGGGGTCTGGGATGGGCTCTGGGCCCAGACAGATCCAAGCAAGCCAGCAGCCCAGCTGCATGACAGTGGTGAGGAGAGCTGAGGGGGCCCAGGGTGACTCAGATGAAGAGACATGCAAGAAGCCTGCTCCCATATGGAGGGGAAGCTGGGCAGATAAGAATGGCCAGTGACTCTGGGCATGCTGGCATCCCATGGTGAATTCCATCTGCACTGTATCACCCAGACGGCTTCATCCCTGGGACCTCCACCCCCACCCATCCCCCACTGACCTTGGGTCACCGTCTCTCTGGACACCTGCCCAGCTCAGTGGGAGCTCAGTCTTTATAGTCACATCCAGAGCCAGAATGGAGACTAGCAAAAGAACGTCTGTGTCCAAGCCAGGCGTGGTGTTGCGAGCCTATAGTTCCAGCGACTCAGGAGGCAGAGGTGAGAGGATCACTTGAGCCCAGGAGTTCAAGACCAGCCTGGGCAACATAGTGAGACCCAATTTCTTTGTTTTCTTTCTTTTTTTTTTTTGAGATGGAGTCTTGCTATATTGCCCAGGCTGGAGTGCAGTAGCATGATCTCGGCTCACTACAACCTCCACCTCCCAGGTTCAAGCAATTCTCCTGCCTCAGCCCTCCTGAGTAGCTGGGACTACAGGTGTGCATCACCACACCCGGCTAATTTTTGTATTTTTAGTAGAGACGGGGTTTCATCATATTGGCCAGGCTGGTCTTGAACTCCTGACCTCGTGATCCGCCCGCCTCAGCCTCCCGAAGTGCTGGGATTACAGGCTTGAGCCACTGTTCCCAGCCGAGTGAGACCCCATTTCTACAAAAATGTTTTAAATTAGCCAGGCCTGGTGGTGTGCGCCTGCAGTCCCAGCTACTCAGGAGGCTGAGGCAGGAGGATGGCTTGAGCCCAGGAGGTAGTGGCTGCAGCGAGCCATGATCGTGCCACTGCACTCCAGCCTGGGCAACAGAGCAAGACCCTTTCTCAAAACAAACAGGAACAACAACAAAGAACAGAATGTGTCCAGAGAAAGGCGTAAAGAGAGACACAAGAATGTAGAGAATGAGGAACGAGTTCTGGTAAAGATGAACGAAAGTGAATCAGAGTCAGATAAGCCACATATGTGGGTAAAGAGAAGTGGATGGAGGGATGGAATCTGGCCAGTGGCCTGGAGGCACCCTGCAGGCCTGCACTACCTCATCAGCCTGACGTAATCAGCTCCATGTTCACATCTACCCCAGGAGCCCGGTGCTCCACCATTCCCTGCCATTGAAATTCCCCTTGGTGACCACACTGGGGGCACATTCCTTTTCTCTTTTTTTTTTTTTTTTTTTTGAGACAGAGTCTCACTCTGTTGCCCAGGCTGGAGTGCAGCAATGCAATTACGGCTCACTGCAGCCTCAAACTCCTGGACTCAAGTGACTCTCCTGTCTTAGCCTCCCAAGAAGCTGGGACTACAGGCACATGCCACCATGCTTGACTCATTTATTTATTTTTTGTAGAGGTTGGGGGGGGGGGTCTCCCTGTGTTGCCCAGGCTGGTCTCGAACTCCTGGCCTCAAGCAATCCTGCCACCTTGGCTTCCTAAAGTGTTGGGATTACAGGCATGAGCCACTGTGCCCGGCCAGGAAGGCTCATTCTTGCCTGATGGTGAAAGGACATTTGGAATACCCACATTACAAAAGACCCAGCACTAAGTGCCCTCAGGAAATAAGACACTTTGATGGCCACATAAGTTTAAATACAGAAATAACTGTAAGACAAGGGAGAATGCAAATATATAAAAGTGATAAAAGCTAAAAATTAGCTGGGTGTGGTCGTGCATGCCTGTGGTCCCAGCTGCTCAGGAGGCTGAGGTGAGAGGATTGTTTGAGCCCAGGAGTTGGAGGCTGCAGTGAGCCATGATCACACAACTGCACTCCAGCCTGGGCAACAAAGTGAGACCCTATCTTAAAAAAAAAAAAAAAAAATAGACTGGGCGCGGTGGCTCATGCCTGTAAACCCAGCACTTCGGGAAGCTGAGGTGGGAAGATCAGTTGAGCTCAGGAGTTTGAGACCAGCCTGGCCAACATGGTGAAACCCTGTCTCTACTAAAAATCCAAAAATTAGTTGGGCATGTTTGTGCAGGCCTGTAGTCCCTGCTACTCAGGAGGCTGAGGCACGAGAATTGCTTGAACCCGTGAGGTGGAGGTTGCAGTGAGCTGAGATCGCGTCACTGCATTCTAGCTTGGGTGACTGAGTGAGACTCTGTCTCAAAAAAAAAAAAAGATAAAATTGGCTATGGTAGAGCATACATTTTTTTTAAGTGATTAAAGCATTATAGGTGCCATAGAGGAATCGATGAGAGATGGGAGATGGAGGCTGCAGGGGCCTAGCCTGGAAGAGTGGGTCGAGCTCAACTCCATTTTGGTAAATCAAGTCTCCTTCCTCCCTGGTATGCTCAGAAAATAAGGATACACTTGGGACAAAAGCGGGGTACATCCATGACCTGCAGCCCAGAGGGGAATATCTTCCTGGGATCTGAAACCTGCAAAGTCAGCCAATGGGAGCGTGTCAGGACCAGGGAGACAGCAGAAGGATCTGGTATGAAACAGATGAGAGGGGCTGCCAGGCATCCCCTCGGGTAAGCAGCCAGCCCACTTCCGAGGCATTTAACGCCCACGCTCCGCTAAATGCTGAGAGACGTAAAAACAAACACCTCAAACATCCATCCCTCAAGGAGCTTGCATTATATCAAAATGAACAGCTCAGACTGTCTGGGTTCCTGTCCTGGCTCTGCTGCCCACCAAGAGCGGCTGCCACAAAGGAGAACATTTGTTCTTGCCAAATGTGTTGGACATTTGGCAGATGACGTTTTATGTAATTCTCATTGCAACCTTGAAAGATGGGAATCGTTATCTGTCTTTTACAAATAAGAATACTGAGGCTGTGATCCCTAAATCATAGGGAAGGAAGGAAGGGAGGGAGGGGGAGGGGAGGAAGAGGAGGAGGAAGAGAAGGAGAAGGAGAAGGGATTAAGTTTTACCTAGTCACATAGCCAATGTCAGATTCCTAACTAGTGGCCGGGTCTGTCTGATCCAATGATCACTATTCTCTCATTTATGGTGTAGTCACTGTGTGGCTTCAACCACAGTGGACCTCTCTGGACCTAAGTGCCCTCACTTGTAAATTAAAAGAACTGGGTTAGGGCCAGGCATGGTGGCTCATGCCTGTAACCACAGCACTTTGGGAGGCTGAGGCAGGTCGGTCACTTGAGCTCAGGAGTTCAAGAACAGCCTGGGCAACGTGGCAAAACCCCGTCTCTACCAAAAATACAAAAAATTAGCCAGGTGTCATGGTGTACATCTGTGGTCCCAGCTACTGGGAGGCTGAGGTGGGAGGATCACTTAATCCCGGGAGGTAGAGGCTGCAGTAAGCTGAAATGGCACCACTGCACTCCAACCTTGAGCCCAGGAGTTTGAGACTAGCCTGGGCAACATAAAGAGACCCTCATCTCTGAAAAAAAAAAAATTAGGCGGGGCACAGTGGCTCACATCTGTAATCCCAGCACTTTGAGAGGCTGAGGAAGGCGGATCACTTGAGGTCAGGAGTTCAAGACCAGCCTGGCCAACATGGTGAAACCCCGTCTCTACTAAAAATACAAAAATCAGCTGGGCGTGATGGCAGATGCCTGTAATCCCAGCTACTTGGGAGGCTGAAGCACTATAATTGCTTGAGCCTGGGAGGTAGAGGTTGCAGTGAACTGAGACCACACCATTGCACTCCAGCCTGGGCAAGAAGAGCGAAACTTTGTCTCAAAAAAAAAAAAAAAAAAAAAAAAAAATTGGCGGGGCATGGTGGTGCACACCTGTAGTCCCAACTAGCAACTCCTCAGGAGGCTGAGATGGGAGGATCTCTTGAGCCTGGGAGGTCGAAATGCAGTGAGTCATGACTGTGCCAAGGCTGGGAGCCATGATTGTGCCACTGCACTCCCACCTGGGCAACAGAACGTGGCCCCCACTCAAAAAAAAAATGCAATTGTGGACAAGCAAGGGCTACATTGGGTAAGGCAGCACCAGTTAGAGTGTTAGGGAGTTTAAAGAGAAATGACCGGCCAGGGGCTGGCAGGGGAGAGGGGATACAGCAGGAGAGGAGGGGGAAGTCAGTCACAGAGCCAGGGTAAGGAAGGGCCCCTGGACAGGCTGTCCCAGAGCCACGATCTTAAATAAAAGGCAGTGGAGGGCCAGGCGCAGTGGCTCACGCCTATAATCCCAGCACTTTGGAAGGCCGAGGTGGGTGGATCATGAGGTCAGGAGATCGAGACCAGCCTGGACAACATGGGGAAACTAGTCTCTACTAAAAATACAAAAATTAGCCAGGCATGGTGGCGCATGACTATAATCCCAGCTACTCGGGAGGCTGGGGCAGGAGAATCGCTTGAACCTGGGAGGCGGAGGATGCAGTGAGCCAAGATCACACCTCCGCACTCCAGCCTGGGCAACAGAGCAAGACTCCATCTCAAAAAAAAAAAAAAAAAAGGCGGTGGAGACACCCAGCACTGGTTCCCTCCTAGAGAAGGGGAGAGAGCCGAGCCCAAACACAGGCTATTTTTGGAGTTGTGTTGTTTGGAGAGCAACCAAGCCAGAAATAGTGCTGTTAGCAAGACCCTGCCTTCTCCAACCCCCGGCTCTCCCAGTGAAATCACCAGGAATCAGGGAGGCTGGGCCCCACATTCCAGGGAGCCTGTGTAACAGGCAGTGCTCTCTTCCCCACCGGAAGGGCTTGGGAGCTGAGCATTTGACTGTAAAAGGGATTCTGGGATTCCAGAGGGACAGAGGGACTGAGTCAGAGAGAGAGAGAGAGAGAGAGTGGAAATGGGGGGCAACCTCCTGCAGCGGAGGAGAGGGGACAGGAGGGAAGGCTCGGGGAAGAAAGGG
The DNA here is from genome assembly GCF_000001405.40 of Homo sapiens. Lineage (NCBI taxonomy): Eukaryota > Metazoa > Chordata > Mammalia > Primates > Hominidae > Homo > Homo sapiens. The sequence goes on from NC_000007.14 coordinate 101,122,292, forward strand.
TAGGCAGGAGGTCAGAGAGAAGGGAGCAGGAAGCGGGAGGCTCAGAGAGAGAAAGGGAAAGTGAAAAAGAAAGCGGGGAAGACAGAAGCAAAGAGGAAGAGCAGAGATCGGGCCAGAAGGCGGGAGGTCAGGGGGCGATGGGTGGTGGGAAGGCCAGTGTCCACCCAGGGCCCACCAGTGGGTGGGGGACAGAGGGACAGTCATGGAAAATCTGAGTGTGATCTACAGTCACGAACCACCTGCTCAGGGACAGATGGAGACATCTTTCCCAGTAGCTGGAATCAGAACTTTCCCCTGAAATCCACAGCCCGGTAACTCACTCTCTTATCTCTGACCCTCCGGAAGCCAGAGATCTAGCTATTTCATCAGCATGGACTTTTCTTTCTGTGCCCGTGTGACCCCTTACAAAAGAGCTCAAGCTGGAAAGAGAGGATTGGATCAAGAAAGAGAGAACTTAGGATTCAGGGGAAAAGGGGAAAGTGATAACCCCTTGAGTCAGATTCTGAGAAGAGGGTTTCTCTGAGAGGTCGGTGGGGAGCAGCCCGCAGGCAGCTGGACCCTGGTATGGAAGGGCTCGGCTCCTAAGGCAGGTAAGAGAAGGCAGGGCCACGTGCATGAAGTAGAGGCAGGGGTCATGGCCAAGTCTGGGTTCTTTTTATTTATTTATTTTTTTGAGACAATCTTGCTCTTTCGCTCAAGCTGGAGTGCAGTGGTGCAATCTCAGCTCTCTGCAACCTCCACCTCTTGGGTTCAAGAGATTCTCCCACCTCAGGCTCCTGAGTAGCTGGGACTACAGGTACGTGCCGCCATGCCTGGCTAATTTCTGTACTTTTTTTTTTTTAGTAGAGACGGGGTTTCACTCCAAGTCTGGGTTCTAGAGTAGCTAGGCAGCCCCAGCTCATCAGAGTCAATGGAGAAATCGGAAACTTCACATGGACCCGATAACACAGGTTTTGCCTCAGTTTCTAATACACATCTTCCCTATGCCTACAAGTTTCCACCGATTTGGGAAAAGACCTCTTAGTAAGTCAGCCACTTCTGAGTCCAAAGTAAAACGCTCCCCACCCTCCACCCCAATCAGGACTAGAGCTGCTCCCCAGCTCTCCCGTGCCCAAGGATGGAATGTCCTTTTTGCTCTTTGCTTTGTCCTTTGAGACAGGGTCTCTCTTTGTCACCCAGGCTGGAGTGCAGTGTTGCAATCATAGCTCACTCCAGCCTTGAGCTCCTAGGCTCAAGCGATCCTCCTACCTCAGCTTCCCATGTAGCTGGGACCATAGGCACACGCCACCACACTGGGCTAATTTTTTTTTTTTTTTTGGTAGAGATGGGATCTCACTGTGTTGCCCAGGCTGGCTCAAATTCCTGGGCTCAAGTGATCTTCCTGCCTCAGCCTCCCCAAAGACTGGGATTACAGGTGTGAGCCACCACACCCAGCAGGGGTGTCTATTTTGGATTGGCATCAGGATCATCCACCCAATCTATGAGTGGGGACTAAATTGGTGACTGCTCCTGCAGAGCTCTGGCTGTCCACAGAAAACAGCAGAGACCTGGCAAGGTATGGGACAATGGCTCCTGGTATGACAGGCAGAGGAAGGGATGGAGGCTAAGCTGCAGCCTGGAGAGGCTGGCGTCAGACACCTGAGGAGGCCACATCTAGCTATGTCTAGACCCATTGAACTTTCAAGTCTTCGAGGCTTGGTACTGCCTGATCCCTGTTCCCCTCTGATCCTTAAGGTCAGAGAGCAAAGCCTTGCGGGGTACTTTTTTTTTTTTTTTTTTTGAGACAGATTCTTGCTCTGTCACCCAGGCTGGAGTGCAATAGCATGATCTCGGCTCACTGCAACCTCCACCTCCCAGGTTCAAGCGATTCTCCTGCCTCAGCCTCCCAAGCAGCTAGGATTACAGGCACGCACCACCATGCCTAGCTGATTTTTATATTTTTAGTAGAGATGGGGTTTCATCATATTGGCCGGGCTGGTCTTGAACTCCTGGCCTCAAGTGATCCACCTGCCTTGGCCTCCCGAAGTGCTAGGATTACAGGTGTGAGCCACCATGCCCTGTCTTGGGGTACTTTTGAGGACAAGAGTTAAGTTCGGGACTGGGCATGTTGGCTTATACACTTTGGGAGGCAAAGGTGAGAGGATTGTTCCAGCCCAGGAATTTGAGACCAGCCTGGTCAACATAGCAAGACTCTGTCTCTATAAGAAAAAATAATAATTAGCTGGGCGTGGTGGTGCTTGCCTGTAGTCCCCGATACTTGCTTGAGCCCAGGAGTTCAAGTCTGCAGTGAGCTATGATCACATGACTGCACTCCAGCCTTGGTGACAGAGTGAGACCCTGTCTCCAAAAAAAAAAAAAAAAAGAGATGGGTTTGGGGCTGGACTTGTCTTCTTCCAAGAGGTCAGGGCAGTTGCTTCTTCCTCACCGCTAACCACACTCTCAGGGACTCCAAACCACAACTAAGAAAAGGAAAAAGACATAAACAAGAGGCAGTTTCACAGGAAGAGTTCTCCTAATGTGTCTGTGAGCCTAACTTTCCGACTGTGGTTCTCCTCTCTTTCCCTGCCAGCTGTGAGAAAACAAAGCCTAAGGCAGATTAAAAAGCAGGAGGGCTGCTCAGTGTGGTTGCCCTTGGTATCTGTTTACTGAAAAAATCCAAAACAAACATCCGACGCTTCCACCCACTGAAACTTCCTGTGACTCTGCTATCAGCTGTTGCCATGGATTCTCCCAACTGAACCCCACCACATACACTAAACCCAACAGTCCGTGGACCCCAAGTATGCCATCTCTCCAATACAGGACCCCCTGGGCAGCACCCTGGCCACCCTTCCATCCACAACATCCAGACCACACGGCCAAGGGCACCTGACCCTGTCAAAACCCCAAATCCAGCTGGGCGCGGTGGCTCATGCCTGTAATCCCAGCATTTGGGAGGCCGAGGCAGCCGGATCACGAAGTCAGGAGTTCGAGACCAGCCTGACCAACATGGTGAAACCCCGTCTCTACTAAAATACAAAAATTAGCCGGGCGTGGTGGTGCACACCTGTAATCCCAGCTACTCGGGAGGCTGAGGCAGGAGAACCACTTGAACCTGGGAGGCGGAGATTGCAGTGAGCCAAGATAGTGCTACTGCACTCAGCCTGGGCAACAAAATAAGACTCCGTCTCAAAACAGAAAAACAAAAAAAACAAAAAACAACAACAACAACAAAATCCACTAGTCTAGCCCTACATGCTCACCCACTGCTAGCCAGTTTCCACCCTCTACAGCAGAGGTACCCAACCTCTGGGCCAGGGGCCCGTACTGGTCCATAGCCTGTTAGGAACCAGGCTGCATAACAGGAGGTGAGTGGCAGGTGAGTGAAATTTCATCTGTAGTTACAGCCACTCCTCATCACTCGCATTACCACCAGAGCTCCACTCCCTGTCAGATCAGCGGCGGCATTAGATTCTCATAGGAGCTCGAACCCTATTCTAAACTGTTCATGTGAGGGATCTAGGTTGCAAGCTCCCTATGAGAATCTAATGCCTGATGATCTGTCACGGTCTCCCATCACCCCTAGATGGGACCATCTAGTTGCAGGAAAACAAGCTCAGGGCTCCCACTGATTCTACACGATGGTGAATTGTGGAATTATTTCATTATATATATTACAATGTAATAATAATAGAAATAAAGCACACAATAAATGTAATGTGCTTGAATCATCCCGAAACCATCCCACCCTGGTCTGTGAAAAAATTGTCTTCCATGAAACCAGTCCCTGGTGCCAAAAACGTTGAGGACCACTGCTCCACAGAATCTATCGGTCACTCTTCCTCCCCTCACCCCCTTGCCCTAAAAGCACACCCTGCAAACCTGCCATGAATTGACACTCTGTTTCTATCCCTTTTCCCCTTGTGTCTGTGTCTGGAGGAAGAGGATAAAGGACAAGCTGCCCCAAGTCCTAGCGGGCAGCTCGAAGAAGTGAAACTTACACGTTGGTCTCCTGTTTCCTTACCAAGCTTTTACCATGGTAACCCCTGGTCCCGTTCAGCCACCACCACCCCACCCAGCACACCTCCAACCTCAGCCAGACAAGGTTGTTGACACAAGAGAGCCCTCAGGGGCACAGAGAGAGTCTGGACACGTGGGGAGTCAGCCGTGTATCATCGGAGGCGGCCGGGCACATGGCAGGGATGAGGGAAAGACCAAGAGTCCTCTGTTGGGCCCAAGTCCTAGACAGACAAAACCTAGACAATCACGTGGCTGGCTGCATGCCCTGTGGCTGTTGGGCTGGGCCCAGGAGGAGGGAGGGGCGCTCTTTCCTGGAGGTGGTCCAGAGCACCGGGTGGACAGCCCTGGGGGAAAACTTCCACGTTTTGATGGAGGTTATCTTTGATAACTCCACAGTGACCTGGTTCGCCAAAGGAAAAGCAGGCAACGTGAGCTGTTTTTTTTTTCTCCAAGCTGAACACTAGGGGTCCTAGGCTTTTTGGGTCACCCGGCATGGCAGACAGTCAACCTGGCAGGACATCCGGGAGAGACAGACACAGGCAGAGGGCAGAAAGGTCAAGGGAGGTTCTCAGGCCAAGGCTATTGGGGTTTGCTCAATTGTTCCTGAATGCTCTTACACACGTACACACACAGAGCAGCACACACACACACACACACATGCCTCAGCAAGTCCCAGAGAGGGAGGTGTCGAGGGGGACCCGCTGGCTGTTCAGACGGACTCCCAGAGCCAGTGAGTGGGTGGGGCTGGAACATGAGTTCATCTATTTCCTGCCCACATCTGGTATAAAAGGAGGCAGTGGCCCACAGAGGAGCACAGCTGTGTTTGGCTGCAGGGCCAAGAGCGCTGTCAAGAAGACCCACACGCCCCCCTCCAGCAGCTGAATTCCTGCAGCTCAGCAGCCGCCGCCAGAGCAGGACGAACCGCCAATCGCAAGGCACCTCTGAGAACTTCAGGTAGGAGAAAAGCAAACTCCCTCCAACCTCTTACTTCGGGCTTAAGGCAGAGAACTCGCCTCCCCAGAATCTCCTCCCTCCATGATCCCCCGCTATTCCTCTATTTTCTTTTCCTCGGACCTGCAGCCTTGGGTCGACCCTGCCCTAGGGGTGACTGCAGGAGAGCAGGGAGGATGGTCAGGCGTCACCAACAACCCCATCACCCAGTAACAAGAACCTTGACTCTCTCAGTCCCTCTGCATCAAGACACTTACCCATTTCCCACCTCATGCCTGCTAACTTGAATGAAACAATCGCTGGGAAAGCATTAAGAGAATTAAGGCTGGGCACTGTGGCTCATGCCTGTAATCCCAGCACTTTGTGAGGCTGAGGCAGGCAGATAACTTGAGCCCAGGAGTTTGAGACCAGCCTGGGCAACATGGCAAAACCCTGCTCTCCCAAAAAAATACAAAAATTAGCTGGGCGTGCTGGTGTGCCTGTATTCCCAGCTACTTGGGAGGCTGAGGTGGGAGGATTGCTTCAGCTGGGGAGGCGGAGGCTGCAGGGAGCCAAGACTGAGCCATTGCACCCAGCCTGGGTGACAGAGCAAGACCCTGTCTCTAAAAATGAATGAAAGGAAGGAAGAAAGAGAGAGAAAGAGAGAGAGGAAAGAAGGAAGGAAGTAAAGAAGAAAGAAAGAAAGAAAGAGGAAAGAGGAAGAAAGAAAGAAAAGAAAGAAAAGAAAAGAAAGCAAATTTAAAGCTTATGCAAATCAAAGATGTTGTGATAATTGATAATTGAGTCTGGGCTAAATTCCCCCTGGGCTGCAAAGGCAGAGAGTGGTAATGACTTCTCACCTGCTTTTCTTCTAAGGCTTTTTTACGGGACACAGAGGGAAGGGAGATGGACTGGATTCCAAGATTCCCACAGGGCAAGATGGGCGAAGACTCCCTGCCACTGCCCGGGGATAAGTCAGTCTGAGTGAGACGGAGTGGGATGGGCTTAGAACCTGAACATGTCATGGTCTCTTCCTGCACCTTGCCCTAGTGTTCACTTACCACCTGCTTGCAGGAAACAAGAAGAGCAGGGCCCACAGCTGGCCAGCTCCCCTCCCCTCCCGCCTGTCTTCCAGAACGATTCCTTCACCAGCCCTCTTTCCATTGCTCTAGGATGCAGATGTCTCCAGCCCTCACCTGCCTAGTCCTGGGCCTGGCCCTTGTCTTTGGTGAAGGGTCTGCTGTGCACCATCCCCCATCCTACGTGGCCCACCTGGCCTCAGACTTCGGGGTGAGGGTGTTTCAGCAGGTGGCGCAGGCCTCCAAGGACCGCAACGTGGTTTTCTCACCCTATGGGGTGGCCTCGGTGTTGGCCATGCTCCAGCTGACAACAGGAGGAGAAACCCAGCAGCAGATTCAAGCAGCTATGGGATTCAAGATTGATGGTGAGCCACGGGACACCAGGGGAGGTGGGTGGCATGCAGAACAGACCTACCAGAAGCCAAGGAAAGGCTGGCTCTGGCTTAGCCGAGCCAAGCCCCATACAGCTGTGCTGCAGGGGCCACCCCATCTTCTTCCCACTACACTCCAAGTCACTGGACCCTTGAATCTCCAAGGGTGTCTGACCAGTAGATTTACCGCTTATTCACCACCGTGTGATCTTAACCTCGTTAAGTTTGCCCATCTACAAAATGAGGATTATTTGCTGTCCTAAAGAATTCATGAGCCGGGCGCGGTGGCTCAAACGCCTGTAATCCCAGCACTTTGGGAGGCCAAGGCGGGCGGATCATGAGGTCAGGAGATCAAGACCATCCTGGCTAACACAGTGAAACTCCATCTCTACTAAAAATACAAAAAAAATTAGCCAGGCGTGGTGGCAGGCGCCTGTAGTCCCAGCTACTCGGGAGGCTGAGGCAGGAGAATGGCATGAACCCAGGAGGCAGAGCTTGCAGTGAGCTGAGATCGTGCCACTGCACTCCAGCCTGGGCGACAGAGAGAGACTCCGTCTCAAAAAAAAAAAATAAAAGAATTCATGGAATTACACTTGTGAAATACTTAGCATAGCCATCACTATAGGAAAAAAATCTAAGGCCAGGCACAGTGCCTCATGCCTGTAATCTCAGCACTTTCGGAGTTTGAGGCAGGAGGATCACCCAAGGCTAGGAGTTCAAGGCCAGCCTGGGCAATACGGTGAAACCCCGTCTCTAATAAAAATATAAAAATTAGTCTGATGAGGTGGTGCACCTGTAATCCCAGCTACTCAGGAAGCTGAGACACAAGAATCACTTTAACCCGGGAGGTGGAGGTGGCAGTGAGCTGAGATCACACCATTGCACTCCAGCCTGGGTGACAGAGTGAGACCTGTCAAAAAAAAGAAAAGAAAGAGAGAGAGAGAGAGAAGAGAGAGAAAGAAAGAAGAAGAAAGAAAGAAAGAGAGAGAGAGAAAGAAAGAAAGAAACAAAGAAACAAAGAAAGAAAGGAAAAGAAAAAAAAAACTAAGGCCAGGCAAGGTGGCTTATGACTGTAATTTCAGCACTTTGGAAGATTGAGGCAGGAGGATCACTTGAGGCCAGAAGTTCGAGACAAGACTGAGCAACAGGGAGACCCCTGCCTCTACAAAAAAATTTACAAATTAGCCAGATGTGGTGACACATACCTGTAGTCCCAACTACTCAGGAGGCTGAGGTGGGAGGATGGCTTGAGCCCAGGAGCTGGAGGCTGCAGTGAGCTATGATTGTACCACTGCACTTCAGCCTGGGCAACAAAGGGAAGCCCTGTCTGAAAAAAAAAAAAAAAGAAAAAGAAGAAGAAAGAAAATATTTAGGGTTCATCCAGGAGGCAGAGGTTGCAGTAAGCTGACATCGCGCCATTGCACTCCAGCCTGGGAGACAAGAGCAAAACTCCAACTCAAAAAAAAAAAAAAAAAAAAAACAGGAAGAAAATATTTAGGGTTCATAATTTAAGAACAGAGAAAAATATTCTAGCCCAAAGAAAGGGTTGGGATCTGAGACTTTTGAAGAAAGGAAGGAGATACAGAAAAGAGATTTCATCCTGGAATGAAATCTCCCTCCAGAGAGCCCTGGGAAAGCACGGTAGCCCCCATCCATCAGAGTGGAGCCCCTTGTGGGGGAAGTGGGCTCGGCTGGGAACCCTCAATTCAGCATAAGCCTCACATGTCCTCTCCTCTCTGTCCCGGTGCAGACAAGGGCATGGCCCCCGCCCTCCGGCATCTGTACAAGGAGCTCATGGGGCCATGGAACAAGGATGAGATCAGCACCACAGACGCGATCTTCGTCCAGCGGGATCTGAAGCTGGTCCAGGGCTTCATGCCCCACTTCTTCAGGCTGTTCCGGAGCACGGTCAAGCAAGTGGACTTTTCAGAGGTGGAGAGAGCCAGATTCATCATCAATGACTGGGTGAAGACACACACAAAAGGTGAGCAGGCAGGGAAAGGAAACCCATTTCCTGGGCCTCAAGAGAAAGGGAATTTGGAAATAAATCCACATATCCCAGTTGGGTGCAGTAGTTCACACCTGTAATCCCAGCCCAACACTTTGGGAGGTCTAGGCGAGAGGAAGGCTTGAGGCCTGGAGTTTGAGACCAGCCTGGCCAACATAACAAGACCTCATCTCTTCAAAAAATTTAAAAACCAGCCGGGCATGGTGGTGCACACCTGTAGTCCCAGCTACTTGGGAGGCTGAGGTGGGAGGATCACTTGAGTCCAGCAGTTCAAGGCTGCAGTGAGCTATGTTTGCACCACCACACTCCAGCCTGGGTCACAGAACAAGACCTCATCTCTAAAAAACAAACAAAAACCAAATCCACATATCCTAAAAAATGCTCCTTTTCAGCATTCTCTTCTCTATGGACAAAGGGCTGGATGCTTTAAGAACCAAATCTTAGGCTGGGCACGGTGGCTCACGCCTCTAATCCTAGCACTTTGAGAGGCCAAGGCGGGCAGATTGCCTGAGCACAGGAGTTCGAGACCAGCCTGGCCAACATGGTGAAACCCTGTCTCTGTCAAAAATACAAAAAATTAGCCAGGTGTGTTGGCGCATGCCTATAATCCCAGCTGCTCGGGAGGATGAGGTTCAAAGAATCACTTGAACCCGGGAGGCAGAGGCTGCAGTGAGCTGAGATCATGCCACTGCACTCCAGCCTGGGTGACAGAGCAAGACTTTGTCTCCAAAAAAAGGAACTAGACGGGTTCATTTAAACCCCTGACTGCAGCCCTTTGACATACATCCAATTGAGGACTGGGGACTCCGGGAAACATCTAAAAGGCTTAAAAACTTTGTCTAACTTCAGCCGGGCATGGTGGCTCACACCTGTAATCCCAGCACTTTGGGAGGCTAAGGCAGGTGGATCAAAAGGTCAGGAGTTTGAGACGAGCCTGACCAACATGGTGAAACCCCGTCTCTACTAAAAATACAAAAATTAGCCAGGCATGGTGGCAGGCGCCTGTAATCCCAGCTATTCGGGAGGCTGAGGCAGGAGAATTGCTTGAACCCCGGAGACAGAGGTTGCAGCGAGCCGAGATCGCGCCACTGCACTCCAGCCTGGCAATAGAGTGAGACTCCATCTCAAAACAACAACAACAACAACAACAAAATCGTCTAACTTCCTGATCTTCCTGATCATTGATTTTCCCATAGGTATGATCAGCAACTTGCTTGGGAAAGGAGCCGTGGACCAGCTGACACGGCTGGTGCTGGTGAATGCCCTCTACTTCAACGGCCAGTGGAAGACTCCCTTCCCCGACTCCAGCACCCACCGCCGCCTCTTCCACAAATCAGACGGCAGCACTGTCTCTGTGCCCATGATGGCTCAGACCAACAAGTTCAACTATAGTAAGTCCAAGAGCCCCTTCCCCACAGCCCACAGCAACTGCATCTCATTCCTGGGGTCTCCCAAGGAATACCCAAAATGTCACCCTCTGAGGGAGGAAGACCACAGGGAATGCTCCCCTTTAAGGGAGGAGAGACCCTAGAATATACTCCAGCTTTGACAAAGATTTCCCAAGCAGGAGACATCAGGATAATGGGAACAGAAGACAGGAGGTTTATCCCATGAAGGATGAAGAAGCTGAAATCCAGAGATTCCCTCAGGGCCACATTTGTCCACCTGACTCCAGGGTCTCATCTTCGTGTGTTGCTAGTGTGATTACCTGGGGATGAGAAATCCTGCTGGGGGAGTTGAGGTTAAGAGGATGAGGACTCCAGGTGCTGTGGCTCACGCCTGTAATCCCAGCACTTTGGGAGGCCAAGGCAGGTGGATCAGGAGTTTGAGGTCAGGAGTTTGAGACCAGCCTGGCCAACATGGTGAAACCCTGTCTCTACTAAAAATGCAAAAATTAGCCAGGTGTGGTGGCAGGCGCCTGTAATCCCAGCTACTCGGGAGGCTGAGGCAGGAGAATCACTTGAGCCCGGGAGGTGGAGGTTGCAGTGAGCCGAACGAAATTGAGCCACTTCACCCCAGCCTGGGCAAAAGAGTGAAATTCCATTCAAAAAAAAAAAAAAAAAAAAAAGGATGAGGACTGGGATGAACTGGTGGCTGGGTGTGGGGAAAATGGAAGTGAAGGAAGGCCAAAAGAGACAGAGAAGGCCTGGCGCGGCGACTCACGCCTATAATCCCAGCACTTTGGGAGGCTGAGAAGGGGGATTGCTTGAGGCCAGAAGTTGAATACCAGTCTGGGCAGCATAGCAAGACCCTGCCTCTACAAAAAAAAAATTTTTTTTAATTAGCCAGGCTTGGTGACATGCATCTGTAGTCTACTCAAGAAGCTGAGGTGAGGCCAGGCACGGTGGCTCACGCCTGTATTCCCAGCACTTTGGGAGGTCAAGGCGGGTGGATGACCTGAGGTCAGGAGTTCAAGACCAGCCTGGCCAACATGGTGAAACCCCATCTGTATAAAAATACAAAAATTAGCTGGGCATGATAGCAGGTGCCTGTAATTCCAGCTACTCAGGAGGCTGAGGTGGGAGAATCTATTGAACCCGGGAGGGGGAGGTTGCAGTGAGCCGAGATCATGCCATTGCACTCCAGCCTGGGCGACAGAGTGAGACTCCTTCTCAAAACAAACAAACAAACAAACAAACAAAATACAGAAGCTGAGGCGGGAGGAACATTTGAACCGGATTCGGAGGCTGCAGTGAGCTATGATTGCACCACTGCGCTCCAGTCTGTGTGACAGTGAGACCCTGTCTCTTACACACACACACACACACACACACATGCACACACACAGAGAGAGAGAAATTAGAAGATACTGAATTGGCAGAAGAGAAGGGAAATAGAAATTAAAATACTGAATAGGGGAGCAGTGAACAGGGGATACCCAAAAGCCAAGAGCGAGAGAGAGCCTGGCTTCCAGAAATAGTGGAGAAGCCAGGAGAACTAGGTGAAAACCCAGTGCTGGGTTGCCATCAGCGAGAGCTGGAGCCATTTCCAACGAACCATCTTGTCGTCTTCACAGCTGAGTTCACCACGCCCGATGGCCATTACTACGACATCCTGGAACTGCCCTACCACGGGGACACCCTCAGCATGTTCATTGCTGCCCCTTATGAAAAAGAGGTGCCTCTCTCTGCCCTCACCAACATTCTGAGTGCCCAGCTCATCAGCCACTGGAAAGGCAACATGACCAGGCTGCCCCGCCTCCTGGTTCTGCCCAAGTAAGCCACCCCGCTATCTCCCCGACCTACCAACCCCTCTCTCCTGGCTCCCTAAAGTCACCGCCCCCAGGTTGAATTTCCCAGATCTGTGATGCTTGCAGGACATGCATGTGTGGGAGGCTGATGGGAAACTGTGGCCTGGGTTTGATTATGAGTCTTGCAATCATCCCTCCCCCTGTTTCTGCTGGAGGGCAGGGGACAGCTCTTCCTGACCACACCCCCACATTGACTATCCCCAGAATACCCAGCAAAAGCCCCCAAAAGGAGAGTCAGAGAAATGAGGGAGGTGGGGGCCCAATCAGTCCACATCTACTTAGGGTCGCCCCATCAGCACTTCCATCCCCAACCCTTTCAAGTCAACATCCAAACAAAAGAAATCACTTCCAAGGACGGAGCAGCTCAAAGCGCAGCTTCTAGCTGGGGTTCCAAGAAAGCAGATTTTTCGAAATCCTTCTGCAGAAGGAAGCAAAGAGATTTTTTGAAATCTTTCTGCAGAAGGAGAAGGCTGGAGCTGGGGAACTCCAGAATTATAGGGAAGCCTCCCACCACGCTCATCCCAAATTTCCGGATGCTATAATGCCAGGCTTGGGGAAAGAGGAGAATTTAGTTGGTTAGCTGGTGCGTGCTCTCACTTGCATCCTCTCTCTTCCTCTTTTTTTTTTTTCTCCTCTCTCTCTGGCTCATAAAAATGGAGGTAATTAGTTGTGCCCTGGTGAGAAGCAGAGAGTGCACAAAGGCCCCCTGCTTGAGTCCTCTTCAGGGTTAGCTCTCAGAAACACAATCTGCAGAACAGATTTTTGTTCCAACATCCTTGCAGGAGAATTTGCCCTTAGCTTCCCCCACCCCAGCCAGGCTGAATAAAATTATGCTGAAACTACTGTCTTATTTGAGGAAAGTAATTAGTCATAGGTGGGAGGGGGTGGGGAGATTGCAGAAGAATGTTCATGAATATTAGGATTTTCAGCTCTAAGGGGGGACTTTGTAAACAGCTTTAGAAGAAGAACCAGGCCGGCTGGGTGTGGTGGCTCATGCCTGTAATCTCAGCATTTGGGGAGGCCAAGGCGGGCGGATCACTTGAGGTCAGGAGTTTGAGACCAGCCTGGCCAACATGGTGAAACCCTGTCTCTATTAAAAATACAAAAATTAGCCAGCCGTGGTAGCGAGCGCCTATGATCCCAGCTACTCCGGAGGCTGAGGCCAGAGAATCACATGAACCTGGGAGGTGGAGGCTGCAGTGAGCCGAGATCACGCCACTGCACTCCAGCCTGGGGGACAGAGCAAGAATCTGTTTCAAAAAAAAAAAAAGAAAAATAGGAAGGAAGGAAGGAAAGGAAAGGAAAGAAGAGAGAGAGAAAGAAAGAGAGAGAGAGAAAGAAAGAAAGAAAGAAAGAAAGAAAGAAAGAAAGAAAGAAAGAAAGAAAGAAAGAAAGAAAAAGAAAGGAAAGAAAGAACGAACGAACCAGGCCTCCCTCTCCAACCTTCACCTCCGTCCCTATTCTGGCCACTTGATTCGGGGGACACCTGGTAGGGGATGGGGAAAGGTGGGAGCTGCCAGCCAGAGGGGACCCCGGCTTGAGCAGCCTCTTGCTGCTATCTGCAGGTTCTCCCTGGAGACTGAAGTCGACCTCAGGAAGCCCCTAGAGAACCTGGGAATGACCGACATGTTCAGACAGTTTCAGGCTGACTTCACGAGTCTTTCAGGTAAGAAGACTTTCCTTTGCATTTTCTCACCCCAGTGGACTGCGGGGGCCCCTAAGAGGAAAAAGGAACCTCTCCTTGAGAGCGGCAGCTGATCTAATCCTGTATCCACATCTGTTTCAGACCAAGAGCCTCTCCACGTCGCGCAGGCGCTGCAGAAAGTGAAGATCGAGGTGAACGAGAGTGGCACGGTGGCCTCCTCATCCACAGGTGAGTCTGGCTCAGGTGAGGCTCCACGGGTGTCGCCTCCATCGCCCTTCAGGATAACTGGTCCCCAGACCCGGAAAGGACCCCGCAGCCCTCTCGGCACAGAGCAGCTCTGTCTGTGCTCAGCCATCACCCACTCCCCACCTGTTTCTCAGCCTGGAAAACGGGCTTGGGACCATGGAACCCTGTTTCCTCGCCTGATGGCTCCTAAGTTCCCTGACTGTGAAAAGGCCTCCTAAAGAAAAACCCAAGTTGTTCCCACAGTGGGAAGTAAACTTAAGAAACATGCTTATCAGGCTGGGCATGGTGGCTCCCACCTGTAATCCCAGCGCTTTGGGGGACCAAGGCAGGTGGATCACTTGAGGTCAGGAATTCGAGACCAGCCTGGGCAACATGGCAAAACCCTATCTCTACTAAAAATACAAAAATTAGGCAGGCGTGGTGGCATGTGCCTGTAGTCCCAGCTACTTGGGAGGCTGAGGCAGGAGAATCACTTGAATCCAGGAGGCAGAGGTTGCAGTGAGCCGAGATCACGCTGCTGCACTCCAGCCTGGGCAATAGAGCATGACTCTGAAGAAAAGAAAGAAAGAAAGAGAGAGAGAGAGAAAAGAAAGAAAGAAAGAAAGAAAGAAAGAAAGAAAGAAAGAAAGAAAGAAAGAAAGAAAGAGAAAGAAAGAGAAGAAAAGAAAAGAAAGAGCTTATCAATAAGCCCTTAAAGGATTTAGATAAATGTGTGTAAGGGAAGAGCTGATCCATTGCTACCAAGCTCCTGGAGGAAACCAGGTCTCAGAGGATGTCCCTAAACTTTTAAGGTTCATATTCAGGAAAACAAACAACTTCCAGCTGGGCTTAGTGGCTCACACCTGTAATCCCAGCACTTTGGGAGGCCGAGGCAGGAGGATCGCTTGAGCCCAGGAATTTGAGACCAGCCTGGGCAATATAATGAGACTGTGTCTCTACAAAAATTAGAAAAAAATTAGCCAGGCATGGTGGCATGCACCTGTAGCCCCAGTTACTTGGGAGACTGAGGTGGGAGGATCACTTGAGCCCATGAGTTCAAGGCTGCAGTGAGCCATGAAGGTGCCACTGCACTCCCACCTGGGCGACAGAGGGAGACCCTGTCTCTAAGAAAAACGGCGGGGGTGGGGGTGGTGCCAGTGCCAGCATCCCTCTGTTCTAAGACATTGTCCCTTCTCTTGCAGCTGTCATAGTCTCAGCCCGCATGGCCCCCGAGGAGATCATCATGGACAGACCCTTCCTCTTTGTGGTCCGGCACAACCCCACAGGTGAGCCTGGAACCCATCACGTTCCACATCCTCCCACCCATTCTTTCTCTCAGGAACTAGTCCCGACAGATGCAGACATCCCTCTATCCCTGAGAGGGCTCTGGGCAGGGAACCCATAACCCTACCCTGCTTCCTGTCCCAAGAGGAGGCTACCTTCTATCACCCACAGACAGTGCCGGGTCCCCGCTCTGTGACTCAGGCAGCTGCGACTCCAGACAGCTCACTCATCTGCCTAGATCTCAGTCCTTCCACCCACATCCAGCCTGATGAGCTGTCCCACTCCTTCTGCTTCTCAACCCCCATGGTTCTTCCACCCTCAGGAACAGTCCTTTTCATGGGCCAAGTGATGGAACCCTGACCCTGGGGAAAGACGCCTTCATCTGGGACAAAACTGGAGATGCATCGGGAAAGAAGAAACTCCGAAGAAAAGAATTTTAGTGTTAATGACTCTTTCTGAAGGAAGAGAAGACATTTGCCTTTTGTTAAAAGATGGTAAACCAGATCTGTCTCCAAGACCTTGGCCTCTCCTTGGAGGACCTTTAGGTCAAACTCCCTAGTCTCCACCTGAGACCCTGGGAGAGAAGTTTGAAGCACAACTCCCTTAAGGTCTCCAAACCAGACGGTGACGCCTGCGGGACCATCTGGGGCACCTGCTTCCACCCGTCTCTCTGCCCACTCGGGTCTGCAGACCTGGTTCCCACTGAGGCCCTTTGCAGGATGGAACTACGGGGCTTACAGGAGCTTTTGTGTGCCTGGTAGAAACTATTTCTGTTCCAGTCACATTGCCATCACTCTTGTACTGCCTGCCACCGCGGAGGAGGCTGGTGACAGGCCAAAGGCCAGTGGAAGAAACACCCTTTCATCTCAGAGTCCACTGTGGCACTGGCCACCCCTCCCCAGTACAGGGGTGCTGCAGGTGGCAGAGTGAATGTCCCCCATCATGTGGCCCAACTCTCCTGGCCTGGCCATCTCCCTCCCCAGAAACAGTGTGCATGGGTTATTTTGGAGTGTAGGTGACTTGTTTACTCATTGAAGCAGATTTCTGCTTCCTTTTATTTTTATAGGAATAGAGGAAGAAATGTCAGATGCGTGCCCAGCTCTTCACCCCCCAATCTCTTGGTGGGGAGGGGTGTACCTAAATATTTATCATATCCTTGCCCTTGAGTGCTTGTTAGAGAGAAAGAGAACTACTAAGGAAAATAATATTATTTAAACTCGCTCCTAGTGTTTCTTTGTGGTCTGTGTCACCGTATCTCAGGAAGTCCAGCCACTTGACTGGCACACACCCCTCCGGACATCCAGCGTGACGGAGCCCACACTGCCACCTTGTGGCCGCCTGAGACCCTCGCGCCCCCCGCGCCCCTCTTTTTCCCCTTGATGGAAATTGACCATACAATTTCATCCTCCTTCAGGGGATCAAAAGGACGGAGTGGGGGGACAGAGACTCAGATGAGGACAGAGTGGTTTCCAATGTGTTCAATAGATTTAGGAGCAGAAATGCAAGGGGCTGCATGACCTACCAGGACAGAACTTTCCCCAATTACAGGGTGACTCACAGCCGCATTGGTGACTCACTTCAATGTGTCATTTCCGGCTGCTGTGTGTGAGCAGTGGACACGTGAGGGGGGGGTGGGTGAGAGAGACAGGCAGCTCGGATTCAACTACCTTAGATAATATTTCTGAAAACCTACCAGCCAGAGGGTAGGGCACAAAGATGGATGTAATGCACTTTGGGAGGCCAAGGCGGGAGGATTGCTTGAGCCCAGGAGTTCAAGACCAGCCTGGGCAACATACCAAGACCCCCGTCTCTTTAAAAATATATATATTTTAAATATACTTAAATATATATTTCTAATATCTTTAAATATATATATATATTTTAAAGACCAATTTATGGGAGAATTGCACACAGATGTGAAATGAATGTAATCTAATAGAAGCCTAATCAGCCCACCATGTTCTCCACTGAAAAATCCTCTTTCTTTGGGGTTTTTCTTTCTTTCTTTTTTGATTTTGCACTGGACGGTGACGTCAGCCATGTACAGGATCCACAGGGGTGGTGTCAAATGCTATTGAAATTGTGTTGAATTGTATGCTTTTTCACTTTTGATAAATAAACATGTAAAAATGTTTCAAAAAAATAATAAAATAAATAAATACGAAGAATATGTCAGGACAGTCACTGCCTTCACCTTCTCCATTTCACACCGGTGGTACAAGAAATCAGAAGCCTAGGCCAGGTGTGGTGGTTCATGCCTGTAATCCCAGCACTTTGGGAAGCCGAGGTGGGTGGATCACCTAAGGTCAGGAGTTTGAGACCAGCCTGGACAACATGGTGAAACCCCGTCTCTACTAAAAATACAAAAATTAGCCGGGCGTGGTGGCTGGCGCCTGTAATCCCAGCTACTCGGGAGGCTGAGGCAGGAGAATCACTTGAAGCCAGGAGGCAGAGGTTGCAGTGAGCTGAGATTGCATCACTGAACTCCAGGCTGGGTGGCAGAGCGAGACTCCCTCTCAAAAAACAACAACTACAAAGACAACAACAAACCCAGAATCAAAATCCTGTTGGTCCATAGACCTCATGGGTGGAAGAGACCTTCCTACATCCAGGTTGGCCCAACATGGGGGAGTCCATGAAATGGTCACCTCAGCTCTGCCACAAGCCCCAAGGATAAGTTGATTCTGCCCCTGGGAATCATCCTCAAAAAGGAAAAAAATGTTCCCCTGCCATAAACTTTCCACTTATGCAGATGGGCCTGCTCGTAAGTCACTGTCACTGTGGGTTCCCAACTCTGTTCATGACACTTCCTTCCAGCACCAAATGCTTCCCACCCCTCTACTCCCACTCCCCATTCTTCAAACCCAGCTCAAGTTCCAGTTCCTCCACCTAGGACTTCCCATGGATCCAGCCAATATCACTCTCAGGTCCGGCGCAGTGGCCCACGCCTGTAATCTCAGCACTTTGGGAGGCCGGGGCAGGAAGATTGCTTGAGGCCAGGAGTTTCAGACCAGCCTGGACAACATAGTGAGACTCTTCCTCTAAGAAAAGAAAGAGAGAAAGAGAGAGAGAAAGACAGAGGAAAGAGAGAGAAAAATAAAGAAAGAGAGAAAGAAAGAAAGAAAAAGAAAAAGAAAGAAAGAACGAAAGAAAGAAAGAAAGAAAGAAAGAAAGAAAGAAAGAAAGAAAGAAAGAAAGAAAGAAAGAAAGAAAGAAAGAAAAAGAAAGGAAGGAAGGAAGGAAAGGAGGGAGGGAGGGAGGGAAGGAAGGAAGGAAGGAAGGAAGGGGATCAAAACATCATCACTCTCAACTCGACACTGACTGAGTTTTCTTCTCCCTGGTCTGTAACAGTGCTTGGATTCTCGAGTGTTCCTTAGCTTTGTGTGTGTGTGTCTTACCCTCCCCAAGCCCATCAAGGTATCAGGTTTCTTGAAAACAAGGCTCTCTTGTTATATATACTCTAGCATCTTCTTGAAAATGGCTTCCTGAAAAGTCTTTTATTATCTTTCTCCAGCATCTCGAAGGCTTTTGGCAGAGGGCACACTTCCCTCCATTAGTTTCTGTTCAAATATTCAAAAATAATTTTTTAAACTGAAAAAAGACCAATAACCATCTGTTGAACTTGTATACTGTCTAACTCCAGAACCCTGAAGATAGGATTCAGAGATGCAGCCCCCTGAACACCCAGCTCATTTCTATTGCTTTTTAAACAATTTTTTGTAGAGACGGGGTTGCACCATGTTTTGAACTTTTGGGCTCAAACAATCCTCCTGCCTCGGCCTCCCAAATTGCTGGGATTACAGTTGTGAGCCACCATGCCCAGCTTGGCTCAGGTGTACCTTTCAACCTCCTTATACCCTGAAAGTATGACTAATTCCAGGCCCCAGGCTAGTGGCTGAAAAGTTACCTGTCTCTAACAGATTTGCTTGGAAAGCTAAACAGCCTCTTTTTGCACAAAATGCTTCAAAAAGCAGAACAAATTAGCCCTAACTCTGCAGTATACAGTTCAAAAACTGCTCATCCATGCTGAGATGGCTCTAGAGGAAAAAGAGTTCTTCAAAAAGCCCCCTCACCACAGAGGAGGCTTGTTCCAGGAAATGCCCCATTTAACAGACTCTCAGCTATTGTGAGGACAAAAATGATGTAGACTCACAGCACGAGACCTGCCCAGCCCTGTTTGACTTTGCCTGGCCCTGTCCCTTGCCTGTTCTAAGTTTGTCTTCCCTTCTCTATTTTTTTTTTTCTTTTAAGACAGGGTCTCGCTTTGTTGCTGAGGCAAAAGTGCAGTGGCACAATCTTAGCTTATTACAGCCTCCATCTCCTGGGCCCAAAGCCATCCTCGCACCTCAGCCTCCCGAGTAGCTGGGACCACAGGTGTGCGCCGCCAAGCCCTGCTAATATTTGCATTTTTTGGAGAGATGGTGTCTCACTATATTGCCCAGGCTGGTCTCGAATTCCTAGGCTCAAGCAATCCACCTGTCTCGGCCTCCCAAAGTACTGTGATCACAAAGTGCTGGGCCACCATGCCTGGCCCGCTGTTCTTTAGGGATGAAAAATTAACAAGATCTGCCTCCAGCTACCGTTATTGTACATTTCTTGTAAACCTCAAACAGTGGAATTATTTATCTGCTCATCTGTGGGCAAAGAGTATGAATGTTGTAAATCCCTTAATGGTAAAAATATTCAGTCAAAAGCAA
Source organism: Homo sapiens (assembly GCF_000001405.40). NCBI lineage: Eukaryota > Metazoa > Chordata > Mammalia > Primates > Hominidae > Homo > Homo sapiens. The sequence goes on from NC_000007.14 coordinate 101,141,780, forward strand.
ATTTGTCAAGGAGACACCATCTTTTTTTGAAATCATTTTTTTAGGTGGTTTCTCAAGTAAGCTTTGTTGAAATAATAGTAGCAAGCGGCTGGGCGTGGTGGCTCAGGCCTGTAATCCCAGCACTTTAGGAGGCCAAGGTGGGCGGATCACCTGAGGTCAGGAGTTTGAGACCAGCCTGGCCAACAAGGTGAAACCCTGTCTCTACTAAAAATACAAAAATTAGGCCGGGTGTGGTGGCTCACACCTGTAATCCCAGCACTTTGGGAGGCCAAGGCGGGTGGATCACGAGGTCAGGAGTTCAAGACCAGCCTGGCCAGGTTGGTGAAACCCCGTCTCCACTAAAAACACACAAAAAATTAACGAGGCGCAGTGGCGGGTGCCTGTAGTCCCAGCTACTCAGGAGGCTGAGGCAGGAGAATGGCGTGAAACCAGGAGGCAGAGCTTGCAACGAGCCGAGATCACGCCACTGGACTCCAGCCTGGGCAACAGAGTGAGACTCCGTCTCAAAAAAAAAAAAAAAAAAAAAAGTAGCAAGCACTCAGGAAAACTGAGACACAGAGAGGTTGAGTAACTTGATCTCATTATTATCATTATTTTAGAGAGGGGGTCTCTGTTGTTTAGGCTGGAGTGCAGTGGTGCAATCACAGCTCACTGCAGCCTTGAACTGCTGGGCTCAAACAATCCTGTCTCAGCCTCCCAAGCAGCTGGGACTACAGGTGCGCACCACTCACTACCCAGCTAATTCGTTTTCTTTCTTTTTTTTTTTTTTTTAAAAAAAAGTCTCGCTCTGTCACCCATGCTGGAATGCAATGGCTTGATCTCTCTGCTCACTACAACCTCCGCCTCCCGGGTTCAAGAGATTCTCCTTTCTCAGCCTCCTGAGTAGCTGGGATTACAGGCATGTGCCACCATGCCCGGTTAATTTTTGTATTTTTAGTAGAGATAGGGTTTTGCCATGTTGGCCAGGCTGGTCTCGAGCTTCTGACCTCAGGTAATCCACCTGCCTCAGCCTCCCAAAGTGCTGAGATTACAGGTGTGAGCCACTGCACCTGGCCCCAGCTAATTTTTTAATTGTATTTTTTGTAGACACAGGGTCTCACTATGTTGTCCAAGCTGGTCTCGAACTCCTGGGCTCAGCCTCCCAAAGTGCTGGGATTACAGGCGTGAGCCACTGCACCCGGCCCCAGCTAATTTTTTAATTTTATTTTTTGTAGAGACAGGGTCTCACTATGTTGTTCAAGCTGGTCTTGAACTCTGGGGCTCAGCCTCCCAAAGTGCTGGGATTACAAGCATGAGCTACTGTGCCCAGCTGCTGCTATCATCATTATTACTTAACAGCCACAGGCAGTTGGGCACCCTGTGTTCCCTGCCTCTACACCATATTGCCTCTCTCTGTGGCACGTGTGAACAGGAACAGGTCTCCCGAAACACCAAGAAGGGCTCAGACGTAGGCAGGACGCGGTGGCGAATCACTTGAGGTCAGTAGTTTGAGACCAGCCTGGCCAACATGGTACAATCCCATCTCCATTAAAAATACAAAAAAAAAAAAAAAAAAATAGCTGGGCATTGTGGCGCACAACTGTGGTCCCAGCTGCTCAAGAGGCTGAGGCAGGAGAATCATTTGAATCCAGGAGACGGAGGCTGCAGTGAACTGAGATCGCACCACTGCACTCCAGCCTGGGCGATAGAGCAAGACATCAAGAGAGAGAGAAAAAAGGAAAGAATGAAAGAAAGAGAGAAAGAAAGAGAGAAAGAAAGAAGAAAGAAAGAAAGAAAGAAAGAAAGAAAGAAAGAAAGAAAGAAAGAAAGAAAGAAAGAGAAAGAAAGAAAGAAAGGGAAAGGAAGGGAAAGGAAAGGGAAAGGAAAGAAAAGAAAGAAAATGAAGAGAAGGAAGGGAAGGAAGGGAAAGAAGAAAGAAGGGAAAGAAAGAAAGAAGGGAAAGAAAGAAAGAAGAGAAAGAAAGAGAGAAAAGAAGGGCTCAGACGTGGTCGAGTATAAAGGTGCTGGCCAGGCAGTGGCTCATGCCTGTAATTCGAGCACTTTGGAAGGCCGAGGCAAGTGAATCACCTGAGTCCAGGAGTTCGAGACCAGCCTGGGCAACATGGCAAAACCTCGTCTCCACAAAAAAAAATACAAAAATGAGCTGGGCGTGGTGGCGGGCGCCAGTAGTCCCAGCTACTCTGGAGGCTGAGGTGGGAGGATTGCCTGAGCCAAGGAGGTCGAGGTTGCAGTGAGCCAAGATCACGCCACTACACTCCAGCCTGGGGTGACAGAGCAAGACCCCGGCTCAAAAAAAAAAAAAAAAAAAGTGCTGCCCTCACGTGCCAGTCATCAGCAGCTTGTGTGTTGCCACCAGCCGCGGGGCCAGCCTGAACACTTGCTTCCTGAACCAGGTCTTTGATCTCCTCGCCACCAGAGGTCGCTTTCGCTCCAGTGGAAAGCTCTTCCCTGAAGCAAAGCAGCTGTGGCTTCCACCAAAATCTTGCCAAGTTGGAACTCCATTCAATTTAACGAGTATTTATTTAAAAGCTGACCTTTAGACTGGGTACTGTGAAGCATTAAAAAGAAAGTGTCAGCTATTCTTAATAGCAGATATCTAATGACAAGGGACATCAAAAAGCTGGGGAAAAAAAGCTATGCTGACCAGGTGCAGTGGCTCATGCCTGTAATCCCAACATTTTGAGAGGCCAAGGTGGGAGGATCACTTGAGGCAGCCAGGAGTTTGGGACCAGCCTGGACAACATGGCGAAACACTCAACTAAAAATAAAAAAACTTAGCCAGGCGTGGTGGTGCATGCCAGTTACTCTGGAGGCTGAGGCCGGAGGATCACTTGAGCCCTGGGAAGTCGAGGCTGCAGTAAGCTGTGATTGCACCACTACATTCAAGCTGGGGCAACAAAGTGAGACCCTGTCTTGAAAAAGAAAAAAGAAAAGAAAAGGAAGAAAAGCTATGCAAGTCACTGCAAAAATAATGGAAAGGAACACTGTATAAATGATCGCTATAGTCTGAAATAGAGTGTAGACTCATCAGAGGAGGGGCTGTTTGAAACCATAAAGGATAGGCTGGGCGCGGTGGCTCACGCCTGTAATCCCAGCACTTTGGGAGGCCGAGGCGGGCAGATCACGAGGTCAGGAGATCGAAACCATCCTGGCTAACACGGTGAAACCCCGTCTCTACTACAAATACAAAAAATTAGCCGGGCGTGGTGGCGGGCGCCTGTAGTCCCAGCTACTCAGGAGGTTGAGGCAGGAGGATGGCGTGAACCCGGGAGGCGGAGCTTGCAGTGAGCCGAGATTGTGCCACTGCTCTCCAACCTGGGCGACACAGCGAGACTCCTTCTCAAAAAAAAAAAAAAAAAAAAAAGAAACCATAAAGGATAAATCAGATGGGTTTGGGGTCTATAGGGAGGGAATGGCAGGGCATTCCAGAAAACAGCATGAACAAAATCACGAAGGAAAACGTATAGCAGGGCAGATGCAAGGGACACGTGAGAATGAACTCTCAGATCTCCAGCTGGTTTCAGCCTGTCCCCTCCTCCCTCCTGATAACCCAGCCATTCCTCTCTAGGCCCTCACCTAATCTAGTCCAGCAAGTCTTCCCTGGGGCCCTTGAATAAGCCACAATTTCGTGTTACCCCCCTCATGTCCCAGGCTTACAGCTTGCAAGGCTAGAAAAAGGCAGTAACATCAACCACAATGGAAAACCAAGAGGGGATAATTTCAGGGGAAGGAAGTGGCAACACGTTTTTGGCAAGTGAAGTTTGAGATGACAATGGAATACTTACTTTATTTCATTTTATTTTTAAAAAATGGAAACCGGCTGGGTGCAGTGGCTCACACCTGTAATCCCAGCACTTTGGGAGTCCAAGCATGTGGATCACATGAGGTCAGGAGTTTGAGACCAGCCTGGCCAACATGGTGAAACCCCGTCTTTACTAAAAATACAAAAATTAGCCGGGCATGGTGGTGGGCACCTGTAAACCCAGCTACTCGGGAGGCTGAGGCAGGAGAATTGCTTGAACCCTGGAGGCGGAGGCTGCAGTGAGCCGAGATCACACCATTGCACTCCAGCTTGGGCGACAGAGTGAGGCTCCAAAAAAAAAAAAAAAAAAAGGAGGAGGAGGAGAAGGGGAAGGAAAGGAAGGAAGGAAGGAAGGAGGGAAGGAAGGAAGGAAGCAAGGAAGGAAGGGAGGGAGGAAGGAAGGAAGGAAGGAAATTGGGCATTTCAGGGAATTGCTGGGGCAGCCAGAGAACCAAATTGGAGGGAGGTCTCACACTATTGCACTAGGAACAATGCCCCACATCAAACCTGTGCCCCTGCCTGTCCTGTGGATGCAAGACACCGCTAATAGCGCCACTCCACTGCCACCCTAGGAACTTGATCCTCTGTCCTTCTGCCAGGGTCTTAACTACTTTCCATCTCCTCATGCCCACCCCAGTCTCTCCTGGAGCAAAGTCTGGCAGGTGCACAGATGGGCAGAGTCCAGCTGACATGCCCATGCTATGCCCAGAAACAACGCTGCAAAAGTGAATATCTGGAAATTGCAAATACTACTCTGGGAGGTTGGTCTATCTGCTCCCTAAATTCATAAGACATGGGATTCCCACACTCCAAGAAGGGGGGTTAGAACCTGAGTGCTGAAAAGAATGACAAACATCAACCACAGAGAGTGTTCCAGCCGGGTGTGGTGTATAGGATTACGTCTGTAATCCCAGCACTTTGGGAGGCCAAGGCAGGAAGATCACTTGAGCCCAGGAGTTTGAGACCAGCCTGGGCAACATAGCGAGACCTGGTGTCTGCAAACAATTTTTTTTTTTTTTTTTGAGACAGAGCCTCACTCTATTGCCCAAGCTGGAGTGCAGTGTCGAGATCTCAGATCATTGCAACCTCTGCCTCCCGGGTTCAAGCAATTCTCCTGCTTCAGCCTCCCAAATAGCTGGGATTACAGGTGTGCGCCATCACGCCCGGCTAATTTTTGTATTTTTAGTAGAGACAGGGTTTCACCATGTTGGCCAGGCTGGTCTTGAACTCCTAACCTCAAGTGATCCACCCACCTCGGCCTCCCAAAGTGCTGGGATTATAGGTGTGAACCACCACACCCAGCCCTACAAACAAATTTTTAAAAATAGCTAGGTATGGTGGTGCATGCCTACAGTCTCAGCTACTTGGAAGGCTGAGGCAGGAGGATCACTTGAGCCCATGAGTTTGAGGGTGCAGTGATCATGATCACACCACTGCACTCCAGCCTGGGCAAGAGAGTGAGACCCTGACTCTAAAAAAATTGAAAAAAAAAGGTGGGGAGGAACATGGATCATAGACTCACAAAGATGAGAGGCTTCAGAATCCATCTGGCCACCTCTCAACCACCGCAGGAACCACCTCTACAACCACATGAGAAAAGGCATGGGGAGGTGTCAGTGTGGTTTGTAAGATGACAGTACAAACACCATTCCTAATAGTGAAGAAGAATCTCACCTCTTCAGCTAGGTGCAGTGGCTCAGGCCTGTAATCCCAGCACTTTGGGAGGCCGAGGCGGGTGGATCACTTGAGGTCAGGAGTTTAAAACCAGCCTGGCCAACATGGTGAAACCCCGTCTCTACTAAAAATACAAAAGTTAGCCAGGTGTGGTGGCATGCGCCTGTAATCCCAGCTACGCAAGAGGCTGAGGCAGGAGAATTGCTTGTACCCAGGAGGCGGAGGTTGCAGTGAGCTGAGATCGCGCCATTGCACTCCAGCCTGGGTGACAGAGCGAGACGCCATCTCAAAAAAAAAAAAGAGAAGAAGAAGAATCTCACCTCTTCCATGTTTCCATTTATACAAGTGGCACCACTAACCCTCCAGGATTTTTCTCCCTTCCTCTCTACTTAGATGATGATCAGCTTCAGATCACCAGCTCCTTTGAGGCATCTCTCCTGATTTGTCCCTCGCATTTCATCCTGGAGTCAGGATTCCCAAAACTCTCAGACGATCTTTCAGCTTTCCAATTGTCCTTTCAAATTCTTCCACATATGACTATAAGATTAATCTTTTTTTTTCTGAGACAGGGTATCGCTCTGTCACCCAGGCTGGAGTGCAGTGGAAAAATCGACTCACTGCAGCCTCTACCTCCTGCACTCAAGCGATCCTCCCACCTCAGCCTCCTAAGTAGCTGGGACCACAGGCACGTGCCACCATGCCTGGCTAATTTTTTTTATTTTTTCTAGAAACAGGGTCTTCGTTGCCCAGGCTGGTCTCAAACTCCTAAGCTCAAGCAATTCTGCCACCTCAGCCTCCCAAAGTGCTGGGCTTACGAGCCTGAGCCACCATGTGCCTGGCCAAGATTAACTTTATTAACACTGTTTTCACCAAGTTATTCACTGGTTCACACAACCATAATGACCCTAAACTGCCAACTGCATCAAATCTCAATTCATCTCCATGCACAAGCTGTATCGGATCAACTAACTCATAGATCCTCCACATTCATCATTCACTAACAATGAAGAAATCCAAGTTGGGTGTCGTGGCTCACGCCTGTAATCCCAGCACTTTGGGAGGCCAAAGCAGGTGGATAACTTGAGGTTAGGAGTTCGAGACCAGCCTGGCCAATATGGTGAAACCCTGTCTCTACTAAAAATACAAAAAAATTAGCTGGGTGTGATGACGCATGCCTATAGCCCCAGCTGCTCAGGAGGCTGAGGAGGGAGAATCGCTTGAACCTGGCAGGCAGAGGTTGCAGTGAGCCGAGATCATACCACTGCACTCCAGCCTGGGAGACAGGGCAAGACTCTAGTTTCAACCACTTGAATTCTATGACTCCCTACAAGCAAAACCCATATTTCTTTTCATTTGTAATTTCTTTAATTTTTTGAGACAGGTTCTTGCTCTGTCATCCAGGTTGGAGTGCAGTGGTAAGATATCGGCTCACTGCAACCTCCACCTGCCAGGCTCAAGCGATCCTCCCACCTCAGCCTCCTGAGTAGCTGGGACCACAGGTGTGCGCCACCATGCCCGACTAATGTTTGTATCTTTTGTAGAGACAGGGTTTTGCCAGGTTGCCCATGCTGGTCTTGAATTATTTGGCTCCTGCAATCCTCCCACCTCAGCCTCCCGAAGTGCTAGGATTACAGGCGTGAGCCACTGTGCCTGGCTGCAAAACCCACATTTCTAACAATTCTCTCATGAAGCCTATCTTTTCTGCAGTTAGGCGTATCACATTGAGGCAAGGAATTTTAAAGAGTGTCGGCTTTCCAAGAAGTGTAGGAGTTGATATCTCTCGAGCTTCCAAACTTCTGCAAGCTGCTGCCCGGCCCTCTGCTTTATTTCTTTTTCTTTTCCTTTTTTTTTTTTTTTTTTTTGAGGCAGAGTCTTGCTCTTTAGCCCAGGCTGAAGTGCAGTGGCGTGATCTCTGCTCACTGCAGCCTCTGCTTCCTGAGTTCCAGCAATTCTCCTGCCTCAGCCTCCTAGGTAGCTGGGATTACAGGCACCCGTATTTTTAGTAGAGATGGGTTTCACCATGTTGACCAGGCCTAGTCTCGAACTCCTGACCTCAGGTGATCTGCCCACCTCGGCCTCCCAAAGTGCTGGGATTACAGGCCTGAGCCACCACACCCAGCCTGCTTTATTTATCTCACCACTCATACCACTCATTCCTTCCTTATACCTTCTCATCTCTCTCCTAAGCACATTTCCTTTTTTTCTTTTTTTCTTTTTTTTTGAGACAGAGTCTTGCTCTGTCTGGAGTGAAGTACAATGACACGATCTAGGCTTACTGCAACCTCTGCCTCTCGGGTTCAAGTGATTCCCTAGCCTCAGTCTCCCGAGCAGCTGGGATTATAGGCACCCGCCATCACCCCTAGCTAATTTTTTTGTATTTTGTAGAGACAGGGTTTCACCACGTTGGCCAGGCTGGTCTTGAACTCCTGACCTCAGGTCATCCACCTGCCTCCGCCTCCCAAAGTTCTGAGATTACAGGCACGAGCCACTGCGCCCGGCCATACTTCTAGTCCTTGCTTTCATTCCATATGATTTATCCTTTCTAATCCTAACAACTTGCTTTATTGATCTTATTCTTGACCTACAAATGATACCAGGTGAAGGGGTGGGTTGCCCCCCACACCTGTGGGTGTTTCTCGTTAGGTGGAACGAGAGATTTGGAAAAGAAAAAGACACAGAGACAAAGTATAGAGAAAGAAATAAGGGGACCCAGGGAACCAGCGTTCAGCATATGGAGGATCCCGCCAGCCTCTGAGTTCCCTTAGTATTTATTGATCATTCATGGGTGTTTCTCCGAGAGGGGGATGTGGCAGGGTCACAAGACAATAGTGGGGAGAGGGTCAGCAGACAAACACGTGAACAAAGGTCTTTGCATCATAGACAGGGTAAAGAATCAAGTGCTGTGCTTTTAGATATGCATACACATAAACGTCTCAATGCTTTACAAAGCAGTATTGCTGCCCGCATGTCCCACCTCCAGCCCTAAGACGGTTTTTCCCTATCTCAGTAGATGGAACGTACAATCGGGTTTTATACCAAGACATTCCATTGCCCAGGGACGGGCAGGAGACAGATGCCTTCCTCTTGTCTCAACTGCAAGAGGCATGCCTTCCTCTTATACTAATCCTCCTCAGCACAGACCCTTTACGGGTGTCGGGCTGGGGGACAGTCAGGTCTTTCCCTTCCCACGAGGCCATATTTCAGACTATCCCATGGGGAGAAACCTTGGACAATACCTGGCTTTCCTAGGCAGAGGTCCCTGCGGCCTTCCGCAGTGTTTGTGTCCCTGGGTACTTGAGATTAGGGAGTGGTGATGACTCTTAAGGAGCATGCTGCCTTCAAGCATCTGTTTAACAAAGCACATCTTGCACCGCCCTTAATCTATTTAACCCTGAGTTTGACACAGCACATGTTTCAGAGAGCACGGGGTTGGGGGTAAGGTCATAGATTAACAGAAACTCAAGGCAGAAGAATTTGTCTTAGTACAGAACAAAATGGAGTCTCCTATGTCTACTTCTTTCTACACAGACACAGTAACAATCTGATCTGTCTTGCTTTTCCCCACAACCAGGATAGTCCAGCCAGCTAACTGTCTGTGCCATCTTATTCTTGACCTAATAAATAGCTGCCGGGCTTGGTGGCTCACACCTGTAATCCCAGCATTTTGGGAGGCCGAGGCGGGTGGATCACGAGGTCAGGAGTTCGAGACCAGCCTGGCCAACATAGTGAAACCCCGTCTCTACTGAAAATACAAAAATTAGCTGGGCGTGGTGGCATGCACCTATAATCCCAGCTACTTAGGAGGCCGAGGCAGGAAAATCACTTGAGCCCAGGAGGTGGAGGTTGCAGTGAGCCGAGATCACACCATTGCAGTCCAGCCTGAGCGACAGTGCAAGAGTCTGTCTCAAAAAAAAAAAATAAATAAATAAATAAATAAGTAGCACCACAATAGTTCAGGCAGCCAATAATCTATGCCACTGGTAAGATATTCCACTAGTATATGTCATATATCTTAGACGATGGTGTTGAAAAGCCTAAGGTGGAGGCAGAGGAGAAAAGAAAACAAAAGCAAAAGGAAGAAGAAAAAGTAAAAGAAGAAAGAAGTTGGGCCCGGGCGCGGTGGCTCACACCTGTAATCCCAGAACTTTTGAGAGGCCAAGGCAGGCAGATCACTCGAGGTCAGGAGTTTGAGACCAGCGTGGCCAACGTGGTGAAACCCCATCTCTACTAAAAAAATAAAACTTAGCGGGGTGTGGTGGTAGATATCTGTAGTCCCAGCTACTTGGGAGGCTGAGGAAGGAGAATTGCTTGATCCGGGGAGGTGGAGGCTGCAGTGAGCCGAGATCGTGCCACTGCACTCCAGCGTGGGCAACAAGAACGAGACTCCGTCTCAACAACAACAACAACAACAAAAAAAAAAAAAAAAAAGGAAGAGTCTGGGAAGAGGAAATGATAGGTACCATTATGAAGTGTTTACAGATACTTGCTATACATTACCTCTAATCCTCAGAACCACCTTGCAAGATATGTACTACTGTCCTCTTTTTTTTTTTTTTTTTTTGAGACAGAAGGCTGAGTCAGGAGGCTGAATCAGGAGAATCACTTGAACCCGGGAGGTGGAGGTTGCAGTGAGCCGAGATTGTGCCACTGCACTCCAGCCTGGGCAACAGAGCAAGACTCCATCTCAAAAAAATAAATACACAAAATAAATAAATAAAGTGGAGACAGGAGGTGAGGCCTTACCAACAATTGCATCATGTGCTACTCAAAAATAATAGCACATTAGTTGCCAACAATTATCTACCATTAACTTTTCTGCATGACAAAATTTAAGATTTTCTCTTATCCTTCTATCCAGACCTCTTTACTTTATCATTTGTGCTAGGGAAGCAGGAGCCTCAGAGAGCCAGCATAAAGCCATTTTAAGTTCAGCTCCATCTTGAAACTAACAAGGCACATTCCTTGTCAGTCACAACCCAAAGCTGTTTACAGTTGGGGAAACAGCTTAAAGATACCTGCAAGGACAGACTCCTCCAACTACAGAAAATCCAGATGCCCCAATACCCATAACAATATGTGCCTTTAAGATAATTATAGTTCTGGCTGGGTGTGGAGGCTAAGGCAGGATTGCTTTAGGCCAGGAGTTCGAGATCAGCCTGGCCAACATTGCAAAACCCCCTCTCTACTAAAGATACAAAAATTAGCTGGGTGTCGTAGCACATGCCTACAATCCCAGTAGTGAGACCCCATCTCTACAACAAAATATTTTTTTAATTAATTGGATGCACTGGTTCATGCCTGCAGTCACAGCTACTTGGGAGGCTGAGGTGAAAGGATGTAGCTGTAATCCAGCTATTAGGGATGCTGAGACACAAGAATGGCTTGAACCCAGGAGGTGGAGGTTGCAGTGAGCTGAGATCACGCCACTGCACTACAGCCTGGGCAACAGATCAAGACTCTGTCTCAAGAAAAAAAAAAAAGGAAGAAAGATAATTAAGTTTTGCTTTGATGTACTTACCTACTAGAATGTCAAGGATAGTTAAATTAACAGAATAATAAATTTTGTCATGCCATTGGCCCATCTGCACATTGACTCGGCTTAGTTTAGTCTCTACAAAAACAAGACCCCTATATAAGAAAAACTTAAAGGTCAGGGGCGGTGGCTCATACCTGTAATCCCAACACTTTGGGAGGCTGAGGAGTGTGGATACCTTGAGTCCAGGAGTCCCAGACCAGCTTGGGTAGCATGACAATACCCTGTGTCTACAAAACATACAACTATTAGCTGGCTGTGGTGGTGCATGCCTGTAGTCCTAGCTACTTGGGAGACTGAAGTGGGAGGATCGCTTGAGCTCAGGAGGTGGAGGCTGCAGTGAACTATGATCATGCTACTACACTCCAGCCTGGGCAACAGAGTAAGACCCTGTCTCAAAAAAAGAAGAAAAAAAAAAAGAAAGAAAGAAAAGAAAAACTTAAGACAGTGTGTTCCTCTGTTTGCTTTCTGAGGACGCCCTACTCCGTAAGGGTGTAGCTTTCAATAAACTCTCTCTTCTCATCGCACTCTACGACTTGCTTTGGGTTCCTTCCTGCATGAGATCCAAGAATTCTCTCTTGGGGTCTGGATCGGGACCCCTTTTTCCAGTAACATGTAGACACACACACACATTCAGTTTAAAAGCCCATATTACAACGTACATCCACCTCATCTTCACACTGAGATTTGGGTGACATCTGTCCCTTTTTGAGTTTTGACCCAAGTTAACCTTTTAAGACGCTCTTTATTTCTTCCCCTTTTGCCTCAGTTCACGTTCCTCCCCCTTCTCCTTACATGCCTTTTATAGCAGCCTCTCCTTTTCTCTTTTATTCTTTTTCTACACATTTCTCTTACTGTAAAATCAGAAGCCAGGCGCGGTGGCTCACGCCTGTAATCCCAGCAGTTTGGGAAACCGAGGCGGGAGGGTCTCTTGAACCCAAGAGTTCGAGACCAGCCTGGGCAACATAGTAAGACCCCCGTCTCTACTAAAAAAAAATTAAAAATTAGCTGGGCATGACGGTGTGCGTCTGTAGTCCCAGCTACTCAGGAGGCTGAGGCGGGAGGATCGCTTGAGGCCAGGAGTTCAAGGCTGCAGAGAGTCACGATCCCACCACTGCACTCCAACCTGGGTGACGCGGCCAGACCCTGTCTCTAAAAAGAAAAAAACTAGAGGGGTGTATCTATCACGCTTTCAATAGATATTCAGCTTGGGTTCTATACTTTTCTCATGACCCTTTGTCTTTCTGTTTTCCAGGTCACTCCTCCTCCCCTACACTTAATTCCCACCCTGCTCCCTTTTCACGGCCCACTCCCCTTCCAGGAGTCCTGCCTGCTGCTTCGAACTCCAATGATCGTCCCATTCACCTCTCACCCCTTTTCCCGCCTTTTTGCCCCACAAGGCTCCAAAGCGCGAGGACCTTATTGTCCTCCTCCCCCATCCTCCAACCAGCCCACAGGACAGCCGCGTTACCATGACGACCGGGCTCCTAGAAGCTGCAGTCAAGGACCTGGTTGCCATGGTTTCCGCTTCTCCGCCTCCAGCCCCGCCCGCGCTCCCCGCGGCGTCGGCGCCTGCGCAGTGCGTGGCGCGCCGGGAGTCAGAGCCTGGGCGGGACGGGGCGGGGCTTCGGGCGAGAGGGAGGGCAGCAGGAGAAAGGATAAGAAAGGGAGTGGGACTGGCGCCTACGGTGGCCGAAGTGGGACGCGCCGAGCCGGAGGCTGCAGGATGGTAGGCTGTGCGAAGAGGGAGGGGAGGGGGAAGCGAGGGGCGTGGGCTGCACCTGCGGGGGTCCTCGGGGGCCGCCCTCGGGGTGAACCGCCCTGTCTTCCCTCTGGTCCTCAGAGGCCTCCCTTGCCTCGGCGGGTGGGCGAGCCGGGCTCGGGAGGAAGAGGGGGAGGTGGCATTCGGGAGAGGGGCGGGGAGGGGGCGCATTTGCAGGGCGAGCGGGGGCTGACGAAGGGGCGGCGGGGCCGTCCCGAGCCGGGAGGGGCGCTCTGGTCTTGGCCCCTGGGGTCCCTCGATCCCCGCTGCAGGGAAGCCGCCCGAAGCAGAGGGTTGCGGGAGTCTCTTTGCTGAGGGAGGGAGCGGGGGTCACCAGTCACCGAGACCCCCTTCCCGGGCTGCACAGGCGGGAGCGGGGACCCGGGTGGGGAGAGGGGTGTGGGAGGGGAGTTTCCGGGTCGGAAAAGGGAGCGCCCTACTGCGTTCGTGGCCGTGCTTGCCTAGAGGCTGGGCCCAGGTAGGGAAGCGAAGTGGACTCGTGGTTTTTCTCCGAGGGACCCAGGCTTTGGGATCCCGGGCTCCGGGGCTCTCTGCCCCCCTTCCCATTCTCTTTCCGGAATCCAGGCCTTCCGTCTTCCTGCTTGCTCCCCACCCCCCTATTTGAGCGCCGCACGAGGCTCCCCAGCGCCCCTCTTTTCCCCTCCACCAAAAAAATCAGTTCTCCTGAATTCTGATTTTTCACTTACTAAGCTAGTACAGTGCCACACACCCAGGGATTCCAAGCCTGGGCATGTCCATGAATAGAAGAGCTACTGGGGTAAGGAGAAGACTCCAGGATGTGGCCCAGACCCCCCGGAACTGGGAAGCTGGGGTACACTGGGCAGTGAGGGTTCTGTCTTCCATCCCACTTGACCCAGCTTGCTGTCTGTTCTGCAGACATTCTTTTAGGGGAACCCCCTGGGTGGCGGGGCCCTAACTGAGGGAAATTGGTCACCTGGTGTCTGGGGAGGAGTGGGCGCTTAGCAGGAGGCACCCTAAAAGGAAGAAAAGTTAAAGAGAAATGTCGAAGACCAAATGCCTGGGTGCCTGCAGAGAGGAAGATAGGATTTGGGCATCTGCATACCCTGTGTGGTGTTGGAGATACATACTACAGAGGAGGATACCCCTGGGCATAGGCCTGGCACTGGAGGATGATATGTTTGGGAGATCATTAAGATCTTATGGCTATGATGGGGTGGAAAATTGAGGTAGCTTCTCCAGGGACAAAATACCAGATTTCAGCATGGTGATGGATAGAGAGAGGGTGGAAGAGAACAGGCATTTCTTTGGCGTCGGTTACTGTCGTCTTGTCACTGTGCTAGGCATTTTACTTACCTTTAGAAAGCAGACCAGAAAGCAAGAGGTCAGGGAATCATGGTAATAATAGTAATAACTAACGGCCGGGCGCAGTGGCTCATGCCTTAATGCCAGCACTTTGGGAGGCCTAGGTGGGTGGATCACCTGAGGTCGGGAGTTCGAGACCAGGGCCTGGCCAACATGGTGAAACCACATCTCTACTAAAAATACAAATATTAGCCGGGCGTGATGGCACGTGACTGTAATCCCAGCTACTCAGGAGGCTGAGGCAGGAGAATCGCTGGAACTTGGGAGGCGGAGATTGCACTGAACAGTGATTGCGCCACTGCACTCCAGCCTGGGCGACAGAGAGAGACTCTGTCTCAAAAATAATAATAATAATAGCTAACATGTTATACTGCCTGCCTGTGCTAGGGACTTGCATATATCAAATCATTTAGTCTCACCTAACAACTGTGCAAGGCAGGTACAATGTCCATTTTACACATAAGGAAACTGAGGCCCAGAGACTTACAGTAGTAATTGGGCCAAGGCCTTGCATAACTAGTAGAGCCAGGATTTGAACCCAGCTGACAGACTCAGAAGCTCTGACTTCCCCCTGCTGGTGGAAACACCCAGCCTTGAGAGCAAGGGGCTGGATGTTGGAAGAAAGTAGAGAAGAATTAGCTGGAGATAAGTTTGGGGAATGTGTGGTTACCCTCGGTTCTGCCCTCCCATCCCCCACAGATGCGGTTCATGCTATTATTCAGCCGGCAGGGAAAACTGCGGCTGCAAAAATGGTACCTGGCCACTTCGGACAAGGAACGGAAGAAGATGGTGCGCGAGCTCATGCAGGTTGTCCTGGCTCGAAAGCCCAAGATGTGCAGCTTCCTGGAGTGGAGGGACCTCAAAGTTGTCTATAAGAGGTGACTCCCCACCTACTTTCAGACCTGCCTAGATTCAAGTTGGGCAGTGGGTTAAAATGTCTGAGAAATGGTCGTCCTGTAGGTCAGGGAGACCTGGGAGCTGAGGACATCTGGAGGACAGTAATGAATGTCAGCTTCCTTTTTTTTTTTTTTTTTTCTCCCCAAACTCTTAAAGAAGTTCTTGTTTACCACTTGGTTTTGCTCACGTGCAACACCTGCCTCACTCACGTGTCCCTTTGGGCCCTGTCTTGCCCCACTGCGCATGTCCCTTGCAGTCAAAGGTCCTGCCCTACTTTTCCTAACACACACGCACACACACACCCTTTCCGGTTCCTTCTCCTCGGAGCAGGTAAATTACTTGGCTCAGGTTTTTGCTGAGTCAAACTTAGGAGGTCAGAGGGCAGGAAGGAAAAAGCATGCGTTCTTTGCATGTTTTTAAGACAGCACAAAGAGGCAGGTGAGTTACTCTTTACATGCCCTAGGGCCACCTCACCTGTGGCCAGCCAGGGCACAGACCACCTCCAGGCTGGTGAGAGGTTTGAGACCAGAATGCCTGGGTCCTGAAGCAAGCTTGTAGCGATGTCTCATGCGCTCCTCTCCGCAGATATGCCAGCCTCTACTTCTGCTGCGCCATCGAGGGCCAAGACAATGAGCTCATCACACTGGAGCTGATCCACCGATACGTGGAGCTCTTAGACAAATACTTTGGCAGTGTAAGTCTCCTCTGCCCACCAGTTTCCATTCCCAGCAATCCCCTTTGGTAATCCACCAAACTTTGAGGCCCCTCCAGTCTCTGCCCTGGAAGTTTCAGGGGAGAGGTGAAGTTGGAGCAGTAAGAACAGTAATTAATTTCCCTTTTTAAGCTTTAAGCCTATTAACCATGTCCCATAATCGTCCCTGAGTGGGGAAACTGGGGGCAGGATCAGGCACTTAATCTCCACTTAGAGCTTAGCTCGGACTTTTCACACAGAGACCAAGTTCAGATGTTTTGATTAGTTCAAATTTTTATTTTTTTAGAGACACAGTCTCACCCTATCACCTGGAGGAATGCCGCCTATGGCTGGAGTGCAGTGGCACAATCGTAGCTCACTGCAGCCTTAACCTCTGGGCTCAAGCCATCCTCCTGCCTCAGTCCCCTGAGGAGGTGGGACTGCAGGTGCACACCACTATGCCCAGCTAATTTTTGTATTTTTTTTTTTAAGAGATGAGGTCTTGCTATGTTGCCCAGGCTGGGTCTCTAACTCTGGGGCTCAAGTGATCCTCCCACCTCAGCCTCCCAAAGTCTGGGATTATAGGCGTGAGCCACTGTACCCAGCCCCATATTCAGATTTTTATCACTGGTTGCTGATCTTGGATTTGCATTGGAGTTTTCTGGAGAATTTTTTTGAATGGCAATGTCCAGGTTCCACTCCCAGAGATTCTGAATTAACTTATCTGAGGGACAGCTCAGATCTTAGATGGGGCGTAGTAGTAACTCCATAATTTGTGTTATAAAGTGCTTTTGCGTCCTCTCGTTTGCTCCTTATCCCATCCTAGCAGTAGGTGTTGGTATCCCCATTTTTGAGGCCAGAAAACTGAGACTTAGAGATGTTTCATGACTTGTTTAGCTAGATGGTTAGTGGCAGAGCCCTGCTTGGAACTCAAGTCTTCCACCCCATGGTCCAGAATTCCCTCTTTCCCTGCCCCACAGTGTCCAGGAAGCGGGGCTACCACAGCCTTTGGTGGGAAGAACGTCACAGATTTTGGGGGGAAGGCAAGGGGAACCATAGACAAAGGTAGATAAGGCAACTAATGTTTCATGATCAGGAGGAAAGATGCAAGAGGAAGAGGGAAAAAAACTGATCCAAGGCAAGGCGCGGTGGCTCACGCCTGTGATCCCAGCATTTTGGGAAGCTGAGGCAGGTGGGTCACTTGAGGCCAGAAGTTCGAGACCAGCCTGGCCAACATGGCAAGACCCTATCTCTACAAAATATTTTAAAAATGAGGTGGGCGTGATAGCATGCACCTGTAGTCCCAGCTACTCAGGAAGCTGAGGCAGGAGGATCACTTGAGCCCAGGAGTTTGAGGCTGCAGTGAGCTGTGATCATGCCACTGCACTGCAGCCTGGACGACAGAGCAAGAGACCCTGTCTCTAACAAAATAACGAAACAAAAAAACTGAAAAAGCTGACCAATGACTAAGGCTTGGAGGTTGGGGGCAGAACCCAAGGTGGGAGGCACGGTCTTGAAAAGGAAGTGGCTCCAGTTGCCCCTCCATGCTCAACTTAGCCTCTCCCCGCCCTCCCAGGTGTGCGAGCTGGACATCATCTTCAACTTTGAGAAGGCCTACTTCATCCTGGATGAGTTTTTGATGGGGGGGGATGTCCAGGACACCTCCAAGAAGAGTGTGCTGAAAGCCATCGAGCAGGCTGACCTACTGCAAGAGGTACGGGCCAGGGACAGTGAGGAGGAGGAGGAAGCGCACAGTGGCGGACAGGGTCCTCCCTCCCCTGGACACCCGGCCTGCCCTGCCCACCGTCGCCAAGGAGCCCCCCCTCCCTGTGGTATCTGACCCCCACCACGCCCAGCTCTCCAGCTTACTCTCAAGCCCTGACCCCATGGGGTGGGAGGTAGGGTGGCAGATAGCCCACCTGTGCACCCCTCATTCCAAGCTCTGTCCTTCTCCCAAGCCCCCAGATGTCTCGTGGCCACCCAGTCTCCTTTGTCCAATTCTCTGAGCAAGGCTTAACACCAAAGGGTTAAGGGTTTGCTCTGGAGTTAAGGGTTGCTTGGAGAATTGGAGAAGGGGCACCTGGTAGGTCATTCTTTTCTTCCCTGATTTCTTCCCCCACCTCTCTTTTTTTTTTCTTTTTTTTTTTTTTAACACACACATACTCCAAAGCCTCTGCGTCTCAGGAGGAAAAGGCTATGGGGATTTGGGGGCTGGCAGAGGGCACCTGGATGTTGGTTCTCCCTGCTCCCCAGCGCCCCCGCCCTCACCCCATTACTGCCTGCCCCCTCTCTGCTGTGCCATCACCGAGCCCTGGTGCAGGGAGATGAGTCACCGGAATCTGCAGTGATGAGCGAGCCCGGCCTGAGCTGGCTCTGAGGAGGGGGAGAGATGGGGGGCGAGGGAGGGCTCATCTTTGCAGTGGGAGAGAGGGCAGAACTGAACTTGCCACCTCACTGGTCGAGCTTCACCTTCCCACACACGCACACACACACACCCTGGCGCGCACACACACACACACACACACATGCCCTGGCACACACACCCATCGTGTCACCAGTGTTGCGCTCAGACCCTAATGACGCATCTCCCTGCAGCCTGGTTCACCTTCCCTCAGGGACCTGGCACTCACCTCCCTCTGCCTTTTCCCCACTCTGAAAAACAGGACCCAGTCAGCTGTACCCCCCAGGGCCCCAGAAAGATCCCCCACCTCCTTGTCCCGGCTTCACTCCCTTTACCCCCAGGTGTCAAGGCGGGGCCCCTGCTTACCAAGGTCCTGGCTTTGGGTTCTCTGGGTGGTGACGGACTCAACCTGGACCCCCCCTGCCACTGTTGGCTGGCTCTGGGGCTGGCCCTGGGAGGCTGGTGGGTGCCCCATGAAGGGCTCACTGGTCCGGCCTTGGGCTCACATTGGCTTCTCTCCCCCTCCCCCGTGTCTGTGCCTCCCCCGTCTGACTCTTCCTCGTGACTGCTGTCTTGCCCACCCTGTCGGCCTCTCCTGGTGTCTCTGCGTCACCCTCTGTCTGTCTCTGCCTTAGGAGGATGAGTCGCCACGGAGTGTGCTGGAGGAGATGGGTTTGGCATAGCCCCTGCTGGGCCGGGGTGTGGCGATGGGGTCCTGGCAGCGTGGCGGGAACGGCTGCTTCTCCTCTGCCCAGGGCCCTGTTCTTGGTGGGACTCGGCTGCCCCTCCTCTGCTGCCTCACCTTTCGGAGTGAGCTGTGGGCTCAGGCCCTTCAAACATTCCCTCCCTCCACCCCCTACCTCCACTTTCCCCTTTTCCCACTGAAGGTTTTAGAAGCTAGGAGGCAGGAAAATGTGACCCAGATGGGGGTGCTATTTGGCTTTTATTCCCTGCCTTTGCAGAACTGATGTCACCCCAGATGTCCTTCCCTCCCTAATAACTGTAAATATATAAATATGTCAGGTTAAAGGGAAAAGGTGTTCAGGGCACTTCTTGTCCTCTCTGTCCCATAACCTACCTCCACCCTCCCCCTAGCCAGCCAGGCAGCTTCTCTGCCTGGGAGGGGAGCCTGGACCCCCCTCTTTCTCCTTGGCTGCAGTGGGGCCTTTATCCAGTGCCAGGGAGGAACAACATAGTTAATTTTTTTCTAACCTTGCCACTTTGAGGGAAGGAAGGGTTGGGGGAAGGGCAAGCTTTATGGGACCCTGGTCCTGGCCCTGGCCTTTCACTCCAGTTCTGGGTGAGGCAGGAGCTGGGAGGGGTGGGGAGGGGGAGGGGGAAGTGTCTGCCTTTATGTCCTTTCTTCTGAAATAAAAGTAAAAGCATTTCTGGACTTTGCTGGCCTTGGGCTCTGTGAAGGAAGGCAGGGCTGCTGGCATCATCGGGAGGCCAAGGGGATCCTGCCAGCCTTGGGAAGAAACGGAGAGCACGCAGTTAAATGAGAATTCCAGATACACAACAAATCATTTTAGGGATAAATGTGTTGCATGCAGTGTTTGGGACACATTTAACTCTAAAACTGCATCTGTTGTGTATCTGGAATTTCAGATTTCATTTCCTGTATTTTATCTGGCCACCCTACCTTAAACGGATTTTTATGCCCAATGCGTCTCCAAACGGGCTGCCCCCAACTCCCTGAGCTGCCTTTATGGAAGGAGGAGCAACTCTTCAGGATGCGGGTCTGTTGTGGGTGATTTCGTTTGCCCAGTTTAGTTTTATTTGAATCAGTTCACAAGTACCTGCGATTAGAAAAGGCTTAAGATGGGAGGCCAAGGTGGGGAGGTCGCTTGAGCCCAGGAGTTCCAGACCAGCTGAGCAAGCTGGCAAAACCTCATCCCTACAAAAAATGCAAACATTAGCTGGGCATAATGGTGCACACTTGTAGTCCCAGCTACTCAGGAGGTTGGGGTAGGAGGATCACTTGAGCCCAGGAAGTCGAGGTTGCAGTGAGCTGTGATTGCACCACTGCACTCCAGCCTGGGCAACATAGTGAGACCCTGTCTCAAAAAAAAAAAAAAAAAAAAAGTTAAGAAGTGGCTTTAGCCAGCATGTCTCTGTGGCTGCCACTCCCTCCTCCCCGCATTTCTTGCAAAGTACCTAGGACCAGGAATGTAGGGATCAGTGGAGGGAGGTGGGTGGGTGAACACAGGAAACTCCGGCATTACCCGCGCGGCCCCAGGATCTTGGGAAAAAGGAGCCCACTGGCACCCAGAGTTGTGGCACCTTCTGCGGGTCGCCTTTTTCTTTTGAACCAGAGGTCGCTGGACTGATCGCAGACAATTGGCTCTTTTATTGCATTCCGCTGGGCCTCTCTCTGTCAAGCCCTGGGGAAAGATGACTTTACCACCAGCCCCCAAGCTGGAAGTGGAATTTCGGGTTTCTTAATGGGTGCGAGCCACATTCTTCTCCTCTAAAAACAGTTTGAGGACTTTCCCCACTTACCCCTTGCCTTAGTTTGGGGGCAGGAAGCAGGAGGAGACGGGGACTGTGGCTGGCGCTTCCCTCACCGCCCCTTGGGAAGGACCACACAGGCCCAAGGGGACGGGTGAATAACCGAGAACAAAGTCCTAATAAAATAGTCACTTTTATTTCTTAGCAAAACTATTTCCTCCGTGAGGGGTATTTACAACAGAGAAAGGAAAGAAGGGGTCAATTCACAGCGACTTGGAGAGGCTGGAGGGGCTCGTGGGAGGCCCGAAGGGCTGGAGACAGACACACTTCACACAATTAACTGGAACTGCTTTTTCCGGTTTCCGACGGGGACGTCCCCAGAGGGACTTGATGGGGCCGGGGCCCCGCGTGGCAAGGGAACTCGCACAAACCACCCGCCCTCCTGGGCTGGCCCCCGGTCACCCGCGGGTGAGCTCTGGGAGTTCGGGCTCAGGACCCGGGAGGGGGGTCTGGCAGGTCCCGACGCAGCCCGGGGACAGGGGCAGGGCCAAGGGGCAGGGCCGGGGCGCATGCAAACACCGAGGGGGAGCGGGCAACACGGAGGGGGGCGCCGGCGCGCGCGCGCGGCGGGGGCGCGCGGGGGCGGGACCGGGAAGGGCAGTCACGGGCGCCGGAGCAGCACGTGCTCGATGTAATTCTCCAGCTCCTCCTGCTCCTGCAGCCGGCGCTCCTCCGCCTCCGCCTCCTCCTGCGCGCGCCGCGCCTGGGCCTCCCGGCCGGGATAGTGGCGCGAAGGCGGCAAGGCGTGGTGGTAGTGGCGGCGGCGCAAGGCCGAGGGCGGCTGCAGTGTCCGCGGCCGGATGTAGTTGGGGAAAGGGTGGTACGGCCCTGGCGGGTACACCTCGTCCTCCTCCCGATCCCAGGGCGGGAGCACCTCGTTCCAGTCCGGCAGCTCGTCTCGTGCGGGAGCGGGGGCGGGGGGCGGGGGCTGCGGGGAGCGGACGTGGGTGGGGGCGGGGGCGGCACGGGGGGGCGGCACGGGCTCGGGAGGGGCGTTCTTCTTCCGCTTCCGCTTCTCCTCCACCTCCTCGATGATGCTGACCACGTCGTCCGCTGGCAGGTGGAGTTTGGTGGACAGCTCAATGAGGCTGTCGATCGTCTGCGGATCCATCTCCTCGTCGTCCTCCTCCTCCCCGCCCTCCTCTGTCCCCTCGGCCTCCTTCCGCCGGTGGCCCGGCGTCTCCTCCTGGGAGCGCTTGTCCTCGGCGCCGGCTTCCCCGTCCTCCTCCTCCGCGAACAGGAGCGCGTTCTGCCGCGCCCTCTCCGCCTCCTCCGCCTCTGCCTCCGCCTCGGCCGCCTCCTCATCCTCTTCCCCCACCCTCTCCTCCCCGCCGCGTCTCTCCTGCTCCGCCTCCTCCTCCTCCCTTGCACTCTCTCGCTCCTCCGCCGCCTCCTGCAGCCCCCGACCCCCGAGGCCGCGCTGCCGGGCCCCGCCCTGCAGCAAATACTGGAGCAGCAGGTCCGAGGCGAGGTCGGCCAGCCGCTCTTCCTGCGCCGCGGCCTGCCGCGTGGCCTCCGCCTGCCGCCGCCCGGCCTCCACCTGCGCCAGCCCTTGCTGGAGAAGGCGCTCGCCCGCCTCGGAGCCGCCCAGGAGTGCGCTCTCCGGCCGGCGCGCCTTGGGGAACGGGGCGGCCACGCCTTGGTACGCCTTGGACAGGGGTGCCAATGCCTCGCCTAGGTGTGTTTTGGGGGAGGACACTCCTTCCCCGAACTTGTGGGTTTCGGGAAGGGGCCCGCTGTCGGGCATACGCGCCTGGAATTGAGAGGGGGCCGGGGGCGGCAGGGGCGCGCGCTCCGGGACACGCGCCTGGAACTCTCCCCAGGAAGCGCGCCATACGCGCTCTGGCCCCGGGCTCTCCAGATTCACTCGGGTCAGCGTGTGCGTGCGGGTTTCCGTCTCTGCTGCCGCCGTCTCCTGCTGGCGCTTGGCGCTACTTGGACTGAAATCTCGCAGTTCCTGGAGCAGGGACGCTAGCGCCTCGAGCTCCTCGGAGGGATCGCTCGCCTCGGGCCCATTCTCCGGAGTCTGAGGGCGAGGCGGAGCCGCGGGCTCCGGGCTCTCCGGCGCCGGGAGGCTGTGGGTCTGGCTGCGCACGGTCTCGGTCAGCAGAGCTTCAGCTGCTTCTTCCTCCGGCCCCTGCTGGGAGCCGCTTGGTGCCGGGGGTGAGGCGGGACGGTCGAGTGCCTGCAGCAGCACCGCGGCCAGCGCCCGGGGATCCACGCCCTGGAAAAGCTCTCCCTCGTCCTGCGGCTCGGAATTCCGAGCGCCTCGGACCTCTGGGGCGCTGCCATCCTTTGGCCCGGGCACTGCGTCCCCGGCTACCGGCTCTTTATGCTCAGAGCTGAGAGGAGGAGGCTGCGCCTCAGGGCGACCAGGGGGTGCTGCCCCTAACCCGTTGATCAGCAGAAGGCAGAAGAGGGCGGAAGCCGACAATCTGAGGGCTTTCATGACCAAGAGGCTGCCGGAGACTGAAAAATAGAAGGGACCAAAAAAAGAGGATTTCTGTAAGAATTCCCCTCTCTAGGTCTACGTTCCCTTCCCCCACCTTTCAGCAGGAAACCCGGGGCTTCCCTGATCCCCCAAACCTTACCCAGAAGAGGAACGTTTAGGAGCAAAGGAGGAAGATGTTGTGCCGATCTCTGGAGCCGTGTAAATGGGAAAATAACCCCCGAAGCCCTCGCTTACCCAGGGCCTCCTCGGCCCCTTCCCTGAGCCATCTCACTGCCATCGCCCACGTACTAAGCAGCAGCAATATGGGGGAAAAAAAAATCTCTGCTCCCTCCCCGTAGGACTCCCCGGATGGTGCGTGGGCGACTTCAGCAGCAAGAGAAAAAGCTGCGACTCCCCCGTTTACCGGGGACCCTTACCAGGGGGCTCCCCGCTGTGTTTGCAACACCCCCATCGAGAGGAGAGAGAACCCTCCCTCACGCCCACGGCTGGCTGCCGAGGGTTTGAGGGACGAACAGCGGAGTATTTACCAGCTGGTGTCACGACGCGAGAGGTGGAGAGGAGGGTCGGGGCAGGGTGGGGACAGGGGAAGATCGGGACGCGTCCGCCTCGGCTCCGAGCGGTGGCCGGGGTAGGAGCGACGGTCGAGGTCTGGCGTCCCGTGGGCTGGGCTCAGCTGGGTCGGCGCGGCTCCGGGCGGCTAGCTCGCTCCGGCTTCAGCACGCTGGACAGCGCCCGCGCCTCCACCGCCTTATAAAGGGGAGCGCGCGGGGTCACGTGGGCGCGCCCCGCCCCATTGACGTCAATGTTCATTCATGGGGAAGCGGGCGGCCGCCCGGAGGAGGAAGGACGCCCGACGATTGGAGGGTGCCTGCCTCTCCCGGCCTGCGCCTGCGCGCTGGGGCCTTCGGCTGAAGGGGTGTGCGCTAGCGGAGCTCCGGGAAATGAATGAATGAATGAATGAATGAAATGCTGAAGCGGGCAGGGCGGGGGGCTATGAATGAATGAAGGAGGGACGAGGAGAAAAGGATGAATGAATGAATGGGAGAATGAATGGAAGGGTGGATGCAGAGGCGCTGGAAGGCGGGAGGGTGGGTTGCAGAGCAACTTGGAGCTGCTGGATGGAGCCCGCGTTGCTGAGTGGAATAGAAAAAGGGTAGTCCCAGCGTCTGACTGGGCACCAGTGGGAGCTCAATACTGGGGAGGGGAAGGATAAAGATTCAAGAGCCGACCAGGGGGCCGGGTTCCCCACCCCGAGACCACGCGCCCAAGGACGGCGTGAACCTGAGTGCAGAGGGACAGATCTGCACGCCTGCGGGCGCTGTCCGCGAATCGGCAGTGCGGGTGGCAGCCCCCTGACAGGGGCAGATGGGTGGATCTTGCGGTTTTGGTAATCCCATCGGGAAGGGTCCGAGTCGGAAGAGAAAAGGGAAAGAATGAGGATGTGTGTGCCTCTGGGTCGTGTCTGTTTCACGATCCGTGCTGTGTCTGGAGAAAAAGGTGTGTCTGTCCTTCTGTCCCCTGACTGCCGCTTGTGTCAAGGCCCCCCGCTGTGCCCCCTTCGGCCCATCTCTTCCCACACTCCCCCAGTCGCTTTCCCTCCTGCCGCTCCCCTCCCCCAAGGACGTTTGGAGGGCGAGACCAGAGCAGGTGGGGAGGGGGTTGCGCAGGTGGGGGGGGGGTGACTCAACTCCAGCTCTCTCCACCGCTTAAAGGGAAGGTTTGAACGCGATGGGAGGGGGACCTGCAACGTCAGAGATAGCCCCTCTCTGCCACCAGCCCCTTCGACCGTATCTCCTGCCAGAGAGGTTGGGGCTGGGGGCTTGGACAGCTAGAGGTTCCGGGGGTGGGGGGCGATGACGCACAGATTTGCGCAAAGAGAATCCATCAGAGAGCTGGGTCCGGTGAAGGGAGACCAGCCGTGGGCGGGGGTGGGGGGGAGGACGGAAATGGGGAGGGGGCAGGGGAGAGGAGAGGGTGGCAAGGGGGGCAGCCACTGCAGGAATGAAGGGGAGGGAGGGAGGAAGCCTGGAGGGGGCTGCGGTGCTGGCAGAGAGCGGTGCGGGGGCGTGGGCAGGGAAGGGGGGAATGACAATGACACACGCCAGACACACACGAACTGCGGACATAGGGGTGCTCGTGGGCACACGCAGGGCACCCGCACCCTGAGACTCTGGAAACCAAGGTCAGGGCTGTCTGTCAGGGTCTTAGAGACTCTTTCAGAAACGGTCCTCGCCCCCCTCCTCACCTCTTCCTGGCACTGACCCTCCTTCTAACCTCCCCCTCCCTACACACACACTCACGTGCTTTCTCTCTATAACCAGCAGTGGCTTCTCGCTTCCATCAGTGGCTCGACTTTCCCAGAAGAAAGCCCATCAGCTCTGCGGGGAAAGAAATGGGGAGGAGTGGAGAGGGAGAAAAGAGAGAAGAGATGGGGGCAGGGGAGGAGGAAGGAATGAAGGGATCTGGAACAGGTAGAAGGAGCAGGCTAAAGGAGAAAAAAAAACTGAGAACCAAGGTGACAGTGGAGATTCCAAAGAAAGGAGGGAAAAGAGGGGGTAGGAGACCCCGAGGCGATGCCTCCCATCCCCACGCACAACTAACCACGGCCTCCCCTCCTTCCTCTCCCCGCCCCCATGTCCCCTTCATCTTCCCAGCCTGGATACAGAGAGCAGTGGGATGGGGAGGGGGTCACGTTACCTTCCTGAGGAGGATGAATCAGAGAGAGATGGCTCAGACATCTGGAGAGGGGGAGGGGAAGCCATCCAAGAGAGAAGGGAGAGGGGAGGGAGGGAGCCAAGGGGGCTGACTGAGTGGCTGATGGGGATCAGAGACCAAGTTGCAAGATGAGAGAAGACGGGCACCTGGAGAAACTGTATTTGCCTGTTGGCTTGTGTATGCACACACACCTGCGTGTACATGTACATGGCTTGTGCATGTGTGTTTATGTGTGTATGGAGATGAATGAGATACATGGCCGGGGCGGGGAGAAAAAGAAAGGGAATGGGGGGAAGCAATTGTGTATTTAATCAGATCAAGAGTGGATGGGCATGGTAGTGTTTCCAATTTAACTATGTGATGTTCTATTCCAGTCTGTGTGGCTGTGTTTGTGTTTGCTTCCAGGTGTGGGTGTGTGTGCACGCGCGCGTGTGTGTGTGCTGGGTTGTTTTTTTTTGTTTTTTTTTTTTATCTCTTCTGCATGCCTGTATGCCCATGCAGTTTGGAGTCTTTGAGCACACCCAGTTCTGGGCATCCGCTGGTGTCCAAAAAGTGTGCCTGGCTTGGTGGTACACAACAATGTGTGTGTAAGCACACACATGCCCCCACTCCACATCCCTCCCTTCCTCCACTTAAGCTCACAAGCCCAGGAGAGTTTCTCAGAAATCAGCATCCCCAAGGCTCCAGTCGTCCTGTCGTGAGGGAGCGGGGTGGATATGAATGCCTGGGGCACAAAAGGCTTGGAGATTCCACAATCTGGGTCTTGACTCTGTCTGCATGGTCTCTGGACTCATTCTGTTTCTGCCTCTCTCCATCCCAGTTCCCTACCTGGGTCAGCTCATTCACACACTACTCGCCTCTACTGGGGGTGAGCTGTGCCCTTCATACCCTGCTGCCTCTAGGGGCTTCTGGACTGGGCACAGGTTCTTGGGATAGGGAAAGGAGGGAGACAGTAGAAAAAGAAAGAGAAGTGAAGAGACTGGGAGAGACAGAGTGCTGGAAAAGGCAGAGCCCATATGGGGACCTAGTTGGGGATGCCTGGTATTGGTTCTGACTTGTTTGTGTGAATCCATCATCTCTCTTTGTATTTGTTTCTAAATCTCCCTCCAAGAGGGTAGCTGGAGAAGATGGGGTCCAGCATCGTAGGGTTCCAAGCTGAAGATGTGGAAAACCAGGAGAGTGGGGAAGAGCACTGGGTCTTTTCCCTGAGAAGGTCTGGGAGAGAAAGAGAGAGCAGGGGCTTGTGGACCCCGAAGCTCACCGGTCCCCTCTTCTCCTCCCCCTCCCCCCAACCGGTGACTCACCTCTGCAGCCTTTAACTGCGTCAGCCATGGTGGAGGGGCAGGCAGGGAGGGGGCACTTTATGAGAGGGGAAGGGGTCTCCACTTTGAACTTACAGAAGATGCTGAAGGCCCCCTGAAAATTGCCCCATTTAGAACACACTCTTGCCCTATCCTCTCCCCATCCCAGAGCTGGGGAATCCTGGGGAAGGGACTGAGGGGTGGGCTGGGGGCTACGGGAGGGTCTGGAATGATGAGTGATGGGAAGGGGGTGCCCACCCTGATTTTTAGTCCTGAGGTCCCATTCGCCCTCAGACCCCCACCCACTCCTGAGTGGGGGAGGGGAGACCCAGCAAGCGGGGGAGGGCAACGCCGCAGAGATGAGTCACCAAGAAAGAGAGAGAGAAAGAGACAGAGATGGGGAGAGACACGAAGAGAGAGCCACTGGAGAGACTAACACACACACACACACACACACTCAAATACACACACAGACACACACACACCATCAAGGTGGTATCCACCAAGAGAAAGAAAACCACTTCTGTCATCCTGAACCAGCCTCCTTCAACTTCCACCTGTCACACACATAACACACTGTCCTACAGAATCACACTGAGATTCGGAGACACACCCACTTACACAAACACAATGTCACACCTAGCCTAGCAGTTACCCAGACCTAGGCTGGAGATGTGTGCAGGGCAATGGAGGTGTGCTCTAAGTGTTCTCACTCATTCCTTTTACCAGGTGGAGGGAGGGGCGCCAAAACCCTCAAGGAATGCGACTTCAGAGACCCAAGACGCGGTTGCAGGGACTCACAGGCTGCGCTGTGCACACTCGACAATACACACAAGTCGCCTGCCTCCCCGTCCACACGCACATAGTAACATATCAAGCATCGTCCTCATCAAAAAGCAACAGAAAAAAAACCACTTGAGGTACCTGATTCTGGGGTACACCAGGCACGTTGTCCCGAATCCATCCCACCCAGACACCCCCTGACTCGTACACACATGTACAGAAACGCAGACACACAAAGACGCCCACGGACACACTCACACGGACGAAAACCACCTTGTGCTGCCTTGCCCGCGTCCGCGCACGTCCTGGCGCCCCCGTGTGTTACTTTGGGGGATCGCAGTCTCCGCCAATCCAGAGCAGGCTTCGCGGGGGCGGTGCCCAGGCTCTCTCCACCTCCTCCACCCACCACGGGTTGCCCACCTAGAAAAGGGGAAAGCGATACCGGCTGGCCACGGGCAAGTCTGGAACTGGGGGTTAGATGCCTGGATCCTGGCTGATGGAAGCTGGTCTTGGATGCCAAGTGGGACTTGGGAGAAGAACTCACAGAATTTGGGTAGCAGCCGACTCCCAGGTCCAGGGAAAAGCGAGGCCCAGGGCGAGTCAGGAGGCCGTGCTGCTGCCCACCTCGGTCCTGAGCAGCGGCTTCTTTCCTCCGCTTGGCAGGGGTGGGGTAGGGGCGCACAGCCAGCAGCCCTCCTCAGAACCCCTCTCCACCTCCCCCCTCTCCCCGGGAAGTCATTAGCCCCATTGCCACAGGGCTTAGAGATCCTCTCTGATACAGGCTGCTGGGGAAAGGGGAAGATAATGTGTCTCATTTCTCCCCATTGGGAAGTGAAACAGACACAGAGGGTGGCCAAAAGGTCCATTTTATTGTCATACAATCGTGGTCACCGTGACAAGGAGGGTGGCAGCGTGGCCAGGCACAGGATGCACCCAAGGAGAGCAGCACAGTAGCAAAACCAGAGCTGCGGAAAGTGGCGAAGCGGCGGCTGCCCCTACCCCCCACCTTGTCCACATTCTTCCACCTGCTGGTGTCCACCTCTGCCCACATCTCGGATCCCATCCCAGCGAACCCCAAACTCACTGTCAACATTCTCCTAGCACCTACGCATTGCCCAACAAGAAGTTCAAGCTAACATCATCCCACAGAGTGAAGTTCTAGGTCATGCTCTAGGCTTGGGACACCCGGGTTCTATTCGCTGGGAGGCTCCTAGCTACTTTGAATGACTTAGAAGTCACTTTGATCTTTCCCAGCCTTCTGTTTTCTCCCTCTGCCTTTGATGTGGGGAACCAGTATTGGAGACAGCGCTGTGCAGATGCAGCTGTTACTACTTGCAATTAAATAGAAGACTCTCAAAGTTCTAAAAGCATAAATGATCCAGAGAAAGGGAGTGGTGTCCAGAAATACCAGGAGGTGGGAATTCCAGTTGCACTAGAAGGCGGCCTGGTTGGAACCAGGAGACAGCCCCTATGCCAGGCTGAGGGACCCGCCCTCCACTGTACCAAACTCTTCAGCTAGAACCACACCACACACACACCACCACCACCACCACCACCCCGCCCGGCTCGGGTGAGCTGGGGCACGGGGGAGCCTGCGAAATAGCAAAGTTGTGCAAAGCAGGAGGAAACCCCAGTGAGAGAGGCAGGCTCAGAAAGTGCATCACCAGATGAACAAGGACCCAAATGGGGGAGCATTCTAAATACATTTCATTTTACAGTATCACTCTCTCTCTCTCTGGATTGCACACTGGGCTGGTGATGGGAAGGAAAACAGGGACAGAAAAATGGGCACTGCGGTGTTAAGCGTCGTAGAGATCCAGCGAGGATGAGGATGAGGGGCTAGAGAGAAGTGGGGAGAGGGCACTGATCTCTGGCACCAGAAGCTTGAGCAGGGGGAGGGGATTGGGGTGTGGAGGGCAATGCAGGACCAGTTTTTAGGGCTTTAGAAAGGGCAGAAGGAAGAAAAGAAACGCGGATTGGGCGGCTGCGCTCGGGAACGAGGCTGGGCATCCCACACACTCCTGAGTTCTTCCACCCACGAGGGGGCAGAAGGGAGAAGCCAGGAAAGGGGGAGTTCACGCCCCGGGTGAGGTGATGGAGAGGGAAGGAAGGACTCTGAAGCCTGTGCGGGGACCAGTTCTTTGGAAAAACAGAGGGTGGATAACAGCAGCTCAAGGCCCCCACCCCCAGCCCCCACCTAATAGTCCGCAAGTTCAGGTCAGGGAGTGGGCAATGGTGTTTGGGGGAGCTAGAGGCAAGATAGTAAGGGCAAAAGGGACAGAGTGGGGGGACCTGCGCCGGTAAGGGCAGGAGGGCAGGAGTCAGAGGGGACTTCCCAGGAGACGCAGCGTCGGAAATGGCAGGAAAGAGGCTGGCTGGGGAAACTGCGGAAGGGGGCGGGTCTTTTTCCCCCTCCCCGCCAGAGGAGAGGCCTCAGATGTCGGCCTCCAGCAGGTACTGTTCAGTATAACCCTTCACCAGCTCCAGTCCCAGCCCGACCTGGCAGAAGTCAGCCAGCTGTGACCACAGCTGGGGCTCCAGGAAGAGCTGGCACATGACGTTGAGGCCAACGAGGCGCGGGGCCTGGCGCTGCAGGTGCCACAGCAGCTGGCTCTGCACCTGCGCGCCGTCGCTACCGAAGGCGTCGATGTTGAGATAGCGCCAAGTGCCGTCCCCTCCGTGCGGGATGGGGAAGGGGCGCGTGCACAGCGTGAGCACGCGCGGGCGCGCGCGGCTGTCCACGCGCCACTCCAGGCCCTTGGCCGCCAGCAGGCGCAGGTTGCTTTCGCTAGGCCGGTAGGGCTGCCAGTCCTGGATGATGGTCCCGCCTGGAAGCACGTCGCGCTGCACGGAGGGTGACAGCAGGAGGCGTGCCACGTCGCCGCCTGCCTCGGACACGGCCTCGGTGGGCAGCGGCGAGAAGGTGCCAGAGGTCCGCAGCGCCGCCAGCCGCGCGCCCAGCCCGGCCAGCAGCGCGGACGCGTTGAATCGGACCAAAAGGATGCCCTGCGGGGGGCACGAGTGAGCGCGGGGAGGGGGGGCGCAGCAGGGCTGGCGAGCCCGGCGCCTCTCGGCAGGCATCTTCACTCCCACGTTCACGCCCACGGGCTCCCACCTGGGTCCCTCTGGAGGAGCGACCGTGAGGGCTCCGGGCCGAGTGGGGTATGGGAAAGCCTGGGTTTCAAGGGTACCAGACAGGGACCAGGGGCACGGGCTCCCAGTACGTGGATCCCCAAGAAGAGGTGGGATCAGTATGGAGTAGCCAGGGAACTGAGGGTACGGGTCCCCGGGTCTCCAGGGACGTGAAAGCCAGGGAGGCCGATCAGTCAGTAGGATTGGGAGGAGCAGAGGGAGGACAAAGGCTCAGAGGAGATGGCTTGGGGCCCTGAACAGAGGCAGGATCCTAGGGGAGGCAGGGTCCCCGAAGTTGGGAAGTAAGGACTAGGGTTTCAGGCTGGGAGTCGGGAGTTTGACTTCCCCTGGGTCAAAGGGTCTGGTAAGGACTGGGAGTCCCAGGGCAAGGCTCATGGGCCGCGCCACTCGGTAAAGCCCAGAGAGAGAGCAAGCCCGTGTTCTGCTGGGGGTGGGGAGGGTCTCCCCATATGCCCCAGCAGAGAGGCCCAGCCATCCGAGCTCCCTGTCCTTCTCACCTGCTTGGTGATTAGGCGGTATTTCTTCAGCTCCCGGGGGCCCAGCTGGTCGTCCCGGGTGAGCCGTGCCACCTTGACCCCCGGGTGCTGTCTCTTGACCAGCTGCGAGCAGAAGCGCTGCAGCAGCCCGGCCACGCCCTTCCCGCGCTCCCAGGGCGCCACGCGCAGCCCCTCCACCAGCACCGTCTCCCCGGCGTCGATCACGTTCACCGACTCCAGCGCGATCTGCGGACCGAGGCCGTTAGCGCGGGGCCCTCCCCGCCTGCGCCCCTGCCAGGGCTGTCGGTTCACTGGGCTCTCCTCTTCCCACACGCTGAGCACTCCGCGTCACCACCCGGGCACCAGGCCAGGCCTGGGGTAGCACGGCACTTGGGCCTCAGATTACAGAGCCGGCAGAACAGTCATTCGCCGGGGCTTCGTCCACCTTTTTATTTTTATTTATTTTAAATTTAGGACAGGGTCTCCTCACCCAGGCTGGAGCGCAGTGGTGCTATCACAGCTCACTGCAGCCTCAAACTCCTGGGCTCAAGCGATCCCCTACACCCCCAAGACTTCCTAGTAGCTGGGACAACAGGCACGCACCCCTACTCTCGGCTTTTTATTTATTTTTATTTTTTGGAGACAGGGGTCTCGCATGTTGCCCAGGCTGGTCTGGAACTCCTAGCCTCAAGTGATCCTCCTGCCTCGGCCTCCCAAAGAGCTGGGGTTACAGGAGTTAGCCGACGCGCCCGGCCCCTTCCACCTCTTGAGATGCTCCAGCTCCGAGTGTGTCAAGTTCCGGACCGCTCACCACGCCCCTTCCTTGGCTCCTCCCCCGGGAGTTTGCCACGCCCCACTTCCTCTTAGCTCCTCCCCCAGCCCAAATCTAAGCTCTTCCTGCTCCCACCCCTAGCCTACCCTCTCTCTCCTGCTCCCCACCTCCTTTGCTTTTACCCCCAGAAATTCCTCCGGTGGATCCTCGAACTTTCAAACGCTCACCTGTCCCTCTGGTTCCTCTGCTTTAGGAGTCCTCCACCCCACCCTCACTGACATAGCCCCTGGATCCGCACTGCACGCCCTGCACTTTGGTCCCAAAGCAGGCTCTATTTCCGCAGCCTCCAGAGGAAGGCTGGGGAGAAGCTCTCATCCTCCTCTTCCTAAGATCCACGCACCCGCAGGTGGCTTCACCCCATGTCACCTGGGCCGTGCCCCCGGGCTCACCACGCCTCCGTTGCGCTTGGCCAGCACCACCGTGCGGTCGGGGTCCCGGAGCCAGCTGTGGTAGCGGCTAGGAAGGTAGTCCAGGCCGCCGTAGATGCCCCCCGAGATGGCCAGCACTTCCTCAAACTCCCGTTCCGTGGCCACCACGAAGTCCAATGGCTCGGCCTCAGCCTCAGGCCCCGATCCCGACCTGGGCTCGGCCTCCACCTCCTGTGGCCGGGTTTCAGAGCTTGGCTCTGCATCTCGGGCAGTCTTCTTTTCCGGCTTAGGGACCTCTGAGGTGGCTGTGCCACAGCTGGCTTCCAGCTTCATGACCCTGCAGAAAAAAAGAGAATTCAGCACCTGGATCAGCCCCTTTGTTTCCACATCTGGGCCCCTGCACACAAACGGTCCTAATGCCCCTTCCTACACAAATAGCCTTTCTTTTTCTTTTCTTTTATTTATTTACTTATTTACTTATTTATTTATTTATTTTTTGAGACGGAGTCTCGTTCTGCCGCCCAGGCTGGAGTGCAGTGGCGCGATCTCGGCTCGCTGCAACCTCTGCCTCCCCGCTTCAAACTATTCTCCTGCCTTCACCTCCTGAGTTGCTGGGACTACAGGTACGTGCCACCATGCCTGGCTAATTTTTGTATTTTTAGTAGAGACGGAGCTTCACCATGTTGTCCAGGCTGATCTTGAATTCCTGACTTCAGGCGATCCTCCTACCTCAGCTTCCCAAAGTGCTGGGATTACAGGTGTGAGCCACCACATTGGCCCCTTTCTTCATTTCTTCTTCTTATTTTTTTTTTAATACAGATAGGGATCTCACTACTTTGCCCAGGCTGGTCTCGAACTCCTGGGTTCGAGATCCTCCTACCTTGGACTCCCAAAGTGCTGGGATTACAGGTGTGAGCCACTCTACCTGGCCCACACCCTTTCTTTTCTGCTGTCCACACAGACCCTGGGAGTGGAGGTCTCCCAGCTCCCTCCCTCTTCCCACCAGCTTTCAGAAATCTCAGCTCTACCCACCCCACTCTTATGGGATGCTCCCTAACAGTCAGAAACTTAGAACCCTGTGAGATCCCCATAGACCAGCCCCAGATCCAGGGACCCAGGCAAAAGAAAAAAGGCACTTGGGGGTAGTTTTAAAAAAAAAAAAGAAGAAGAAGGCTGGACACGGAAACTCATGCCTGTACTCCCAGCACTTTGGGAGGCCAAGGCAGGTGGACTGGTTGAGTCATGGAGTTTAAGAACAGCCTGGGCAATATAGTGAGACTCTGTCTATAAAAAAAATTAGCCAGGCATGGTGGTGCAGTGGGCCTGTAGTCCCAGCTGCTCTGAGGCTGAAGTGGGAGGATCGTTTGAGCCAAGGAGACAAAGGTTGCAGTGAGCCGGGATCACACCACCGCACTCCAGCCTGTGTGACAGAGAGAGAACCTGTGTCAAAAAAAAAAAAAAAGAGGCACACTCCTTCAAGGATCCCATCACCTCTCTAAGACCTCTGCAAGGACAACATGAGAAAGAAACTCCCACTGTCACCCCTCTGTCCACAAGAAAGTTCCCAGAGAACAGTGGAGGGCTCACCCTCACCCCATTTCCTGCCACTACCAGCTACAATCCCAGCCAGGGCCAAGGGGGAGGGTGTAGACCCCAAATATCCTCCATATTGCTGCCCCAGTTCCCTGTCCCCCCACCTCCACCTCTTGACATACACATTCAAATATAAACAAGATAGATAGCTCCACTAGAAAATGTCAAGCCAGCCTAGCATGGCGGCTCAGCCGAGGCGGGTAGATCACCTGAGGTCAGGAGTTCGAGACCAGCCTGGCCAGCGTGATGAAACCCCATCTCTACCAAAAATACAAAAATTAGCCAAGCATGGTGGTGGACACCTGTAATCCCAGCTACTAGGGAGGCTGAGGCACAAAAGTCACTTGAACCCGGGAGGTAGAGGTTGTAGTGAGCCTGAGCCGAGGTTGAGCCACTGCACTCCAGCCTGGGCAACAGAGTGAGACTCTGTCTCAAGAAAAAAAAAAAAAAAGAAGAAGAAAATGTCAAACCATTCTTTCTAAGCCAATCAATGCCCCCCGCCCCCGCCCCTTTCCTTCCTTCTGCCCCTCTTCCCCATAGGGAGACTTGGGCTCTGTCCACTCCAGGACTAGGAATTGTTTGAAAAGTGTTCTGTCGGAGCTCCACCAAAATGAAAGAGAAAGCCCCCTATCCAAGTCCCAGCAACTTCTATTTCTGGGCCTGTCTCTTCCAGATCAGCCAAATCAACCAATCAAATCCCCCCTCTCTCTTTCAGCCAATGATAATGCTCACCTCAGATAACCTACGTTAAGCCTCATTAACCAACATCCCAAGGGCACACAGACCAGCTATTCTGTGGGGGTGATATTGACTTATTGACTTAACTGGAATTTTTATTTTTTTTTTTAACAAAAGTCTTACCTAGGTTTGGGGAAGGTTGACCAGCAGTGGGACCAAGGAGTGGTTTGCACTTCCAAGCCATAAACAGAGCTTGCCTAAACGCGGTATGCTTGCTATACAAACCAAGCTTCAAGACAAGAGTTCTATCTCCCTCTTTGTTTTCTGATTCTTTCTCATCTGATTCCAACACCTGGAGATTACCTGGATATGGAGCCAGAATTATCAGAGAGGAGGAAGCCAGGCTCAGAGGATTTAGATCCTCTGCTGGGGCCATTAGAGACCATCAGGTTCAACCCATTCATTTCATAATCAAGGAGATTAAGAGCCTTGCCCGAGGTGACTCAGTCTGGGCAGAGCCAGGCTAAAAGTTAAGTTTCCTTGGCTTCCAGGCCAGGGGGGAGACCTCTTATTATTATTGTTGTTGCTTATTTGTTTATTTTATTTTGTTCTTTTGAGTCGGGGTCTCGCTCTGTCACCCAGGCCGGAGTGCAATGGCATCATCGTAGCTCACTGCAGCCTCAACCTCCTGGGCTCAAGCGATCCTCCCACCTTAGCCTCCCGAGTAGCTAGGACTACAGGCATGTGCCACCACACCTGGCTACTTTCTAAAATGTTTAATTTTTTGTAGAGATGGGGGTCCCACTATTTTGCCCAGGCTGGTCTTGAACTCCTGGGCTCAAGTGATCCTCCCACCTCCACTTCCCAAAGTGCTGGGATATTAGGTGTGAGCCACCATGCCCAGCCAAGATCTGTTTTTAGTGTATCTGGATCTCTGACCCCAGCCTGAAGAGCAAGGAGGGGAACTACTGGGTCCTTGAACAGGAGTTGAAGGGCCCAGGTGGGATAAGCTGATGAAGAACCAGAGATGCGGTTGCTAGGAACTCCCTCACTGTCTGGCCCACACTGTCAGCAATCCCTATGCCAACACACAAGCCTCCATGCCTGGAACCAGCCCAAGCCCCAGACCTCTTGCACCACGCTCTGAGGACAATGGGTCCCAGAGAACAGCAAGTTAGCTCCTGACTCCATCTGCAGCTCCAGGCAACATGAACCAGCTGTTCATGGGTCCCAGGAAAATGCAAGCTAGTGGTTCAGTGGTGCTTCCAGCAATACCCTCACTACCCCCAAAGGTGATAAGTTGTGAGCAACCGGTAGACTGGAACCCACCTGACTCATTCAAGACATTTGGCTCCAGTCTCCTTCCCTTGCTTACAGTGGGGAGACCCTTTCCAAATGGCATTTATACGTCTCAGATAAGGTTGTTTGTCGTGGGAGGTAAGGGTAGGGGTGGACGTGGGGAGTTCCCAGAGTCATGGGGAGGGAAGAACTTTCCAATGCATCCCCCATCTTTCAACCCAGGCACCACCTCTACCCCTGTTCCATTTTGGGGGACATGAACAAAGGTTCCCAGGTCCTTAAACCTTGGAGGAGGCGAGTAATAAAACAGGTCAGCGACTCCAGGCCAAGCCAAAGCTGTGGGCTAGCCTGTAACCCTTGCTTCACATGGTGACCACTTCCTACCCTCCAGTCCAGCACCCTCCAGCCTGGCTCCGTGGAACTCTTAACTCTCATCAGATGTCTAGGCAGAGGCGGAGGCAGCTGGTGAGTCCAGGGCACTGTCAGAAATGTAGTCCAGGTATCTCCTGGACCAAGCGCCCTCCTAAAAGAGGGACAGCATTTCTTGGCCGGGCGTGGTGGCTCATGCCTATAATCCCACCACTTTGGGAAGCCAAGGGAGGCGGATCATCTGAGGTCAGGAGTTGGAGACCAGCCTGACCAACATGGAGAAACCCTCTCTCTACTAAAAAAAAAAAAAAAAAAAAAAAATACAAAAGTAGCCGGGCGTGCTGGCGCATTCCTGTAATCCCAGCTACTCAGGAGGCTGAGGCAGGAGAATCGCTTCAACCCGGGAGGCCGAGATTGTGGTGAGCCGAGATCACGCTATTGCACTCCAGCCTGGGCAACAAGAGTGAAACGCTGTCAAAAAAAAAAAAAAAAAAAAAGAGGAATAACATTTCTCTCTTCATGTCTATCCCCACATCCTTGGGGACATTCTTTAAATCTCATAAATATGAATGATCTCTTTGGGGAGGGGGTGATCAGAGTCATAGCTGGGCATGATCGGAGTCAGAGCTGGGAATGCCGGCAGCCCACCCACCCGCACCCCACTCCCACCACACCCCACACACCTGAAATATCGATGCCCTTGAGGCCGATGGCTTCTTGACACTGGGGGAGGGAGGAGAGGGAGGGAAGGGAGAGCCCAGTCGCCGGAGAGGCGGAGACAAAGAAGGCAGCTGCACAAAGCGCCCAAAGATGAGAGCGAAAAGGACGGGAATGGAGGCAGAGAGCAGACAAAAGCGGACAGGAGATGCGGCCGCAGGGGACAGGCAGGGAAGCCGGAGGAGGCTTCGACACCGAATCACAGACATGACACCTCGTGACTCTGGGCCCAGCAGATGAAAAAAAAAAAATCCTAGCACGCACCCCCTCCCCTGGGACACTGTAAATAGAAAGCAGCGTGACACACCCCCTTCGCCCCGGGGTATGGGGGGCGGGGATCCGTGGAGGGGAAGGGGTCAAGGGGAAAAGAAAGTCAGAAAAAAGGCCGTAAGAGAACAACCTTGGAAACAGAGACGGGGAGAGGCGATGAAGTGGGGGCGGGAGAGAAGGCCTAGGGGGTGGGCAGAGGCAGGGGCCGAGGAAGATGGCCCAGCCAAAGGGGGTGGGGGGAGGGCCCCAGAGGGCCACAGTAGTGGAGAAGGGGGGGCTGTCCTGCAGGGTCTTCCCGAGTGAGGGTCTTCCCTCTGCCTCTACCCCGGATTGGGGGCTTGGGCTTGGGGGAGAGGGAGATTGCAAAGGGAGCGATCTGCTTGGCGGGGGTTCCCCTGGGCGCCGGACCCTGGGGACAGGTGGGAGCGACATGGCAACAGAGGGGGGCGGGGGAGCGCTTCTGGACACCTGAAGCGCAGCCTCTGACTCAGTTTTCTGGGTCTTCGGACTGGGAGGGGCTGGGCAGAAGGGGGCGCAGCCGCTTGGTCCCCCTGAGGGGCGGTGGCCTTCTGCTGCCCCATTCTGCGGTGGAGGAGCACGCTAGCCCCCTCCCCAGTCCCCAGGCCCGGCCGCCCCCCTACCTCGCCGGAGCCGGAGCTGGAGCCAGGGCCGAGATGCCGCAAAGCCAAGCGGGGCGGGCGGCGGGCGCAGACACCCCCGGTGCCAAGAGAGAGGTCCCTTTGGAGCCCCCAAGAGTCAAAGGAGGATGACGCGCGGGGACTCGGCCGCGCTGTCGGAGCCCGACTCTAACGTCGGTCAGCGCTGGGGCAGCGCCGCAGCTCCGTTGGCGACGCGGGCCGGGGCGCCCATCGGTTCAGGGGTTCGGGTGGCACGCGTGGCTCCCCCGGCGACGCTCCGGCGGCAGCTTCGAGGGGCGGAGACCCCGGCGACGCGGAAGAAACCCGGGACGGATCCGGAGCGGACTCGTGCCCTGCTGGCGGGGCCGGGGGTCGGGGTGCGCCCTGGGCAGCTGGGTGGCCTCAAGCCCTACTGGCGAGACTCCGCCCTGTGTCCCGGCTGGGGAGTGGGACTGAGGATGGTGGTGTCTCGGGTTTTGGTGGTGGTGATGCTGGTGTTGCTGGCTTAGTTATCTCCCCACCCCACGCCCAGCACCTCCGTTCTCTGTCCGGGGGTCCCCCACTGCCCTGAAGTACCCCTCCTCCAGGAGCCACCCCTCAATGGAATCTCCTCTCTCCATTATAAGAGCGGCTGGGAAGGGGACTCCGAGCCTTCGTCCCCGGAAACTGATAGAGGGAATCAGAAACCCTAGAACACCGGGAAGGCGAAGAGACATCAAGAGACAGAAGTTGAAAGGCTGAAAAGGGCAGAGGGAGGCCAAGATCTCTCCATCTTCTCACCACTGCGTGGGTGCCTGAGCACCCTGGTTCCCCGGGTGCACAAGGCCCCTAAATCCACAATGTACCCCACGGGACAGCAGGCAGAAAGACCTCCAGGTACACAGCGCACACCCAGGCACATTCACACAGACCTCTGCACTCAGGAGGCGCTGCACCCCACGCTGATCCTGGTGGCTGGGGAGGAAGAGGGAAGTGTGGAGCTGGGACCCGGGTGGGTGCAGCGCTGCCCCTGCTCTAATAAGGCGGTGGCCCAGGCTCTTAACTCCTACAAGGTTCTCCATCCCACCTATAAAGTGAGCTCAAGACTGGGTGCGGTGGCTCAAGCCTGTGATCCCAGCACTTTGGGAGGCCGAGGCGGGGGAATCACTTGAGGTCAGGAGTTCGAGACCAGCCTGGCCAACATGGTGAAACCCCGTCTCTACTAAAAATACAACAATTAGCCTGGCCTGGCCGGGCACGGTGGCTCATGCCTGTAATCCCAGCACTCTGGGAGGCCGAGGTGGGAGGATCACCTGAGGTCAGGAGTTCAAGACCAGCATGGCCAACATGGCGAAACCCCGTTTCTACTAAAAATACAAAAATCAGCCGGGCACAGTGGCCTGCACCTGTAATCTCAGCTACTTGGGAGGCTGAGGCAGGAGAATCGCTTGAACCCGGGAGGCAGAGATTGCAATGCGCCGAGATCGTGCCACTGCACTCCAGCCTGCGCGGCAGAGCGAGAATCCAACTCAAAATAAAATAAAATAATAAATAAAGTGAGATCAGAACACCTTCAGTTCTACCCTGTAAGGAGCCAGGAAAGTGATGGACAAAGCCCTTTAGCAACTGTAAACTGCTTTGGAGATGCAGGGAATAATTTTTTTTTTTTTTTTTTGAGAGGAGTCTCACTCTCGCCTAGGCTGGAGTGCAGTGGCGCGATCTCGGCTCACTGCAAGCTCTGCCTCCCGGGTTCATGCCATTCTCCTGCCTCAGCCTCCCCAGTAACTGGGACTACAGACGCCCGCCACCACCCCCGGCTAATTTTTTGTATTTTTAGTAGAGACGGGGTTTCACCGTGTTAGCCAGGATGGTCTCGATCTCCTGACCTCGTGATCCGCCCGCCTCGGCCTCCCAAAGTGCTGGGATTACAGGCGTGGGCCACCGTGCCCGGCCGATGCAGGGAATAATGTTAAGGCCTTTCAAGGTCTGCTGGAGTCCTCTCTCCAGGGGCCGCCCAGCTCTCATGCTCCCCCTACCCTCTCCCCCACCCCAAAATTCATTGTTCACCCATCTTATTCCATTTTTTCTTTCTTTACTTTCCGAGGTGATAACTTCATAATCAGGCAAACTGATCCCATTGGATGTGCCAATGCAATAAGAAGGAAGGTCATGTTCCTGGAATCCCACATACAGGAATTCCAACCGAGGGTTAAAGGGCTAAACAGGAATAACACCAAGGGTTAAAGGGATGAGAATCCCGACTTCTAGGCTGAGGCAGGGCAAAATGCAACTGACAAGTTACTCAACATTTTTTAATAGGACTTCCCCCCATTTCTGATCTCTGAAAGTGCTAACACACTGTGCGTCTCACCAAACTGCAGATTGCAGTTAAGGTGCCATATGCTTCATGATGGGAAAGAACTTCAAAAAGTTACAGGTTTCAAGGAAAAAATCACTAGTGGCCAAAGGGAGAGACCATCATATGCTAATCCCGCCCCTTTCGCCAGAAGCCACACCTTCCACCAACAGAAACTCTTGGATTGGCCCAACCCTCACACACTTCCAGTTCCATCAGCCATTCAGAATTAAAAGTTTACCAACGTTTCGGCCCCTCCCCTTAAGTCCAAGCCACTCAGAAGCAAGTTGTCACTGTAAGTCCCGCCTCCAAACAGCTCACTGGGCCAATGGAAAGCCATCTTGTTCCAGGCTTCATTCTCACACATCTAGGAGAGCCGGTTTTCCTCTCAGCTAGAGAACAAGTGGCTTTCAGCTGCCTGAGTGCTCAGAGGTTGCAGGGAGGCGGCCTATTCTGGGATGGAGGAGAGATCTGGCTGAGAGGAGACAGCCCTGGCGTGGCTGGCCTAGGTTCCAGGATTACCCTCTACCCAGTAGAGTGGTGGTGATGTGGGGTGAACCACTGAACCACCCAATGTTTACTAAGCACTGTAGCTTAATCTCCATAACGCTGTAGGGGAGGGCGGATTGTTTAGCCATTTTACAGAAGAGCAAAGTATATTCTGAGAAGGCTATGGACCAGATCCCATAGGAATTTTTTTTTTTTTTTTTTTTTTTTTGAGACAGTCTCTCTCTGTCGCCCAGGCTGGAGTGCAGTGGCGCGATCTTGGCACACTGCAGCCTCCGCCTCCCGGGTTCAAGCGATTCTCCGGCCTCAGCCTCCTGAGTAGCTGCACCACCACGCCCAGCTAAATTTTTTTTTTTTTTTTGAGACGGAGTTTCGCTCTTGTTGCCCAGGCTGGAGTGCGGTCGCGTGATCTCGGCTCACCGCAACCTCCGCCTCCCGGGATCAAGAGATTCTCCTGCCTCAGCCTCCCAAGTAGCTGGGATTACAGGCATGTGTCACCACGTCCAGCTAATTTTTGTATTTTTAGTAGAGACGGAGTTTCTCCATGTTGGTCAGGCTGGTTTTGAACTCCCAACCTCAGGTGATCCACCCGCCTCGGCCTCCCAAAGTGCTGGGATTACAGGCATGAACCACCGCACCCGGCCATGCCCAGCTAATTTTTGTATTTTTAGTAGAGACAGGGTTTCACCATATTGGCCAGGCTGGTCTCGAACTCCTGACCTCAAGTGATCCTCCTGGCTCAGGCCTGTAATGCCAACACTTTGGGAGGCCGAGGCAGGAGGATCTCTTGAGGCCAGGAGTTTGAGACCAGTCTGGGCAACATAGTGAGACCTTGTCTCTACCAAAAATAAAAGAATTAGCCGGGCACAGTGGTGTGCACCTGCGGTCCCAGCTACTCAGGAGGCTGAGGTAGGAGGATCGCTAGAGCCCAGGAGTTTGAAGTTGCAATGAGTTCTGATGGTGCCACTGTGCTCCAGCCTGGGTGACAGAGCGAGACCTTGTCTCTCTCTACACACACACACACACACACACAGACACACACGTATATATGTATATATATGTGTATCTATGTGTGTGTATATATACACATACATACATATATACACACATATATATATGTATATATGTGTGTGTATATATATAGAGAGAGAGAGAGAAAGAATAAAGCGCCAATCAGTATTAGTGCCATTAATAATGGAGATAGGCCAGGCGCCGTGGCTTACGCCTGTAATCCCAGCATTTTGAGAGGCCGAGGCGGGTGGATCACTTGAGGTCAGGAGATCAAGACCAGCCTGG
Source organism: Homo sapiens (assembly GCF_000001405.40). Lineage (NCBI taxonomy): Eukaryota > Metazoa > Chordata > Mammalia > Primates > Hominidae > Homo > Homo sapiens. Next base: position 101,184,177 of record NC_000007.14, read on the forward strand.
CCAACATAGCAAAACCCCTTCTCTACTAAAAATACAAAAATTAGCCGGGCATGGTGGCACGTGCCTGTAATCCCAGCTACTCTGGAGGCTGAGGCAAGATAATCACTTGAACCCAGGATGTGGAGGTTGCAGTGAGCCGAGATAGTGCCACTGCACTCCCGCCTGGGCAACAGAGAGAGACTCGGTCTCAAAAAAAACTTTTTTTTTTTTAAGAGACAGGATCTTGCTCTTTCGCCTAGACTGGAGTGCAGTGGCACAAATCATAGCTCACTGCAACCTCAAACTCCTGGGCTCAAGAGATCTCCCACCTCAGCCCCCTGAGTAACTGAGACTACAGGCACATGTCACCACACCCAGCTAATTATTGTATTTTTTGTAGAGGCAGAGTCTTGCTATGTTGCCCAGGCTGGGCTTGAACTCCTGGTCTCAAGCCATCCTCCTGCCTTGGCCTCCCAAAGTGCTGGGATTACAGACATGAGCCACCTCGCCAGGCCATAATAAGCCACCTTGAATCTTCATACTCGCCAAGCTGAAAGCCTGGGCATCTCAGGATTCTGGTGACCAAGACTTCCTCCTCTGGATTTTTGCTTTTGAGTGTTTCCCTCTTAGACCCCTCTTCTCCCTGTCCCACTGTGAAATCATTGCGAAGTCTTCTGCCATCCCCCTTATCACACCCCATTCGGTGACCTATCTGGACAATTCCCCAATCTATGAATCAAGTCTCGACCTTCCAGGCTGTCTCCAACTATCTGTGGAACATCTGTGTTGTGATGAGAGCAGTGAAATAAAAGATGTGAATGATTTACAGGAAATGACCTGGATCCCTCATAAGCTTTTTCTCTTTTTATTTTATTTTTTAAATTTTTCATAGACACACCATCTTGCTACGTTGCCCAGGCTGGTCTCAAACTCCTGGCTTCAAGTGATCCGCCCACCTTGGCCTCCCAAAGTGCTGGGATTACAGGCGTGAGCCACCACCTCTGGCCAATACCTTGCATGCTTTACAACATTCACAATCAGCTCCTCTTGCAGACAGAGGAAGGAGACCAGAGATGAAAGGGTTAAGTAATTGGCTCCAAGTCACAGAGCCAGTGAGCTCCTAAAAGGCTTGCTCAGAATGATAGACTAAAAGGAATCATCTAGATCATCCCACAAGGCAGATATCAGAGATGCCACACTCTCCTGGTGAGTCATGAAGTCACGGCTTTCTCAGCCTCAAAGAGGATGTAGCACCCAACTTCCAGTAAGGATGAAATAAAGTAATGTGTGTAAAGTGCCTGGCAGAGCATTCCTGGCACAACATTTCAATTGATGGTAGGTATTATTATCCAGCCAACTGGAGCAGCAATTCTCACATGGGGTGTATCACAGCCTGTACTTTGGAATTCAGGCATAACAGAAGCCTCTTGTTTATTCTGCAGTCAGGACTGTCAGGGCTCGAGGAACACCCACAGGAACTTCAGGAATCAGGCAAGAGAAAGAGGGAAAATCACTACGTGTGACCATGAACTGTTTTATTTGATTTTTGGAGACAGGGTCTTGCTCTTTTGCCCAGGCTGGAATGCAGTGGCACAAACACAGCTCACTGCAACCTCAAACTCCTGGGCTCAAGTGATCCTCCTGTCTCAGCCTCCCAAGTAGTTGGCAGCACCGATGCGCACCACCAAGCCCTGCTAATTTTTAAAAAAGTTTTTGTAGACACAGAGTCTCACCATGTTGCCCAGACTGGTCTTGAACTCCTGGGGTCAAGTGATCCTCCTGCCTCGGCCTCCCAAAGTGCTGGGATTTCAGGTGTGAGCCACCGCACCTGGCTATAAACTATTTACTTATTTATTTATTTATTGAACAGAGTTTCGCTCTTGTTGCCCAGGCACGATCTTGACTCATTACAACCTCTGCCTCCTAAGTTCAAGAGATTCTCCTGCCTCACCCTCCCAAGTAGCTGAAATTATAGGCATACACCACCACACCTGGCTAATTTTGTATTTTTTAGTAGAGAAGGGGTTTCACCATGTTGGTCAGTCTGGTCTCAAACTCCTGACCTCAGGTCATCCATCCACCTTGACCTCCCAAAGTACTGGGATTACAGGTGTGAGCCACCACGCCAGGCTTAATATAAACCTCTTTTAGAACAGGGATGATGTCACAGTTATTTTTATGCCACTGGTACTTAGGTACTTAGTTCGGTTCTTGGCACATAGTAGGTGCTCAATTCGTATTTCTGAATGCACGAATGCCTCCAGCCTATGTCTGCAGTTGGGGACAGTGAGACAGACGGATCACTTATCTCAGGTCACCCAGTTGACCTGAGGTAAAGATAAAACCTGACTCCTGGTATCCCTGTTTTCTGTTTGTTTGTTTGTTTTGTTTTTGTTTTTGTTCTGAGACGGAATCTCACTCTGTTGCCTGGGCTGGGCTGGAGTGCAGTGGTGCCATCTTGGCTCACTGCAACCTTTGCCCCCCGGGTTCAGGCCATCCTCCTGCCTCAGCTTTCCGAGTAGCTGAGATCACACTCAGCTAATTTTTTTGTATTTTTAGTAGAGATGGGGTTTCACCATGTTGGCCGGGCTCTCAAGTGATCTGCCCGCGTTGGCTTCCCGGTCTGTTTTTTTTTTTTTTTTTTTTGAGACAGAGTCTCCCTCTGTCCCTCTGTCCCCCAGGCTGGAGTGCCATGGTGGTGGGATCTCAGTTCATGGCAACCTCTGCCTCCCGGGTACAAGTAATTCTCCTGCCTTAGCTTCCCAAGTAGCTGGGATTACAGGCACCCACAACCACACCCAGCTTTTTTTTTTTTTTTTTTTTTTTTTTTAAGTAGAGATGGGGTTTCATCATGTTGATCTCACATGTTTCATCACATTTAGTAGAGACAGGGTTTCATCATGTTGATCATCACCTGATCTCAAGTGATCCGCCTATCTGGGCCTCCCAAAATGCTGGTATTACAGGCATGAGCCACTGTGCACCCTGATTCCTAGTATCCTAATCCCAAACCAATCCATAGCCCAGCCTCACACTATACTTCTGAAGGTTAGAAGTGTGACTAGCGTGCTTAGATGTACATGAAGTTTCACATCTGTGCTCCTCCAATTGTCAGCTTCCTCTTTCCCATGCACATAAACCAATACTGGCTACAAGGTCTGTTCATTTATTCAGCAAGCATTATTGTCATCTTCTCAGGGCCTGGTTAATTCCACTTCTTCTTACAAGTAGCTCACTTTAGCTGGCTGTTAAAAATACACTGTTTTGAGCCGGGCGCCGTGGCTCACGCCTGTAATCCCAGCACTTTGGGAGGCCGAGGCGGGCGGATCATGAGGTCAGGAGATCGAGACCATCCTGGCTAACACGGTGAAACCCCGTCTCTACTAAAAATACAAAAAATTAGCTGGGCGTGGTGGCAGGTGCCTGTAGTCCCAGCTACTCAGGAGGCTGAGGCAGGAGAATGGCGTGAACCCGGGAGGTGGAGCTTGCAGTGAGCCGAAATTGCACCATGGGACTCCAGCCTGGGCGACAGAGCGAGACTCGGTCTAAAAAAAAAAAAAAAAAAACCACTGTTTTATTTATTTATTTGTTTATTTTATTTTATTTTATTTTTGAGATGGAGTTTCACTCTTGTTGCCCAGGCTGGAGTGCAAATGGCGCTATCTTGGCCCACCACAACCTCCGCCTCCCGGGTTCAAGCAATTCTCCTCCCTCAGCCTCCTGAGTAGCTGGGACTACAGGCATGTGCCACCATGCCCAGCTAATTTTGAATTTTTAGTAGAGACAGGGTTTCTCCATGTTGATCAGGCTGGTCTCGAACTCCTGACCTCAGGTGATCCACCTGCCTCAGCCTCCCAAAGTGCTGGGATTACAGGTGTGAGCCACCATGCCTGGCCTAGGCTAGACCAGCCTGGGCAACATAGCAAGACTTTGTCTCTACAAAAAAATTTTAAAAGTAGCCAGGTGTGGTGGTGCACACCTGCAGTCCCAGCTACTCAGGAGGATGATGTGGGAGGATTGCTTGAGCCCAACAAGTCAAGGCTGCAGTGAGCCCTGATCGTGCCACTGCACACTGCAGCCTGGGTGACAGAGCGAGATCCTATCTAAAAAAAAAAAAAAAAAAAAAAAAAAAAGCCCAACACTTTTTTATCTGGAGAATATTTAACATACACAAAACCAGAGAGAATACATATTTCAAAGTATCACTTTGTATATGATAAATATATATAGTTTTAGCCAGGTGTGGTGGCTCATGTCTGTAATCCCAGCACTTTGGGAGGCTGAGGCGGGTGGATCACTCGAGACTAGCCTGGCCAACATGGTGAAACTCCATCTCTACTAAAAATACAAAAATTAGCTAGGCGTGGTGGGGCACACCTGTAATCCCAGCTACTTGGGAGGCTGAGGCAGGAGAATAGCTTGAACCTGGGAGGCGGAGGTTGCAGTGAAAATTTACAGAACAATCTCATTTCTTCCACAAATAAGTTGGAAGAAGAGACAGAGAGAGACGGAGAGGAAATCTACAGATTAAAAGAAAATTAAGGCTGGGCACGGTGGCTCACACCTGTAATCCCAGCACTTTGGGAGGCTGAGGCAGGCAGATTGCTTGAGATCAGGAGTTCGAGACCAGCCTGGCCAACATGGTGAAAACCCATCTCTACTGAAATTACAAAAATTAGCCCGGCTGGGCGCGGTGGCTTACGCCTGTAATCCCAGCATTTTGGGAGGCCAAGGCGGGTGGATCACGAGATCAGGAGTTCAAGATTATCCTGGCCAACATGGTGAAACCCCATCTCTACTAAAAATACAAAAATTAGCTGGGTGTGGTGGTGTGCGCCTGTAGTCTCAGCTACTCGGAAGGCTGAGGCCGGAGAATCGCTTGCACCCGGGAGGCGGAGGTTGCGGTGAGCCAAGTTTGGGCCATTGCACTCCAGCCTGGGCAACAGAGTGAGACTCCATCTCAAAAAAAAAAAAAAATTAGCCGGGCGTGGTGGCATACACCTATAATCCCAGGTACTCGGGAAATTGAGACAGGAGAATTGCTTGGACTCGGCAGGAGGAGGTTGCAGTGAGCCGAGATCCCACCATTGCACTCCAACCTGGGTAACAGAGCGAGATTCAGTGAAAAGACAGAAAGAAAGGAAAAAAGAAAAGAGAGAAAGAGAGGAAGGGGAGGGGAAGAAGGGAAGGAAGGAAAAAGGAAGGAAGGGAAAGAAAAAAAAAGAATCTTGTGGCCAAATGTGTGGGGGTTTTTTCCCCACACACCAAGTAAGCAATCAATTCTGCAGCCGGTGTCTTTCAACCCAGTTCAATCTGGACACTACCTGGAGGTAGTGATAGATCCCACGTGGAGGCTCAGTCCCACAAGACTGTCCCCCACTACCAATGCCACTCACAAGCCTCAGGTTATTCTACCTGCACGTCTGACTGACCGGCTATATACTGGGGGTCCCATGACCCCCTGTTGGGTTCAATTAATTTGCTAGCACGACTCACAGAACTCAGAGAATCACTCACTTATATTCACCTGTTTATTATAAAGGATATTACAAAGGTTACAGATGGGCCAGGTGTGGTGACTCATGCCTGTAATCTCAGCACTTTGGGAGGCTGAGGTGGGAGGACTGCTTGAGGCTAGGAGTTTGAGACCAGCCTGGGCAACATAGCAAGACTCCATCTCTAAAAATAAATAAATAAAATGAACAAACAAACAAACAAAAACAAAGGATACGGATCGGCCAGAGGCAGTGGCTCAAGTCTGTAATCCTAGCACTTTGGGAGGCCAAGGAGGAAGGATTACTTGAGCTCAGGAGTTCGAGACCAGCTTGTGCAACATGGTGAAACCCTGTCTGTACAAAAAATAATACAAAAAATTAGCCAGGCATGGTGGTGCACGCCTATAGTCCAGTCTACTTGACAGGTTGAAGCAGGAGGATCACTTAGGCCGGGGAGGCGGAGGTTGCAGTGAGCTGTGATGGTGCCACTGCACTCCAGCCTGAGAGACAGAGTGACAGCCTGTCTCAAAAACAAAAACAAACAAACAAAAACAGGGCTGGGCTCATGCCTGTAATCCCAGCCCTTTGGGAGACCAAGGCAGGAAGATCACTTGAGGCCAGGAGTTCAAGACCAGCCTGGCCAACATGGCCAAACCCCATCTCTATTAAAAATACAAAAATTAACCAGGCATGGTGGCACATGCCTGTAATCCCAGCTACTTGGGAGGCTGAGGCAGGAGGATTGCTTGAACCTGGGAGGTGGAGGCTGCATTTCAGCCCGGGTGACAGAGTGAGACCCTGTCTCAGAAAAAAGAAAACAAAACTATACAGATGAAGACATGCCTAGGGTGAGGCATGGGGAGTGGGGTTTGGAACTCCATGTCCTCCCAGAGTGCACCACCCTCCAAGAACCTCCACATTCTCACCTATCCAGAAGCTCTCCAAACCCAGTCCTCAGGTCTTTTACAGGGGCTTCCTTGGATAGGCATGATTGACACCAGTGTAGAAGTGTGATTGGAAGCTGGGGCGTGGTGGCTCACGCCTGTAATCCCAGCACTTTGGGAGGCCAAGGTGGGCGGATCACTAGAGGTCGGGAGTTCGAGACCAGCCTGACCAACATGGAGAAACCCTGTCTCTACTAAAAATACAAAATTAGCCAGGTGTGGTGGTGCATGCCTGTAATCCCAGCTACTCAGGAGGCTGAGGCAGGAGAATTGCTTGAACCTGGGAGGCAGAGGTTGTGGTGAGCCGAGATCGTGCCATTGCACTCCAGCCTAGGCAACAAGAGCAAAACTCTGTCTCAAAAAAAAAAAAAAATGTGATTGGACAAAAAGGGTACCACCTAATACTAACACACCGAGTGGGGAAGCCCAGCCAGGCCTGTCTGTTCAGATTCTCCTCGGCCTCTCTCTGTGTAGTGTTCCTTCCTCCAGGGGATGGGGCAGGACCCTTTCTGAAATGAGGGTCTCATGACCCACAAGCAGACAAGGTAGGTCAGAGCATCTCTTAATAACCAGCTTCAGACAGAACGGCGAGGGAAGAAGATTCCGTATATTTTTAGTTTCTATGGCCTGCCTAGGTGAGAAAAAGGAGCAGGAGAGAGGAGGCCAGGAGGAGGTCAGAGACAGACAGATTGTGTTTTCTGAAGCCTGCTTCTGAGGCCAAAAGTGCCCCCACGTTCTAACAAAAGACTGTCTTTCACTTTTATCGCTCTGAAGCTGTTCCGAAGTTGCTTCGGGAATTGAGGACATAGGCCAACTACTCTAACAAGAGAAGGGCCGATTGTTTTAGTTACTTAGGAAATAACAAGGGCTTTGGGAGTTATGAGCCAAGAACCTCGGACCTATATATAGGATCTATAAATGGATATATAGATAATAGCACAGTGCCATTAAAAAAGAGACCTGAGAGAGACCCTCCTCTCTTCTCCGTGTGAGGTTAGGGCAAGAAGATGACACACGTGATGAAGTGAACCCTCTCCAGACGACATTTCGGCTGGTGCTTTGATCTCGGACGTCCCAGATTCCAAAACTTTGAGAGCTATATATATATATTTTTGAGACGGAGTTTCGCTCTTGTTGTCCAGGCTGGAGTGCAATGGCACAATCTCGGCTCACTGCAACTTCTGCCTCTCGGGTTCAAGCGATTCTCCTGCCTCGGCCTCCTGAGTAGCTCGGATTACAGGCATGCACCACCACGCCCGGCTAATTCTGTATTTTTAGTAGAGACAGGGTTTTGCCATGTTGGTCAGCCTCTTCACTCTTGTTGGCTGGGCACGGTAGCTCACTCTTGTAATCCCAGCGCTTTGGGAGGCCGAGGTGGGATGATCACTCCAGCCCAGGAGTTCAAGACCAGCCTGGGCAACATGGTAGAACCACTGCGCTCCAGCCTGGGTGACAAAGCTAGATCCTGTGTCAAAAAAACAAAATAACAAAACAAACAAAAAAACACAGAAGGTCGTGACAGATTTTTTTTTTTTTTGAGATGGAGTCTCACTCTGTCATCCAGGCTGGAGTGCAGTGGCGCAATCTCTGCTCACTGCAACCTTCGCCTCCCGGGTTCAAGTGGTTCTCGGACCCCAGCCTCCCAAGTAGCTGGGATCAGGGGCACCTGTCACCATGCCCAGCTAATTTTTGTATTTTTAGTAAAGATGGGTTTTCACCATGTTGGCCAGGCTGGAGAAGGTCGTGATAGATCTTTAAGCAGAGCTATGGGGATGGCGAGGAGGGCCCTGGACCAGCCTGGCAGGTTGGCAGGTTGGGGAAGGTGTCTTGGAAATGGAACCTAAACTGAGTCTTGAAACTCCCCTTCCAGATAAGAGGTGCTGGGTCCCTCAGGTGGGAAGGGACAGCCTGAGTAAAGCCCAGGGCTGAAACACAGCCTGGTTTGCAAGAACAAGCAGTTCTGGGTCGTCTGCCCTGGGTGGGGCTGCACCTTGGACCCAGCCTGTAGGCAGAGGCTGGCTAGCCCCCGAGGACTTCAAGCAAGAGAGGGACAGATTTGCCTTCTGTGTAGAGACCGCCCTCTGGTGGCCACATGGAGGATGGCAGGAGAGAATGGCGCCGAAAGAAAAGCGGCAGGCTGAGCTCATAAAGCTGCGAATGCTGTTCCTTCTTCCTCTTTTTCAAAAGACGGATTTTGGGCCGGGCTTGGTGGCTCACGCCTGTAACCCCAGCACTTTGGGAGGCCGAGGCGAGCGGATCACGAGGTCAGGAGATCGAGACCATCCTGGCAAACACGGTGAAACCCCATCTCTACTAAAAAAAAAATACAAAAAATTAGCCAGGAGTGGTGGCAGACGCCTGTAGTCCCAGCTACTCGGGAGGCTGAGCCAGGAGAATGGCGTGAACCCGGGAGGCGGAGCTTGCAGTCAGCGGAGATCGCGCCACTGCACTCCAGCCTGGGCGACAGAGCGAGACTCCATCTCAAAAAACATAAATAAATAAATAAAATAAAATAAAATAAAAGACGGGTTTTGCTCTGTTGCCCAGGCTGGTGCTGTGGTGCAATCTTGGCTCAGCCTGTAACTCCTGGCCTCAAGCGATCCTCCCACCTTGGCTTCTCAAACTCTGGGATGACAGATGCATACTACCATACCCCGCCCATCCCCAGTGTCTGGAAAATGTGCCCACTGGAGAAATCTATTGGCCGGATTGTGACTGGTTGGATGCTCCCACGGCAGGAAAGGGGGAAGGACAAGTGGCCACGTCGAGGCCTGCCTGAACTCCAAGGGTATCCAGGCCGAGGTTGCTCAAACCCAGAGCTGATTTATTTTTATTTTTATTTGTTTTTATTTTTTGACACAGTCTTACTCTGTCGCCCAGGCTGGAGTGCAGCGGTGCAATCTCGGCTCACTGCAACCTCCGCCTCCGGGTTCAAGCGATTCTCCTGCCTCAATCTCTGGAGTAGTTGGGATTACAGACACCTGCCACTACGCCCAGCTAATTTTTGTATTTTTGGTAGAGACGGGGTTCACTATGTTGGCCAGGCTGGTCTTGAACTCCTGGTCTTAGGTGATCCTCCTGCCTCGGCCTCCTAAAGTGCTGGGCTTACAGGCATGAGCCACCATGCCTGGCCTGAACGAAACATTTCTATGCTCCAACTTAAAATGAATGTAGAACTTATTATCTGAGAATGACCCAGGGAAGTCATGGGACTGCCCATATTTTCATGCAATAAAGGGAAAATTCTTCCCACAAATAAATTTTATAGGACGGTAGAAGCAAATATAGGGCATTCCAATTACATTTCAATGAGTTATTCTTGATGAAGTCCTGGATACACAAAGCCAGCCAGCAAATAGGATTGACCAAAGTCAGAGGATGCTGTGACCACCCCAGGGCTCTTTTTGTTTGTCTGTTTGAGACGGGTCTCGCTTCGTTACCCAGGCTGGAGTGCCGTGGCACGATCTCGGCTCACTGCACCCTTGACCTCCTAGGCTTAAGAGAGTCTCCCACCTCTACCTCCCAAGTAGCTGGGATGACAATCATAAGCCACCACACCTGGCTAATTTCTAGAATTTTTTTTTTCATTTTTTTCATTTTTTTTTCTTTTTAGCCGGAGTTTCACTCTTGTTGCCCAGGCTGGAGTGCAATGGTGCGATCTTGGCTCAACACAACCTCCGCCTCCCGTGTTCAAGCAATTCTCCTGCCTCAGCCTCCTGAGTAGCTGGGTCTACAGGAGAGCACCACCACGCCCAGCTAATTTTTGTATTTTTAGTAGAGACGGGGTTTCACCATGTTGGCCATGATGGTCTTGATCTCTTGACCTCGTGATCCACCTGCCTCAGCCTCCCAAAGTGCTGGGATTATAGGTGTGAGCCACAGCAGCCGGCCATAGGACATAAGCTTTTTTTTTTTTTTTTTTTTTTGAGACGGAGTCTGGCTCTGTCTCCCATGTTGGAGTGCAGTGGCACAATCTCGGTTCACTGCAAGCTCCGCCTCACGGGTTCACGCCATTCTCCTGCCTCAACCTCTCAGTAGCTGGGACTACAGGCGCCCGCCACCATGCCTGGTTAAGTTTTTGTATTTTTAGTAGAGACGGGGTTTCACCTTGTTAGCCAGGATGGTCTCGATCTCCTGACCTCGTGATCCGCCCGCCTCAGCCTCCCAAAGTGCTGGGATTACAGGCGTGAGCCACCGCGCCCAGCCTCAGCTGTGTTCTTAACTCTATTTTTCCTTCACTGGGGATGGTACCATTTCCCCGTCCTGTTAAGTGCCCTTGACTGCTCTTACCTTTAGCTCTTGGAATTCCGCCATCTACCCTAACTTCACCTCCATCTAAATCCTGCTCACTCTTCAAAGCCTGCCTCTCCACGCATCCTCCCTCCTAACTCCATCCCAATGCCCAACAGCTCTTTGCTAAGCAGATGCCTTTATTTACAGACAAAGAAGTAAACAGGCAAAAGGAAGAGGCTTGTCCAAGGTCATGCCACAGACTGAACTCTCACTGGGAGGACAGTTCAGGGTCCTGATACCCAATCTAAGGCAGCAGCTTTGTAGCACATCAGGATGGGGGCAGGTCATGCCTGGCCATGTTCACTTCCAGAACGATTATAGCTTTAACAACATTTTTTTTTTTTTGAGATGGAATCTCGCTCTGTTGCCCAGACTGGAGTGCAGTGGTGTGATCTCGGCTCACTGCAACCTCTGCCTCCTGGGTTCAAGCGATTCTCCTGCCTCAGCCTCCGGAGTAGCTGGGATTATAGGCATGAGCCACCATGCCCGGCTAATTTTTGTAGTTTTAGTAGAGAGGGGGTTTTGCCATTTTGGCCAGGCTGGTCTTGAACTCCTGACCTCAGTTGATCCACCTGCCTCGGCTTCCCAAAGTGTTGGGATTATGGGCATGAGCCACCACGCCCAGCCTACTACAGCTTTAACAGTCTTTTTTTTTTTTTTTTTTTTTTTTTTGAGATTGAGTCTCGCTGTGTTGCCCAGGCTGGAGTACTGTGGTGTGATCTCAGCTCACTGCAACCTCCGCCTCCTGGGTTTAAGCAAGTCTCCTGCCTCAGCCTCCCAAATAGCTGGGATTACAGGCACATGCCACCATGCCCGGCTAATTAACAACATTATTTTTTAATTTTTGTAGAAATGAAGTCTCACTGTGTTGCCCAGGCTGGTCTTCAACTCCTGGGCTCAAACGATCCTCCCACCTTGGCCTCCCAAAGTGCTGGGATTACAGGCATGAGGCACTGCGCTGGGCCCAGAACTACCTTTTATTGGAGGCATGGAGTCCACAGTGGGTGGAGGTCTCAGTGCCTTGGGCTCAGGGGCTCAGCGAAAGGCCGCGGCCAGGCCTAGATGAAGGTGAGGCAGGTGGAAGCGGGGACCCCACAGCTTTCCTTGTGCTCCTCGAAGAGCTGCTCCAGGGCCGTCATGTAGAGGGCGTGATAGTGATTGACTTCCTCCTCGGTGGGGTGGAGGCGCTGGGGGACGGGGATGGGGCGGCCCACTGCAGGGAGAGGGAGACAGGTGGGCGAGGGATCCCTGATGCCCACGCAGCTGCTGGTGGCCGTCCCCCCGGAGGTGGGCACTCACCCACAGTGGTGATGGGCACAGCAAAGGGCAGCAGGCCCCAGGAGGTGGCTGAGAAGAGACCGCGACCCCAGAAGATGCAAGGAGAGAAGCCCATGAGCTTCTTGAAGGTGAGCTGGCACCAATGCTGCCAGGAGCCTGTGGCAAAAGCCTTAAGTCTAAAGATGTCATTCTCCCCAAAGGAGTACACGGGCACCAGGGACGCCCTGGGAAGGAGCAAGAGAGAAGAGGGGGCTCAGGCTGCTGGACTGCTCCGAGATGGGCACCCCCAGGGGCTACAAGTCCTTCCCACTACGTCCAGATGCTACCTCCCAGGGTCATTCAAAGCACATGACTATGGCTACAAAGAAAGATCTAGAAGACAGGACTCGCATTTCTTTCTCTTTCTTTTTCTTTGTTTTAGAGAGAGGGTCTTGTAACCACACCTGTAATCCCAGCATTTTGGGAGGCCACGGTGGGAGGATCATTTGAGGTCAGGAGTTGGAGACCAGCCTGGCCAACATGGTGAAACCCCCGTCTCTGCAAAAACATAAAAATTAGCCAGGTGTGGAAGTGGGTACCTGTAATTCCAGCTACTACAGAGGCTGAGGCACAAGAATCGCTTGAACCTGGGAGGCAGAGGTTGCAGTGAGCTAAGATCACACCACTGCACTTCAGTCTGGGTGACAGAGTGAGACTTTGTCTCAAAAAATAAATAGGCTGGGTGCGGTGGCTCATGCCTGTAATCCCAATACCTTGGAAGGCTGAGGTGGGTGGATCACCTGAGGTCAGGAGTTCGAGACCACCCTGACCAATATGGTGAAACCCCATCTCTACTAAAAATACAAAAATTAGCCAGACGTGGTGACGTGCACCTGTAGTCCCAGGTACTTCAGAGGCTTGAACTCGGGAGGTGGAGGTTGCAGCGAGCCGAGATCACACCACTGCACTCCAGCCTGGGTGACAGAGCAAGACTCCATCTCCAAAAATTAAAAATTAGAAAATTTTAAAAAATAAATAATTTAAAAAATTTTAAAAGAGACAAGGCCTTGCTCTCTTGCCCAGGCTGGAGGGCAGTGGTGCAATCATAGCTCACTGCAGCCTCAACCTTCTCCGCTCAAGCCATCCTCCCACCTCAGCCTCCCGAATAGCTGAAACTTCGGGCGTGCACTACCACACTTGGCTAATTTATTTTATTTTATTTTTGTAGAGATGATGTCTCCCTATGTTGCCCAGGCTGGTCTTGAACTCCTGGCTTCAAGTGATCTTCCTGCCTTGGCCTCCCAAAGCACTGGGATTGCAAGTGTGAACCACCACGCCCAGCCGGGACTCACATTTCTTGAGACACAGTTGTGTAGTGGGCCTTCTCATAGTCATTTTCTCATTCGGTCTTTGCAATAACAACATCGTGGCAAGGTAGGTATCAGCCCTCTTCGCAAGTAAAGAAACAAGTCCGGCCGGGCACGGTGGCTCACGCCTATAATCCCAGCACTTTGGAAGGCCAAGGTGGGCGGATCACTTGAGGCCAGGAATTCGAGACCAGCCTGGCCAAAATGGTGAAACCCCGTCTCTACTAAAAATACAAAAATTAGCCCGGAGTGGTGGTGGGCGCCTGTAGTCCCAACTACTCGGGAGGCGGAGGTTGCAGTGAGCCGAGACCACGCCTTTGCACTCCAGCCTGGGCGACAGAGCGAGACTCTGTCTCAACAACAATAACAAAAAAAGAAACAAGTGCAAGGTCTTGCCTTTGAGTTGGGGTCAGAGAGGGAAGCCAGGGCTTCTGAGACCGAGGGCCCTGCTATTTGCATTATGGTCCTGTCTCCACGGATGTGGGAGGGAGCTTAGGGTAAGCGGGCCCCATGTTTGGTACCGAGTCATGCCCTGGAGAGCCCACGTGGGCCTCGGTGCAGGGCAGGGCGCTGGTCTCTGGGCACCCGGATCCCCCATGCAGGGACCTAGATGTCTGGGGACTGAGAGAGGGCATAAACCAGCAGAGAACTGACAGGTAGGGCCTGCACGCGCACTCACCCGTGCCTCAGCGCCAGGCGCACGAAGCCTTTGCGCTTCTGGAGCGTAAGGCAGTGCTCCCCGGGGACTGAATACAGGGCCTCGTGCGCACCCCCCACCATGATGACCACGGCCTGCCCGAGCTGGGGCTGGGACAGGATGAAGTCCAGGCTCTGGCGGCTCACCGGACAGAGTCCTGTGGGCAGGAGGAGGTGGAAAGTAGTTCCCATCTGCCTCCACGGCACCCCCGCCCCTCACCCAGCCTTTAGTTCCAAGCCCCCTACCCCCATCTCCAAGGCGGGGAACCTACCCAAATGCTCACTGCAAGTCTGGGCAGTGCTCAGGCTGGCCCCTGTCCTGGGTGGGGGACTTATTATGGGGGGGGGTGGTCCCAGAGGGGCTGGGGAACATCTGGTCAGGAGTCTCCTCCCGTTCTCCTCCTCCCATTCGGCTCACCAAAGGACATGATGTAGTCGCGATAGACCGGGAGGTAGAAGAGGCCAGCCAGCACGGCTAACCAGGGCCGGAGCCCCGGGAAGAGCTGGGAGAAGCCATTGCTCTCGGTGGAGAAATTACAGAGGAAGCCTGTACACATGATCCCATGAGGGTGGGCGCCCAGCACGTAGTTCCGATCCGGGGGCAGCTCTGCTGTTTTCACCAGCTTCGGGGTGTTGAGCAGGATGAAGGGAGGATGGAAGGCAAGACACCGGCTGAAAAGAGGGGCCCTCCACCCCAACAGAGTTCCGAGTTAAAGGTTCTTAGGATAGGGTCAAGGGCCACCCCAGCAGAGTTCCGAGTTAAAGGTTCTTAGGATAGGGTTAAGGGCCCAGGTTTTTTTTTTTTTTTTTTTTGAGATGGAGTCTTGCTCTGTAGCCCAGGCTGAAGTGCAGTGGCACGATCTCGGCTCACTGCAACCTCCGCCTCTTGGTCCCGGTTCAAGCTATCCTCCTGCCTCAGCCTCCCGAGTAGCTGGGATTACAGGCATGCGAAACTATGCCCAGCTAATTTTTGTATTTTTAGTAGAGACGCAGTTTCACCATATTGGCCAGGTTGGTCTTGAACTCCTGACCTCGTGATCTGCCTGCCTTGGCCTCCCACAGTGCTGGGATTACAGGCGTAAGCCACCTCACCCACTCTCTCTTTTTTTCTTTTCTTTTTTTGAGGCAGAGTTTTGCTCCTGTTGCCTAGGCTGGAGTGCAATGGCATCATCTCAGCTCACCACAACCTCCGCCTCCCTGGTTCAAGCAATTCTCCTGCCTCAGCCTCCAGAGTAGCTGGGATTACAGGCATGTGCCACCATGTCCGGCTAATTTGTTTGGTATTTTTAGTAGAGATGGGGTTTCTCCATGTTGGTCAGGCTGGTCTCGAACTCCTGACCTTAGGTGATCCACCCACCTCAGCCTCCCAAAGTGCTGGGATTAAAGGCTTGAGCCACCACAACCGCCTTTTTTTTTTTTTTTTTTTAGAGACGGTCTCACTCTGTTGCTCAGGCTGGAGTACAGTGGCGCAATCATGGCTCACTACAGCCTCCAACTCCTGGGCTCAAGCAATCCTCCCACCTCGGCCTCCCAAAGTGCTTGGATTACAGGCATGAGCCATGGTGCCCCACCAAGGCCCCGCTCTTGAACATCATCCACTCCCAGGCCGGGCGCGGTGGCTCAAGGCTGTAATCCCAGCACTTTGGGAGGCCGAGGTGGCTGGATCACTTGAGGCCAGGAGTTTGAGACCAGCCTGGCCAACATGTTGAAACCCTGTCTCTACTAAACTACAAAAATTAGCCAGGCATGGTGGCGGGCACCTATAATCCCAGCTACTAGGGAGGCTGAGGCATGAGAATAGCTTGAACCTAGGAGGCGGAGGTTGCAATGAGCTGAGATTGCACCACTGCACTCCAGCCTCGGTGACAGGAGACTCAGTCTAAAAAAAAAAAAAAATCCATTCCCTGTCCCACTGCCTGAGCTTAGGCAGCGGGGAGCTCAGGCCCCAGCACAAGGAAGGGCTCCTAGGTGTGGGAGGGAGATGGGGAGAGGTAGGAAGCAGTTTTTCTGCAGGGTGACCCATCACCTTGACAGGATAATAATCCCTTAGTTGTCTCCAAATTGCCCGGTTCCTTATCCACTCCGAACGCCTTCCACCTGCGGACAATGAGATACTGGTGGACGAACCCCCGGAGTCACCTCCCCTCACCCCCCATGTCCCCACCATCTCTGGCTACCTGGGCCCCCATCCGGAGCTCACCTTGGTTGGGTGTGTCCCAGTCCACATAGAGCCACACCAAGTAAAAAACAGAGAAGGGCCAGAGTGACGTGAAGAGGAGGACAAAGACAAGAAGGGAGAAGAAAGGGCCTGGGGGAAGGGAGAGAAAGAAAAGAGTTCACTTCTGAAACTCCATCATTCCCTCCAGCTGCTCCCTTCCCTTCCTCCCCTTCAGAACAACCAGCTCTCTCCTCTGGCCCTCTCCCAGACCAGTCACCTGGTCACTGTCCTCAGGCATGCAAGCCAGCAGCCCAGCCACTCTCCCTCCAAGCCCTACTCCCCTGGCAGACCCCAGGCACCCACGCCTCCCCAGCTCTCACCCATGAAGAGGAAAGTGAGCACATATTGGTAGGCGCCCACTGCTTCTAGATGCTGCTTCTGCAAGGTTTTGGAAGTGGTTGGGGGCTGCAGGGTTGTGGCAACTCCCATTGCAGAAGCTCCCCTCTTCCAGCAGGATCCCAGAACCCGGAGGACAAACGATGAAGGCTTGGATGTGGACCTGGGCAGACTTTCTCCCTACAGGAGCCCAGCTTTGGGGGCCTGGCTAAGTCGCAAATCACCTCCCAGAGTAGCGTGTGTCCGTAGGTGTGTGAGTGGGGAGATCTTTGGATCCAGAGCCCCAGATGTCTCTGGGTTTTTTCTCAGCCTGATCTTTGAACTTCCTGTCAGTCACCAGTCTGGGCTGGCTGCTGGGTGGGGCTGGGAGGCGTAAGGGGTGTGCAAGGGAGAGGTGACACCCGAGTGCCTCAGGAATTGATGTTGGAGTGGACAAGAGTGATCTGGCTAGCCCCACCCACTGGGTCCCAGGTGCTGGAAGGGGCCAGAAGCCCTGCTGAGACTATTTGACCTCCAGTCGGGGTGGGGGCAGGGCCTGGTCCGGGGCATCTCCAGGAATGTCAAGGTCACCACCCCTGCCTGGACCTCCCCCGCCATGCACAAACACACACAGGCTGCAGGTCTGTTTCCCACTTTAATTTTTTTCTTTTTCTTTTCTTTTCTTTTTTTTCTTTTTTTTTCACACGTCTCGGTCACCCAGGCTGGAGAGCAGTGGCACGATCTCGGCTCACTGCAACCTCCGCCTCCCGGGTTCAAACGATTCTCCTGCCTCAGCCTCCCGAGTAGCTAGGATTACAGGCGCGCCACCACGTCTGGCTAATTTTTTTTTTTTTTTTTTTTGGATTTTTAATAGAGATGGGGTTTCACCATGATGGCCAGGCTGGTCTCGAACTCCTGACCTCAAGTGATCCACCCGCCTCGGCCTCCCAAAGTGCTGGAATCACAGGCGTGAGCCACCGTGCCCTGCCGCCAGTCTTTAATTTCACTTCCCCACCTGCAGTCACCCAGCGGACAGGCGAGGCCAGGCGGTGGGGCGCGCCTCCGTGAGGACCAGGTGTCTGTCGGCGGGGACACCATAGCGCGCCTGGTGCTCCTCGAAGAGCTGCGTGAGTCGCCCCACGTAGCGCGCTTGCAGCGTGTCCACCTGGGCCGGACTGGGCGGGGGGCTCTGCTGCACGGGAATCGCCGACCCCACTGCGGGCGGGACGGGAGGCGATCTGGGCTGGGATCCCCGGTTCTCCTCCTCTTTTCCTCCTTGGGGATAGGCGGGAACAGAGTTCAGGGCTGGCGCGGTGGCCAAAGGCCAGTCTGGGTGGCCCCAACCCGGGACGGGGAGGGAGCGGGCCCTGGGCCAGGATCGCGGGGCGGAGGCCGGGGCTCACCTACGGTGCGGATGGGCGCGCGGAAGGGCAGCGGGAGGCCCCGGCGGCCCAGGAACAGCTGCAGGGCCACGCTTAGCAGCGGACGCAGAGCCTCCTGCGTCCTCTGCACCCACGAGCTCTGCGGGTTCGGGAACTGCTGGAAGAGCTCATTCTCCCTGGAGAAGACAGGCACTAGGGAGGCCGCAGGAGAGCATGGCGCGGCTGACTCCTGGCCCCGGGGTCCGCGGGTGGCGCCACTCTCCTCCTCCCCGGCCCGGCAGCCCTGGGGCGTCCCCACCGGGTCACGCTCGGGTCCTCACCCGAGTTCCAGAGCTGACTTAACCAATCTCTTCTGATTCCGAATCGGCAAGCTCAGTTGTCCGGGTTTTGCCTCCAGCGCCTGCAGGGGCCCTCCCACGCCAGGACAGCCACCTGGCCACCACTGAGGCAGCGGGGCCTTGACAAAGGAGACCAAACCTGGGGGGAGGGCAGAAGCTGGGGGACCCAACGCCTGGGTCTTATTTACTTATTTATTTAGGGACGGAGTCTTGCTCTGTTGCCCAGGCTGGAGTACAGTGGCCTGATCTTGGTTCACTGCATCCTTGACCTTCAGGGCTCAAGTGACCCTCCCACCTCAAGCCTCCCAGTAGCTGGGACCACAGGTGTGTACCACCACACCTGGCTAAATTTTTGTTTTTGTTTTTTCTTGTGTAGAGATGGGGTTTCACTGTGTTGCCCAGGCTGGTCTTGAACTCCTGGCCTTAAGCGATCCTCTCGCCTGCGCCTCCCAAGTGCTGGGATTACAGGTGTGAACCACCGCACCCAGCCAAAGCCTGGGACTTGGAAAGAAGAGTGGAGAGGACATGGGGAAAGGAGAGCTGGGCCCCAGTGTCCCCTGGGAAGAGGATGGTGGGGCGGGAGACAGCAGCAAGGTCCTCCTCTTCTCACCACCTGACATGATGTAGTCCTGGAAGAAGAGGAGATGGAACCAACAAGGCAGCATGAGCAGGTGTGGCGGGAGTTTGGGGAAGAGGCAGGAGCAGCCCGTGGGCTCTGTGCAGAAGTTGGCGAAGGCTCCCACGACCAGGACCCTGTGAGGGTGGAAGTCAAAGAGGTAGTTCCAGGAGGTGCCCAACTTTGCAGTTTTAACTAGCTGGGGAGCAGACGGGCGCACCCCACCCCAACGGTGAGATTGCACTTTGGGAGATGGTGGTCCCAAGAGTCTATTCTGAAGCCCCAACCGCACCCAGCACCCCACAGCCCAGGTCCTCACTGAGAGGGGGAAGTAGTCACAGAAATGTCTCAAACTGCCCAGTTGCAAACCCAGGCAGATCTGCGGGCTCCAGCCCTGGGTATGTTTCTATCCCAATAGAGCCAGACCAGGTAGAGGACCGCCAGCATCCAAGCCCAGCCGAGGAATGCAAGAGCCAGGCTGCCAGGTGCACCTGGGCTGGAAGATGGGGCAGGGGGAGCTCACAGTACAGGTGTTTAAGACCATTCAGTTGTTGCTCCTACCCATCCAGTGGCCTGAGTGGTGGGAGCTGCAGACCAGTCTTCTGTGGCAGGCTGAATGCTCCAGTCTTCAGTAGGGAACTGCTAGATAGCACAGAGGGCACCTGCACGCCTTCAGACCAGTCTGCAACCTCAGGTTGAGTAGCAGTGAACTCAGGAGCCGGAGCAGTCCATTCACCCTGAAATTCCTCCTTGTCACAGCCTTTTCAGCAGCAGCCTGCTCTTCTTTTTCAATGTCTTCATGATCTCTGTAGAAGTAGAGATCAGGCATGACCTCCCACGGGTGTTCACAGGAAATGGTGCCACGCATGCGCAGAACTTCCCGAGCCAGCATCCACCACATCAGACCCACTGAGTGAGCTCCCTTGTTGTTGCTTGGGATGGCAATGTCCACATGGCGCAGAGGAGAATCTGTGAGACACAGAGCAAGGTAGGTAGGTTAACATAAGATGCCTCTGTGAGAGGCTGCTGATCAGCCCTGGGGTCAGTAAACACAAGAAGCCGTGGCTCCCGGAAGGCTGCCTGGATCTGGTTAGTGAAGGTTCCAGGAGTGAAGCGGCCAGCGATTGGAGTGGCTCCAGTGGCAGCAGCAAACTTCAGCACGGCCCTCTGGCCAGTATTTCTGGAGGGTATGACACTGACATCAGCGGGGTTTTCAATGGCAACAATGCCACGAGCTGCCAGCAGAAGCTTCTCCCAGGTCCTCTTCAGATTTGGGATGTAGATGCCATCACTTTTCCTTTTATACATGTACTGTTCCATCTGTAAGTCAAGGTTGGTGCCACCTAATTGGTTTCCTGCTGCAAGGAAATTAAGGACATCTTCCTCCTTCATTTGCAGGACATCAAGGGCTCCGGATGTTGTGAAAGTTTCTCTTTAAGTTACAACAGGAATCCAGAACAACGCCGGATGGAGCCCTCTGTGGGTAGCGTGGAAAGCTTTTTTTGTTTTGTTTTTTTGTTTTGAGACGAAGTCTTGCTCTGTCACCCAGGCTGGAGTACCGTGGCACGATCTTGGCTCACTGCAGCCTCCGTCTCCTAGGTTCAAGCAATTCTCCTGCCTCAGCCTCCTGAGTAGCTGGGATTACAGGCCTGTGCCACCACACCTGGCTAATTTTTGTATTTTTAGTAGAGACAGGGTTTCACCATGTTGGCCAGGCTGGTCTCAAACTCCTGACCTCAAGTGATCTGCCTGCCTGCCTCGGCCTCCCAAAGTGCTAGGATTACAGGCGTGAGCCACTGAGCCCGGCTTATTTATTTTTTTGAGTTGGAGTTTCATTCTTGCTGCCCAGGCTGGAGTGTGATGGCGCGATCTCAGCTCACTGCAACCTCCCCCTCCCAGGTTCAAGCAATTATCCTGCCTCAGCCTCCCAAGTAGCCGGGATTACAGGCGCCCGCCACCATGCCCAGCTAATTTTTGTATTTTTTAGTAGAGATGCGGTTTCACCATTTTGGCCTGGCTGGTCTTGAACTCCTCACCTCGTGATCTGTCCGCCTCAGCCTCCCAAAGTGCTGGGATTACAGGCATGGGCCACCGTGCCCAGCTTAATTATGTATTTTTTAAGTAGAGACAGGGTTTCACCATGTTGGCCAGGGTGGTCTCAAACTCCCAACTTCAGGTGATCCATCCACCTCAGCCTCCCAAAGTGCTGGAATTACAGGCGTGAGCCATCGCGCCCAGCTAATTTATTTTTTGTAGAGATGGGGGGGGTCTCGCTATGTTGTCCAGGCTGGTCTTGAACTCCTGGCCTCCAGTGATCCTCCGCCTGCCTTGGCCTCTGAAAGTACTGGGATTATAGGTGTGAGCCACTGTGCCCAGCCTGGGAAGTCCCTCTTTTGGTCTGTGCCCTCTCATGCACTTTTTTTTTTTTTGAGATGGAGTCTCACTCTGTGGCCCAGGCTGGAGTGCCGGGGCACAATCTCAGCTCACTGCAAGCTCTGCCTCCCGGGTTCATGTCATTCTCCTGCCTCAGCCTCCTGATTAGCTGGGACTACAGATGCCCGCCACCACGCCTGGATAATTTTTTGTATTTTTAGTAGAGACGGGGTTTCACCGTGTTAGCCAGGATGGTCTGGATCTCCTGACCTCGTGATCCGCCCCCCTTGGCCTCCCAAAGTGTTGGGATTACAGGCGTGAGCCACCGCGCCCGGCCCCTCTCACACACTGTCTCCAGCTCAGGCAATACAGGGGAAGGGGAAAGTGGGAGCCAGGGAAGCTCCCAGGTTCCCACGAGGGTCTAACATTCTGCCTCTCCCTTTTCCTCTTGTCTTCGCTTTTCTGGGTCTCTCCCCTCTACGCTGCTGGCAGGAGGGGAGATGGGGTTAATGGGCAGACCAATGGACTCAAGACTTACAAACTGTCCTTTATTCAGAGTGAGACTGCGGAACATTAATAATTTATCACGCGGGGAGTCCCCAGAAGCCCTGTGCCCACGAACCCCTGTGGGCGGAGGAGAGAGGCGGGGACTCCGGGAGCTTCCTGAGAGGGCCGTGTCTTGGGAGCAAGGTGACATATTCAGTTCAGGCACGCGGAACATGAACTCAGGAAGTGGGGAGACAGAGAGACCCATCCCCCAACTCCCAGGACGGGGGCCAGGCCCCCTAAAAAGGCACAATGGCAGGGCAGGTTTGGCAGAGTGGTTGAGTGTCAGGGGTCGACAAAGGACACCATGATGTAGCGTGTGCCCCAGGTCGTTGGCAGCCCCTCGTGGTAGTGGGTGAGGCGGCCGGGGTGCAGGAGTGCCCAGCCCTTCCTCGGGGAGGAGATCACACAGTCGTAGCGCAGGAAGCGGCAGCCACCTCCCTGGAAAGAGAAGGGAAAGGAAACATGGAGTGAGCAGACGTGGGGCCTGGGGAGCAGGCAGATACACGGGGCAGGGCGGCCAGACCGGGGGGCACGGTGCAGCAGACCGGGGTGACAAGGGAGATGGCAGATATGGCAGACACCGGAGGCTGGGGTGCCTGCAGACAGGAAGATCCAGGAGGAAGCAGAGGCCGCCTGCCCAGAAGCGATCCAGGAGCTGATACCCACAAAGTCACTGGGAAATGGGCAGGGAGGGGAGCTGGGGGATGCACGCAGGGGCTCTAGGTGGGGACCCGAGGGTCCTGAGGTGAAGCGTGGGTGGGTAGTGTGACTGGGGCGCACCTCATAGTCCAGGCCCTTGTGGTTGAGGGCAACGTTGAGGGTGAAGGTGGATGAGTCGTGGTGTGGCCGCAGAGACGGCTGCTCGTCTGGCCGGTAGCGAACCACAAAGTTCATCACCGCCCGCGCCTGGGGGAGAGGAGGGAAGAGGCTGCAGGGACAGCTGCGGGCGCAGGGGGTCTTTTATTTTGTATTATTATTATTCTTTTGAGATAGTCTCGCTCTGTCACTCAGGCTGGAGTGCAGTGGTGCGATCTTGGCTCGATCTTGGCTCACTGCAACCTCTGCCTCCCGGTTTCAAGCAATTCTCATGCCTCAGCCTCCCGAGTAGCTGGGATTATAGGCACCTGCCACCACACCCGGCTAATTTTTGTATTTTTAGTAGAGACGAGGTTTCACCATCTTGGCCAGGCTGGTCTTGAACTCCTGACCTCAGGTGATCCACCCACCTCAGCCTCGCAAAGTGCTGGGATTACATGTGTGAGCCACCACGCCCGGCCATCGCAGGGTGTCTTCAGGGAGATGACGGTCCCTGTCCAGGGAGGGGAGGGGAGGGGCGGCGGGACCCCTGCGTAGGAGGCTCTCGCTGCTCACTGGCATTAAATTAGGGCCAAGCCTCACCTTGGGTCTCAGCCTGGCGCCCTCCCTCCCCTGGGGTGCCTCCTGCAGCGTCTCATTCCCCTGGGAACTAAAATGCATGGAGCCCAAATGCTGCCGGGGCCGAAAGGGGTCTGCGTGGAGACTTCCTGTCCGGGACTGGGGTGGGGAAGGTGGGGAGGCAGCTGGCAGGTGGGCAGCGCACCTTGGTGTGGTAACCGGGAAACAGGCTCTCGGTCATGGGGCCCACATACGTCCGCAGCAGCTGCAGCCACTGGTCCTCGTACCCCACCTGCTTCATGTGGATGTCCACGGTGGGCACATTCTCGTAGCCTCCAGCCAGCCTTGAATCCTGGGGGCGGCGGGCACTGAGCCACCCGCCCCTCCAGCCATGGCGCTCCCCACCCCAGGGCAGTCCAGCCTCCTTCCTCCCGTCCTCCAGCCTTCACACCTGTGTTCCTCTGTGCAGAACAGTCTTCTTTGCTACTTCTCGGCCTGACTCACTGCTCCCGGCCCTTCAAGTCTCAGCTAAGATGTCACCTGTCCTGTGAAGCTCCCTACTCCTCCCAAGTCTGGGTCAAGGCTTCCCCGTGGCTTCTATTGCACCCAGGCTGCTCATCGCAGCCTTAGAAGCTGTGTGGTGGCTGCTGCTCACAGCAGGGCAGAGCTCGACCGGCATGAGGCATTCCTGCAGTGCAGTCTAGGACAGTGGCCCAGGAATGATTTCCTTTTCTCTTTTTTTAGAGACAGAGTCTTGCTCTGTCACCCAGGCTGGAGTACTGCGGCATGATCATAGCTCACTGCAGCCTCTAACTCTGGGGCTCAAGTGATCCTTCTGCCTCAGCCTCCTGAATAGCTGGGACATGCCACCATGCCCGGCTAATTTGTTGGTTTTTCTGAGATGGAGTTTCACTCTTGTTGCCCAGCCTGGAGTTCAATCTTGGCTCACTGCAACCTCTGCCTCCCGGGTTCAAGCAATTCTACCTCAGCTCCCGAGTAGCTGGGACTACAGGCGCCCGCCACCATGCCCGGCTAATTTTGTGTTTTTAGTAGAGATGGGGTTTCTCCATGTTGGTCAGGCTGGTCTCGAACTCCTGACCCCAGGTGATCCACCTGCCTCGGCCTCCCAAAGTGCTGGGATTACAGGCGTGAGCCACCGCACCTGGCCCAAACTCGGCTAATTTTTAAATTTTTTGTAGAGACAGGGTCTCGCTATGTTGCCCAGGCTGGCCTCAAACTCCCCCTGCTCGAGCAATCCTCCCGCCTCAGCCTCCCAAAGTGCTAGGATTACAGGCATGAGCCACTGTGCCCAGCAGTAAATATTTCTTGAATACATGAATGAATGCAGTTGTGACCCCAGGGTCTGCCTCCCCCCTGGGAACCCCTCTTTGCTCCCATTTTCCTGATTCCATTGTTTGTTTACCAGATCCTGCACCTCCTCCTCTGGGAAGGCCTCTGCCCTCCTCGCCCAGGCCCTTACCTCATGCCGGCCGCCTGACCACTGGCCGTAGTGCTCCATCTCTGCCACCAGCTCATCACACATTTGTTCTGACAGCAGTGGGAACCAGTACACGTCCGGGCATGGCTGAGGATGGGGCGAGGGAGAACAGGGCTAGCTGACGCCGCAGAACGGGGAAGGGGACAGGCAGCAGGCAGAATGGGAAGGGGCAGGGAGGAGCAGGGAAGGCTTTGTGAGAGCAGCCGGGGACCCGCCAGGTAGGGGCTGAGGGAGTGGCAAGGCTGAGGACCGGTTTCTGGCACAGGAGAGGTGGCAGAGGGTCCTGGAGCCCCTCGTGCTGGGACAGTGGTTTCCAAACTTCCGTAACAGTGCATACCTCTTTTTTTTTTTTTTGAGATAGGGTATTGCTCTGTCAACCAGGCTGGAGTGCAGTGGCACAATCATAGCTCACTACAGCCTCGACCTTCTGGGCTCAAGCGATCCTCCCGCCTCAGACTCCCAAGTAGCTGGAACTACAGGCACATGCCACCATGCCAAGCTAATTTTTTCTTTTCTTTTTTTTTTGAGACAGGGTCTCGCTGTGTCACCCAAGGTGGAGTGCAGTGGCGTGATCTTGGCTCACTGCAACCTCTGCCTCCCAGGTTCAAGCGATTCTCCCACCTCAGCCTCCCGAGTAGCTGGGACTACAGGTGCACGCCATCACACCTGACTAATTTTTGTGTTTTTTTTTTTTTTTTTTTTGGTAGAGACAGGATTTGCCATGTTGGCCAGGCTGGTCTCGAACTCCTGACCTCAGGTGATCTGCCTGCCTCGGCCTCTCAATGTACTGGGATTACAAGCATGAGCACCACTCCTGGCCTCATTTCTTATTTAATTTTTTTGTTGTTGTTGTAGAGACAGATTCTCGCTATGTTGCCCAGGCTGGTCTTGGACTTCTGGCCTCAACCGATCCACCCACCTTGGCCTCCCAAAGTGCTGGGATTACAGGCATGAGCCACTGAGCCCAGCCCCATTCTTCTTTTAAGATGTGATTTCAAGCATAACACCAGTATACCCAATATACAGGAGAAGAGGCTGTCTGATCAATGCTGGCTTTGGGGGCAAGAGTCCTTTCTGTTCGGCCTCTGCCTTCATCTTGTCTGAACAGAAAACCCTCAGATCTCTGGGGAACTCAGTGTGAAAACTTTGAATCCAGGCGGGGGCCCCCAAGAGGCGATGGCCATGAGGGCAGGGGGTGGGTGGGGAGGCTGCGTGGGCTCACCTGCTCCACGATTCCTTCCCCTTCCAGGGCCCGGCTGTAGTTCTCGTGGATGTACTGCTCCTTCCAGTCCTGTGAGAGGGTGGGGGGC
Source organism: Homo sapiens (assembly GCF_000001405.40). NCBI lineage: Eukaryota > Metazoa > Chordata > Mammalia > Primates > Hominidae > Homo > Homo sapiens. The sequence continues at coordinate 101,210,181 of NC_000007.14, forward strand.
ACATCAGATCTGTGCCCCCCTCGCTCCCAGCCCCCAGGGGACCGCCCCCTCCCACTCAGTGTCCTGCGCTGGCAGCAGCCATCACGTTTGGTGTCTTCCTTAGCACAAGGCGGGGAACCTGTGTGCTCTGGGCGTGGGGTCCCCACTCACGACGGGGTTGTCGAAGATCTGCCAGAGGTCGGGGTGCAGGTGCTCCGTGTCGTATCTGGAAGTGGCCAGGAGCCGGCCAAATTCATGCTGATTGCTCAGATGGAGGAAGATGCCCTGTAGTGGGGTGGGGGTGTCCGTGATGCAGGCGATGCCTGGAGTCTGGGGGACTGCCCCCAGGCCAGACCGTGCACCCGCGCTCACCTTGTCTCGAAAGCTCTTACAGAAGGCCATGTCCGGGTCTGTGTCACTGCCCGAGAACACATCCCTCTGGGGCAGCTCCATCCGCAGGGTATCACCCCGGATCACATAGGCCTGGGAGATGTATGGTACATTCCACACACCCCTGGAGGCACCGACACCGCGGTCAGCTGGGAGGACAGCCCCCCAAATTCTGCCCAGCTCATCCCGGGAAGTCCTTCTTCCCTCAGGGTATCCCAGTCCCTGAACATAAGGCCCCTGCATGTCCCTTGTCAAGCACTGCTGGTCCCAACCACCCCACCTCCCAAAATGCGGTCAGTTCCTACCCCAAGCTGTGGCACTTCTTTTTTGTTTCTTGTTTTTGGTTTTTGAGACGGAGTCTTGCTCTGTCACCCAGGCTGGAATGCAGTGGTGTGATCTTGGCTCACTGCAACCTCCACCTCCCAGGTTCAAGCAATTCTCCCACCTTAGCCTCCCAAATAGCTGGGATTAGAGGTGCCAGCCACCATGCCCGGCTGATTTTTGTATTTTTGGTAGAGATGGGGTTTCACCATGTTGGCCAGGCTGGTCTCGAACTCCTGACCTCGAGTAATCCACCTGCCTCTGCCTTCCAAAGTGCTGGGATTACAGGCGTCAGCCACCGCGGCCGGCCCTTGTTTTTTATTTTCTTGAGAAAGGGTCTCCCTCTGTTTCCAGGCTGGAGTGCAGTGGTGGAAACATGGCTCACTGCAGCCTCAACCTCCCAAGTTCAAGTGATTCTCCCACCTCAGCCTCCGTAGTAGCTGGGACCACAGGCACGCACCACCGTGCCCAGCTAATATTTTAAGTTTTTTGTAGAGATAGGCTCTTGCTACGTTGCTCAGGCTGATCTTAAACTCCCAGGCTCAAGCAGTCCTCCTACCTCAGCCTCCCAAAGTGGTGGCATCAAAAGTGTGAGCCACTGCAGCCAGCCTCATGGCACCTCTGACTGGTGACCACTCCAAACCCCTGAGAGTAGGGGGCTTGGGTCTACCTGGGCCCCGGGTCGGAGGAGGCGGGGGGCTGCAGGCTGGCGGGACTCACACTCGCTTCCGCTGCACCAGCTCCACGTAGTCCTCGGAGCGGGCGTAGTACTCATCGGGGCTCAGGGCGCCCCAGAAGTTGGACCACAGCTTGCCGTGGCGGGACAGCATGGGGGCGATCACCTTCCTGCGGACAGGTGGGGGTGAGGGCTGGGCAGACGGGAGCAGGCCTGGGGAGCCCGGTGCCCAGGGCAGGAGTGGGGTTCCCGGGGCCTGTTGGGGTGCCCTCCGGCTGCGGGGAGAGGGGGTAAGCCACCTGTTCTCCTCAATGAGGATACGCAGGGTCTGCAGGTTGGTGAGGACAGCGTCGGCGTCCAGGCTGAAGTAGAACTCACACTCGGGGTCCTGCCGACACAGGTCCCTGGAGGTGAGAGGCGAGCTGAGACGGCGGCAGGTGGGGAGGCGGTGTGGATGGGGTAACTGGCCCATGCCCCCAGGAGAAGAGGAGGGAGGCAGTGTCTATCCTTCCTTCCCCAGGCTCTCTGCTGTCTGGGTGAGCTGGCAAGGGCAGGAGTGACAGCATGGGGGCTGCAAGGATGCGAATGGGGAGGCCCAGGAGGGGCTGGATGGGTGACAGGTGAGGCAAGGGCCAGGCAGCAGGTGGCAGCACCCCTGACCCTACAGCCTCATCCCACCCTCTCCTCCCCGCAAGCACCCGCTCACATGGCCATGTCCCTGGCCTCGCCTGGGCTCAGAGCCTCCTCCGGCCCCACGAGCTTCACAGCTGAGAAGTGGTCCTGGAGCTGCGGCCAGGAGTCAGCGATGTGGGGTTCATGGAAGACCTCCTGGGAGGGGAAGACATAGGGGGATGGGCTCAGAGGGCAGGGAGGCGGCACCTGAGGGATGGGGGTGCAGGAAGGAGATGGGGGTGGGGGCACGAGAGTTCTGATCAGGGCAGGGAAAGGGTCCCTCAGGAGAGGCTCCAACAGGGGAGTCTCACGTTGTTGTGCAGGAAAAGGGTGACCCTGTCGGGGGGATAGTCCAGGAGTAGCAGCCGCTGCAGGAAGCGGGGCAGAAACGGAGTAGGCTGTTCCACAAACACGGCCAGAAACACCCGGGGGGGAGGCTGGAAGATGCAACACGCAGGGACTCAGAGAGAAGCCCGGACTTCCCTGCTGCCCCCACCCAACCTCCACCCTGACAGGTGCAGGGACCCAGGAGCGATGCCCCCACCGCCCCCCAGTCCGCTGTCCTTGTACCTCCTGCTCAGCACGCTGCCCTCTCGTGCCCCTCCCTGGCACCCCCACCTCACCTGCCCCCCCGGGAGTGTCCTCCGGTCCTGGTTGCAGAAGCCACAGCCTCCCTCAGGAGTCCAGCCATTGGGGACGTAGTTTCCCAGGTAGTTGAGCTGCAGCTGTTGGGGACAGACTGAGGCTGAGTGGCTGAGGCCTCCAGGGGTGGAGGTGGGGGTCAGGCACCTCTGATATGGGGGCTGGGAAGGGCCAGCTTCTCAGAAGGGTTGGAGGTGCCTGGGGGTTGGGGCAGGGCGGGGCGGGGGTTGAGACCACTGGTGGCACCTTAGTGGGACCGTTTCCATGGACCACAATGGGGAGCGTGTCGTAGGCCACGTTCCGGATACGCACACGGTTCCGATCAAACTTTAAAACCACTTCATCTGGGGAAGAAAAAGGCCAGGCTTCAGACCCCCTTTCTCTGGGAGCTACCAAGCAACACATTCTTCTAAATATGGGGTCCCAAATTCTCCAGGGAATAAAGGGACACCAGGGCTATCCTGGAGTGTGGCTCGTTGTGGGCAGGAACCTTTGGGTTCTGACCAGGCTGCTGGCCCAGAGAGCTCCACTGCCTACTACCTGCGTGATCACACCGCAGCTGGGCGAGGAAGGGGAGGGTGAGCTGAGCGGGAGGCCAGTAGGAGCCTCAGCATCCCTACCCCTCCTCATATTCTCTCTCTCCTTGTTTTTTTTTTTTTTTATTTTTATTTTTTGAGATGGAGTCTCACTCTGTCACCCAGGCTGGAGTGCAATGGCGTGGTCTCGGCTCACTGCAACCTCTGCCTCCTGAGTTCAAAAGATTCTCTTGCCTCAGCCTTTCAGGTAGCTGAGACTATGGGCACATGCCACTACACCTGGCTAATTTTTGTATTTGTATTTTTTGTTTTTTATGCTGAGATGGAGTCTCACTCCCAACACGCAGGCTGGAGTGCAGTGGCACGATCTTGGCTCATTGCAACTTCCACCTCCAGGGTTCAAGCGATTCTCCTTCCTCAGCCTCCCGGGTAGCCAGGATTACAGGCGCGCACCACCATGCCCGGCTAATTTTTGTGTTTTTAGTAGAGACAGGGTTTCACCATGTCGACCAGGCTGGCCTTGAACTCCTGACCTCAGGTGATCCACCTGCCTCGGCCTCCCAAAGTGCTAGGATTACAAGCATGAGCCACCACACCCAGCCTAATTTTTGTATATTTAGTAGAGACTGGGTTTCACTATGTCAGCCAGGCTGGTCTCAAACTTCTGACTTCATGATCTGCCCGCCTCAGCCTTCCAAAGTGCTGGGATTACAGATGTGAGCTGTCGCACCTGGCCTTTTTTTTTTTTGAGAAGGAATCTCACTCTGTCACCCAGGCAGGAGTGCAGTGGCGCAATCTCGGCTCACTGCAAGCTCTGCCTCCCGGGTTCCAGTGATTCTCCTGCCTCAGCCTTCTGAATAGCTGGGATTACAGGCACCCGCCACCACGCCCAGCTCATTTTTGTACTTTTTTTTAGTAGAGACGGGTTTTCGCCATGTTGGCCAGGCTGGTCTCAAACTCCTGACCTCAAGTGATCCTCCTGCCTGGGCCTCCCAAAATGTTGGGATTACAGGCGTGAGGCACCGTGCCTGGCCTCTCTCTCTCCCCGTTCTCCCCATCCCCTGAGGCAAGTCACCAACCCCTCCACAAGCTGTTTTCCTCATCTGTACAAGAAGGATAACCAGGGACCTTCCCTTTGTTAAATGGAATCACAGAAGTAGACCGGGCACAGTGGCTCATGCCTGTAATCCCAGCACTTTGGGAGGTTGAGGCAGGCGGATCACCTGAGGTTGGGAGTTCGAGACTAGCCTGGCCACCATGGTGAAACCCTGTCTCTACTAAAAATACAAAATGAGCTGGGCGTGGTGGCGCATGCCTGTAATCCCAGCTACTCGGGAGGCTGAGGCAGAAGAATCACTTGAACCCGGGAGGTGGAGGCTGCAGTGAGCCAAGATTGGACCACTGCACTCCGGCCCGGGCAACAGAGCGAAACTCTGTCTCAAAAAAAAAAGTCCCTGGCCCGGTGCCCAGGCACAGCATGTGTGCAACAGATGCCAGACACGTTTTTGCTTCCCTTGCTTCTGGTAGTACCATCAGCACAGTGCAACTTACACAACCAGCCACTCAGACGCCTGACAAAACCACATAGAGGTGGGCTTGGATCAGCCCAGCTCCTCCAGAAGCCTCTCCCAGCTCAAGACCCCTAGCTGCAGAGGCTGCGCATCGCCCACCTGCGGCTGTCTTCCTCCTCACCTAAAGCCCCGTTGAGGTTCTGAAAGATCCGAGACTTATGATCCAGATTAAGGCTGAGTTTCTCCTAAATGGAATGAGATGCGATGGAGTGGTTAAAATGGAAGGAGTGGAAAGGACATCATTTCTCACTTTTCTCTCTCTTTTTTTCTTCTCTTGCTTTTGTTGCTTAGGCTGGAGTGCAATGGCACGATCTCAGCTCACTGCAACCTCTGCCTCCCGGTTTAATTGATTCTCTTGCTTCAGCCTTCCAAGTAACTGGGACTACAGGAGAGTGTCACCACGCCTGGCTAATTTTTGTATTTTTAGTAGAGACGGGGTTTCACCATGTTGGCCAGGCTGGTCTCAAACTCCCAATCTCAGGTGATCCACCCGCCTCAGCCTCCCAAAGTGCTGGGATTATAGGCATGAGCCACCATGGTTTTCCTTTTTTTGTGAGAGACAGAGTCTCATTCTGTCACCCAGGCTGGAATGCAGTGGTGCAAAACATCCTCAAACTCCTGGGCTCAAGTGATGGTCCCACCTCAGCCTCCCAAGTAGCTGGGATTACAGGCGTACACCATGAAGCCTGGCTAATTTTTTCTTTCTTTTTTTTTGTAGAGATGAGGTCTCAACTATGTTGTCCAGGCTGGTCTTAAATTCCTGGACTCAAGCAATCCTCCTGCCTAAGCCTCCCAAAAGTCTTGGATGACAGGCGTGAGCCACCACGCCCAGGCACACATTTTTCTCTTTGCAACCCCCTTTGCTCCCCAAATCCCATTCAGCCTGAGGCCTCCACTCCCACAGAGCTGCGGGATGCGCCCACTCCTCTGCCTTCCCTACCCTCAGTCCTGGGTCCAGGTAGAGCCGTGTGTAGAACAGCTGGTCGTCGTCATCATCCTTGTACTTCCACTGGCGCACGATTTGGTGGATGGTGGTGGCAAAACCGATGAATCCTGGCGGGGAGGGGGAGTGTTGACCTCGAGACTCCCAGGGTCCCAGGGCCTGTCCCCCAGGCTGTCTCCAGCCCTCAGGCGCCTTTAACACTCTGTGTCCCACCGCTCTTGGCCCCTCTGCCTTGGGCACTCTGCCACTCACCACCAGAATTGAGGAAGCGCTTCCCCGTGCCCACCTCAGGGTACTGCTCCGCCAGCCCCCACTCGGGCCAGCAGAAGCTCTCTGCAGAGAAGAGCAGGCGGCTGCCACTCTGGACGAACTTCTTCAGCAGCTCTGTGGGGCTGCCGGCCAGAATCACGTCGTAGCTGGGTGAGGAAGGGGAGGATGGGCAGGGGTCCACTGGGAACCTCAGCATCCTTACCCCGCTCCCTATCCCCAGCCCCGTTACCTATCCACAAACATGATGATCATATCCTCCCGGTCAGCGTATTTCTCCATTTCCTTCTTTAACCACCGGACCTTCTGTCCTCCACCAACTGTTCGAGCCACATCACCCCCTCGCCACTCCTCTCCCAGGCCCAGGGTCTGTGGAGAAGATTGCCCCGTGCCAGGCAAGGGGTGGGGAGTTGTGGGGGGAACTCCTGACCAGGCTTACCGTGGGGACCTGGGCATCCAGACTTCAGCCCACCCCTCCTGCTGGGACCCCCTCCCAGGGGCCTTTCCCTCTCCTCACCCGCACAGTGTAGTTGAAGAACTCCGCAGAGCGCAGGAAACGCAGGTACCCCTCGGTTTCAGCTGTGGCCACAGTGATCACCAGCAGCTTCTCTGTTACCAGAGGGAAATGGCACTTGAGATCCACCGCCCAGCTCCGGGCCTCACGTGCTTTGCTGTCCTCCCTCTCACTCGACTTCCCTCCCTTTCTTCCTTCCCATTCTTAAACTCTTCTCACCCAGGAACACTCTGACCCCAAGGAGGGCAGGGTGGGAGTGGTGCCCAGGAATTCCGAGTCCCTTTGCATAGGGAGGCTGGAAACCCCAGTTCAGGGTAGTGATGGGCGAGGGGCTTGGCGCGACTCAGCCTCAAGAGCACGCTGGGCGGGGGACGGGCCAGACACCTCCTCGAGCCTCCGACCCTCTCCGGGCCAGGCTGGCAGGCACGCCAGCCTCTGCCCCCTCGGCCGTGCCGGGCCTCCCCGGGATCTCACCTGGGTTGACCGGGTCTCGGCCCCGGGGCCGGTCGGAGGCTGAGGCCGCAGGGGGCAGCAGCAGCGGCAGCAGCAGCAGGAACCGGGGTCCAGGCCCCGAGGAGGTCATGGTGGGGAGCGGGCCCAGACAGCACCCAGGATCCTGGGATCTCCGCTACGCGCCTGGATCCCAGCTCCGGAGGGGAGCTCTGGAAAGGGGGCGCTCGGGCTGCTGTGCGGCCGCCGCGGGGAGCAGCTTGGCTGGGGCTACGCCCTGAAAAAAAGGCGTATCCGGAGGCTACAGAAAGCTCCAGATGCCGGCGCCACAGACAAGGCGAGGATTGTCCCGGGCGCACGGGAGGCGGGGGAGGGGCGGCGGCTCGGGCCGGCGGGCGGGAGACAGGGACTCTGGGCTGAGCCAGCCGCTTGACACATGTGGAAGCTGAAACCTGGACAGGGGAAGTGACCCCTGGCGGAGGGTCGGGCGGGACGCGGGGGCGGGTCCTGGCCGCAGCCCTGCCCAGAGAGTGCGGGCGGAAGACGGGGAGAGCGAGAGGCTGGCGGCGACAGGGAGGGAGGAAGCCTAGGAGTCCGCCGCGGGACGGAGGCCTGGGGGAACTGGGAGTTCAGCTTTCTGCAGAGGGCCACTAGGAACCTCGGATTGCCCACGGAAGCCAGCCACTTTCTTTGACAGTCCAGCCCACCTCCTCTTCTGCCCGGAGAAGCTCCAGGGGCTGCCTTTGTGATCACAGCATCTTCACAAGGACCAAAGGAAAATAAGATTTCTTGTAAGAACACCGTGACCACATCTTTAAAATGACCCATTTCGTGGCTCCCACAAGATTTACACCTCCACACTGAGGCCGGAAGTGGTTTTGCCCCTATAAAACATGGCGAAAAGCTTTCTTGTCTCCAAGGAAACGCCACGTAATGAGTCAAAGCTGTGGCGCACGCGCAGAAGTACAAGCTACCGGAAGTGATGGCGCCCCTACTAAAGCCTTGGGGTTAGTACGCGTGCGCAGCAGTTTCTTCCGACAGTTGTGTTGTGCCAATGGTGGAGAAGAAAACTTCGGGTATGTGAGCCCCCGCGGTTCGCCCCCTTCCCCTTCCCAAGTCAGTCCTAGAATTTTCTTACCTAGTCATTCCTCTTTTTTGGTCTCGCTCTTTCGCCTAGGCTGGAGTGCAGTGGCATAGTCATAGCTCACTGCAGCCTCGATTTCCTGGGATCAAACCATCCTCCCACCTCAGCCTCCGGAGTGGCTGGAACTGCAAGCATGAGGCCCCACGCCTGGTTAATTTTTAATTTGTTATGTGGTGACGGGCTCTCGCTATGTTGCCCAGGTTGGTCTCCAACTCTTGGCCTCAAAGCGATCCTCCTGCGTGGGCCTTCCAAAGTGCTGGGATTACAGGCGTGAGCTGCCGCGCCCGGCCCCAGCTATTCCTCGTAAATCCCTTCCTCAGCCCTCGGGTCCTGGCGTTGACCCTTCATTCACGTTTTATTGGTGCCTGCTCCAAGCCGGGCGCTGGGGATGAAGAGGAGAAAGACCCCTCTTATCCAAGCATTGGCTTTTTCTGGAAGGGGGGCAGAAACGCAGACCTAACACTGTATTTTACTGTGATTTGTGATTTGTGCTATGGCAGAGGGAAGCACAGCGCCTGGGAACAGGGAGACGTGGCATCTAGCCCAGGTTCTGGGAGGCAGGGGACTGTGAAAGCTTGAAGGAAAAATGAAAAAGCTTGAATTGAGTCTTGAAAGTCTAGTTAGGGTTTCTCTCAGTGGGAACCTCACGTGCAAAGGCAGTGAAGCAAGAAAAAGCAAGTCGCTTAGGAAGCCAAGTTCACAGTTTGGATCTTACAGAGTAATAAGAAAGGATCGAAGGCTGGGGAAAGGTTACATTTTGAAAGGCATTATACACACTGCCCAGGAGTTTGAACTCTGTAGGGAAACACTGGAGAGCCAGCAAAGACTTTTTTTTTTTAGACAGAGTCTTGCTCTGTCACCCAGGCTGGAATGCAGTGGTTCTATATAACTCACTGCAGCCTCAACCTCCCATGCTCAAGTGATTCTTCCACCTCAGCCACCTGAGTAGGTGGAACTACAGGTGGGTGCAGGCCACCATGCTGGGCTAGTTTTTATATTTTTTGTTGAGATGGGTGTCTCACTATGTTGCCCAGGCTGGTCTTGAACTCCTGAGCTCATGTGATCCTCCTGCCTCGGCCTTCCAAAATGCTAGGATTACAAGTATGAGCCACTGCGCTTGGCCCTTTTAGTTTTTCTTTCTTTCTTTTTTTTTCTTTTTGAGACGGAGTCTTGCTCTGTCCCCCAGGCTGGAGTGCAGTGGCGCAATCTCGGTTCACTGCAAGCTCTGCCTCCCGGGTTCACACCATTCTCTGGCCTCAGCTTCTGGAGTAGCTGGGACTACAGGCGCCCGCCACCACACCCAGCTTATCTTTTGTATTTTTAGTAGAGACAGGGTTTCACCATGTTAGCCAGGATGGTCTTGATCTCCTGACCTCGTGATCCACCCGCCTCGGCCCCCCAAAATGCTAGAATTACAGGCATGAGCCACTGCGCTTGGCCCTCTCAGTTTTTCAAAGGCATCGCAGTCTCCCAGCCATCAGTTTTTTCATGTTGGCCTCAAGGTCTGAAATACCCCGCTGTCTCCCCTAGCCAGGTCATTCACCAGTTAGGCCTTAACCTAGACTTACCTTCTTCTGGGAAGTCTTCCCTGACTACTCCAAGGCCAGGTTGGGTGTTTCTGTCCTGGGCTCTGCAGCACTTTATACTTCCGTATCCTAGCCTACTCCATGCTGTACTTACTGTGTTTGTTTCATTAATCATTTGTGTTTGCCACTGGACTGTAAGCTTTGGCATCCCTAAAACCTAGAGCACTGCCTGGCATTTGGAGGGGAGACAGAGTAGTACAGTGATCATAATCATATTTTTTTTTGTTTGGTTGGTTTTGGGTTTTTTTTTTTTTTTTTTTTTTTTTGAAACAGGGTCTTGCTCTGTCACCCAGGCTGGAGTGCAGTGGCACAAACACAGCTCACTGCAGCCTTGAGCTCCTGGGCTCAAGCAATCCTTGCGCCTCAGCCTCCTGAATAGCTGGGACTACAGGTGTGTCCCACTACACCTGGCTAATTTTTGTATTTTTTTTGTAGAAACATGGTTTTGCCATGTTGCCCAGGCTGGCCTCGAACTCCCGCGCTCAAACAATCCACCCACCTTGGCCTCCCAAAGTGCTGAGATAACAGGCATGAGCCACTGCGCCTGGCAAGGTCATGCTTTTTGATGCTGGGTAGTTCTTTGACTCCTGACCTGGCCACTTGTTAGCTATGTGAACTTTGGACACATTTCTTAATCTCTGAATGTTGGTAAATTGGGGATGATGATACTGTCCCATACAGCTGTTGTAAGGGTTAAATGGTTCAAGTGTTGCAAAGAGCTGAGCACGTGCCTGGCTCATAGTAAGTGTCCAACAAGTGATAGCTACTGGGGCTGCTGCTGTTATTATTATGCTTAACAGGTGGTTAATGAATAAAGAGATATATTATGCAAAATTATCAGAATCTGGCAAACAGCTGATAAGGCAATGAGGAAAGAGGTTTTTTGTTTTTTGTTTTTGAGACAGGGTCTCTCTCTGTTGCCCAGGCTGGAATGCAATGGCGCGATCTCAGCTCGCTGCAACCTCCACCTCCCGGGTTCAAGCGATTCTTGTGCCTCAGCCTCCCGCGTAGCTGGGATTACAGGCATGTGCCACCACACCCTGCTAATTTTTGTATTTTTAGTAGAGACATGGTTTCACCACGTTGGTCAGGCTGGTCTCGAACTCCTGACCTGAAGTGATGAGCCCACCTCAGCCTCCCAAAGTGCTGGGATTGCAGGGGTGAGCCACTATGTCCAGCCGAGGAAAGAGGTTTAAAATAACTTCTAGGTTTCTGGTTTGGATGTCTGCATAGACGGTTCCATTTGCGTAGAGAGAATCTGCAGGAGAAGCAGACTTGGATGGGAATTTTTTTTTTTTTTTGAGTTGCAGTGTCCACAGGGCCAGTGGGTGATTTCTTTTTTCCTTCTTTCTTTTTTTTTTTTTTTGGAGACAGTCTTGCTTTGTCACTCAGGCTGGAGTGGTGGCGCGATCACGGCTTGCTGCACACTGCAGCCTCAACCTCCCGGGCCCATGTAGTCCTCCCACCGCAGCCTCCCAAGTAACTGGGACTACAGGCATGTGCAACCACGCCTGGCTTATTTTTTAATTTTTTGTAGAGATGGGGTTTGGCTATGCTGCCCAGGCTGGTTTCTAACTCCTGGCATCAAGCGATCCTTTGGCCTCCCAAAGTGCTGAGATTACAGGCGTGCGCCACCACACCCGGCCTCACCAGGCGCTGGCTGCATGGCCAGTTCTGGAGCCCGGGAGCAGGTTCTGTGTTGAGGGAGTCACTCTGGGAGTCATTTGCTTGTGGGTGATCATCAGAGCCCTTTGTTTGGAGTCAAAATCCCAGGAAGAGTGCATAGACTGAGCAGAGAAGAGGGCCAGCCACCTCCATAGAGGCAGGGAGAGCAGCCGAGCTGGAGCCGGAGGATTCCTGGACATGGAGAAGGCCTGCAGTTTTGTCAAGGAAGCAAGCAAAGGGTCTCTTTCTACTCGATGAAGGTAGTCGGCACCGCCACAGGGTGGACAGGGCTCAGGTCCAAGGAGGAGGAGGAAGGCACACTGGAGCCGCTCTGGGGCCCAGAGCGTGGGTGGGTGGTCCCCCAGGATGACCAGGCAGGTGTCAGATTTTGGGGTTCAAGGAGAGGATGGGAGGTGAAAAAGTGACACATCACGTGAGTTGCTGTGAAGGAGAAGGAGCTGTGAAGCCGAGTAGACACATGAGCGTCGCCAGCTCTTTGATGGAAAGTGCCGGTTGAGGAGGAGGGGTTGAAGATGGGAGAGGGAGGGAATGGGCTGGAGGTGAAGGCTCGGGGTCAGTGGTGGGACTTGGGGCGCTCCAGGGCAGGGGTGTGCCCACTTGGCATCACGTTTGTGGGTAGGTGGCCTGGAAGATGAGCGTATCCAAGCATGGGTGGCCCCTGGTTCCTTTGAGGTAGGAGGTGAGATGCTGAGTGTGAGGGCCATGTGTATTGAGGGCCCAGGACAGCCTGGAAGCCCCAGGGCGCTGTGACCTCCCCAGTCAGCAGTGAGCTGTCTCCAGGCCGGGGCTCACTGGCTGGGACTGGGATTGAGAGGAAGGCGGAGAAAACAGGCAGGAGAAACTGAAAGGGTCTCAGCTGGCGGGACAGGAAGTGTGGGCCCAGGGCTTGGCCCGGGAGGAGACAAGGGGACCAAGGGCTTGGCAATGGGGATGAGATCAGAGAGCTGCAGCTTCCACCCCGGGTGCCTTCCTCGCCCTGCCCAGAGCGGCGGCCACACTGCTCTTTCTTGGAAGCCCTGTAACTTTGCGTGCCCTGCTCCATCCAGTTCGCTCCCAGGACCCCGGGCAGCGGCGGGTGCTGGACCGGGCTGCCCGGCAGCGTCGCATCAACCGGCAGCTGGAGGCCCTGGAGAATGACAACTTCCAGGATGACCCCCACGCGGGACTCCCTCAGCTCGGCAAGAGACTGCCTCAGTTTGATGACGATGCGGACACTGGTGAGGCGGATGGAGGAGGAAGCGGGGGATGGGACTGAGAGGAGGGCGGGAGAGTCCGCCCAACTCAGGCTGTGGGAGGACCCAGGAGCTCCTGGTGCCTCTGCCAGTGACTGGCTCCCATGGCTGTGAGCAACCACACCCCCTTTCTGTGCCTCAGTTTCCTCTCGTGTATGTGAAATAAACAAGAGAGACTGGATAAGCTCTGACACGAAGCCTTAGGCTTGGGGGCATGGAGGTGACTGTCAGCTGGGATTGGAGAATTGGGGTGGAGGGCAGAGGCTGGTAGCGAGGGGCCGACTTAGAGCCAGGAGGGCAGGGCCAGGTGTGGTGGCTCACGCCTGTAATCCCAGCATTTGGGAGGCTGAGGTGGGCGGATCACTTGAGGTCAGGAGTTCAAGACCAGCCTGGCCAACATGGTGAAACCCCATCTCTACTAAAAATACAAAAACAAAATTAGCCAGGCATGGTGGTGGACACCTGTAATCCCAGCTACTCAGGAGGCCAAGGCAAGAAAATCACTTGAACCCAGGAGATGGAGGTTGCAGTGAGTCAAGATCGCACCACTGCACTCCAGCCTGGGTGACAGAGTGAGACTGTCTCAAAAAGAACCAGGAGGGCACATGGGCATGGGGAGTGATGAACCAGAGAAAGCTGCTGTCTTTCTGGGCAAGTGCCAAGCAACGGATCACCCTTGACCCCTAGGAAAGAAAAAGAAGAAAACCCGAGGTGATCATTTTAAACTTCGCTTCCGAAAAAACTTTCAGGCCCTGTTGGAGGAGCAGGTGAGAGGAGGGTCGGCCTGGGAGGACCCCACAGGGAAGGGGTGAGCCTGGCCCGGGCAGGTGTTCGCTGCGTGGGTGGGCGGAGGAGTTCTAGAGCCGGCCCCTTGTCTCTGCAGAACTTGAGTGTGGCCGAGGGCCCTAACTACCTGACGGCCTGTGCGGGACCCCCATCGCGGCCCCAGCGCCCCTTCTGTGCTGTCTGTGGCTTCCCATCCCCCTACACCTGTGTCAGCTGCGGTGCCCGGTACTGCACTGTGCGCTGTCTGGGGACCCACCAGGAGACCAGGTGAGCATGAGACCTGCTGTCCACTCCCACTCCCTCCTTCCCACAGCCTCCCCAGACCTCTCTCCCCTCATCCTGGCTTCCCCTCTGTCTGCAGGTGTCTGAAGTGGACTGTGTGAGCCTGGGCATTCCCAGAGAGGAAGGGCCGCTGTGCACTGCCCGGCCTTCAGAAAGACAGAATTTCATCACCCAATGCAGGGGGAGCTCTTCCTGGACCAAGGGAGGAGCCGCTCATTCACCCAACAAAACTGTGTCTTATCTGCCAGGAAAGACCAGCCTCACTCCTGGGAACTGTCTGGCAGGTAGGCTGGGCCCCCCAGTGCTGTTAGAATAAAAAGCCTCGTGCCGGAAGCCTTCCTGTTTGGTCGTGGTGTGTTTGAGGTGATGGTAATGGGTCACCCGTCTCTCCTGCTCACGGCTCTGTCTCTCTTCCTCCTGCCTCCCACTCACCCCTGCCACCGTCCGCCCCTCTGTGTCCCTGATCGCGAGAGATTCTGTCCCATTTTCCTGCCACCCCCGAGCCCCTGCCCTCCTTGGCTGCTTCTTTAAGTCTTTTTGGTTATTGATTTAGTTGTTTAAACTATTTTATTTATTTATTAGAGACAGGGTCTCGCACTGTAACCCAGGCTGGAGTGCAGTGGTGCGGTCTCAGCTCACTGCAACCTCTGCCTCCCAGGTTCAAGGGATTCTCCTGCCTCAGCCTCCCAAGTAACTGGGATTACAGGTGGCCACCACCACGCCCAACTAATTTTTTTATATTTTTAGTAGAGTTGGGGTTTTGATGTGTTGGCCAGGCTGGTCTTGAGCTCCCAACCTCAGGTAATCCACCCGCCTCGGCCTACCAAAGTGCTGGGATTATAGGCGTGGGCCACTGCGCCCGGCCATGTTTTTCCTTTTTATTTCTCCAGTTGCTATATTTTCAAAGTACAGCTAGGTTCCAGGGATGGGTGACAGGGAGGTGGCGGGAGGACTGTGGAACATGTGCAGAATGGTACCGCGGAGGGACCTTGGCCTGTCTTCCTCTCAAGGTACTTAGGCAAAGGGGAGTGGTCCTTGTCCTTGGTGCTGCCAGACTGAGGGAGCAGTTGTCCTTAGGAAGCCCCTGTTACCAGGGGCTGCAGTGTGTGAAGTTATTAGCAGTACGGAAAACCCAGAAGTTTCTGGGAAACATGGGGGAATTCATGGTATAGAGCAAATTTGTCCAACCTGCAGCCTGCATGTGGCCCAGGATGACTTTGAATGCAGCCCAACACAAATTCATAAACTTTCTTAAAACATTATGAGATTCTTTTGCGATTTTTTTTTCTTTTAGCTCATCAGCTATCGTTAATGTTAGTGAATTTTATATGTCTCCTAAGACAATTCTTCTTCCAATGTGGCCCAGAGAAGCCAAAAGAGTGGACACCCCTGGATTAGAGGCCCCTGGTCTGGGTGGCCCTGGGTGCTGTGACTCATGTGAACTTCTTATACCCATACCTTGTCTAAATGAATTGCAAGCTGTAATCTCGTAAGGTCCTTTTGGTTGCTGTATTAAGGCCCAGAACCCTGTTAACCTCATAGCAAAGCAAGTGCTTAGTAAGTATCCATTGAACAGATGGCCTCATTAAGATATTAGAGAGATCCAGCAAAGTCAACGTTAGGCACCATTTTTTTTTTTTCTGAGATGCAGTCTCGCTCTGTTGCCCAGGCTGGAGTGCAGTGGCGCCATCTCAGCTCACTGCAACCTCCACCTCCCAGGTTCAAGTGACCCTCATGCCTCAGCCTTCTGAGTAGCTGGGATTACAGGCGCCTACCACTATGCCCAGCTAATTTTTGTATTTTTTGTAGAGATGGGGTTTCACCTTGTTGGCCAGGCTGGTTTCGAACTTCTGACCTCAGATGATCCACCCGCCTCGGCCTCCAAAGTGGTGGGATTACAGGTGAGAGCCACCGTGCCTGGCCAGTCACCATGTTAGGCCTTCACTTTTGGGTACTTTCCTGGGGGTTGGCTCAAGTATTCCCCAGGGTTTTCTTGAGGAACTGCCTCCCTTTCTCTGAAGACTTGCAGCTGGGCAGGCAGTACTGGTTTTGGTGTCAGCTTCATGTTGGGGGGCTGATGTCAGGATTCAGAGACAATCCAGGTGAGGTGGTTTTTCAAGATGGCTCAAAAATCTTTGTCCTCCCATTAAAAAGTGGAGTGTTACGGCCAGGCAAGGTGGCTCACGCCTGTAATCCCAGCACTTTGGGAGGCTGAGGTGGGCAGATCACTTGAGGTCAGGAGTTTGAGACCAGCCTGGCCAACATGGTGAAACCCTGTCTCTACTAAAAATACAAAAATTAGCTGGGCATGGTGGCGTGTGCGTGTAGTCCCAGCTACTCTGGAGGCTGAGGCAGCAGAATCGCTTGAACCTGGGAGGCGGAGGTTGCAGTGAGCCGAGATCACGTCATTGCACTCCAGCTTGGGCAACAGAATGAGACCCCGGCTAAGAAAAAAAAAAAGGCCGGGTGCAGTGGCTCACGCCTGTAATCCTAACACTTTGGGAGGCCAAGGCAGGTGGATCACCTGAGGTCGGGAGTTTGAGACCAGCCTGGCCAACATGGTGAAACCCCATCTCTATTGAAAGTACAAAAATTAGCCGGGCGTGGTGGTGGGCACCTGTAATCCCAGCTACCTGGGAGGCTGAGGCAAGAGAATCGCTTGAACCCGGGAGGTGGAGGTTGCAGTGAGCTGAGATCTCACCATTGCACTCCAGCCTGGGCAACAGAGTAAGACTCCATCTCAAAAAAAAAAAACAAAAAAAACAAAATTAGCCAGGCATGGTGGCATGTGCCTGTAATCCCAGCTACTCAGGAGGCTGAGGCAGGAGAATCGCTTGAACCCGGGAGGCAGAGGTTGCAGTGAGCTGAGATCGCGCCATTGCATTCCAGCCTGGGCAACAGAGTGAGACTCCGTCTCCAAAAAGAAAAGAAAAGACTATTTCGGGGCTGAACAACACCATCTGTGCTTCTCCGTGGCATCCTAGGCTGGGATTCCCGTCCAGCTTGCACTGTCAGCACAATCTCTTTGGATTCTTTCCTAACTTAGCTGACTGTTTCATATTTTGTGGTTATAAAAAGAGGCACACTGGTTCTGTTCAATGTAAGATTTCTCTCCCCAGTGACGTACTCCGCCTTCCAAAATGACCTTGAGAGGACAGGGCTGGACCCTGAAGGCCTCTGGTTGCTCTCTGATGCCATCCATGACATTCTCTAGGAAGCTGAGTCCAGGGACTTTGGACCCCCATTGAAAAACCATAATTCGGCCAGGCAGGTGGCTCACGCCTGTAATCCCAACACTTTGGGAGCCCGAAGCAGGCGGATCACTTGAGGTCAGGAGTTCGAGACCAGCCTGGCCAACATGGTGAAACCCAGTCTATACTAAAATTACAAAAATCAGCTAGGTGTGGTGGCACACGCCTGTAATCCCAGCTATTTGGGAGGCTGAGGCAGGAGAATTGCTGGAACCCAGGAGGCAGAGGTTGCAGTGAGCTGAGATCACGCCATTGCACTCCAGCCTGGGTGACAGAGCAAGACTCAGTCTCAAAAAAAAAAAGAAAAAAGAAAGAAAACCATAATTCCCCAAGGACAGCCTGAAACAATTTTGCCAGCTTCCTTCATGCTAGGGAGATTTTTTCCTACCTTGGGAGACACCTGGTCTTTGGGAAATGTATACTCTGCTCTAAGGTTCTAGAAGGTAAACCTAGTGTCATGTGATAAGGGCAGCACCCCCCTTTCCTGGGAGCACAGAGGAGGAAGAGGTTGGTGCCAGGGTTTGGAAGTGTGGACACGGGTGGTTACTCCTAAAAACTTCAATGAGGCTGGGTGCTGTGGCTCAGGCCTGTAATCCCAACGCTTTGGGAGGCTGAGGCAGGAGGGTCTCTTGATCCTAGTAGTTTGAGACCAGCTTGGGCAACACAGGGAGACCCCATCTCTACAAAAAATTTAAAAATTGGCCGGGCACGGTGACTCATGCCTGTAATCTCAGCACTTTGGGAGGCCGAGGCAGGCAGATCACGAGGTCAGGAGATCGAGACCATCCTGGCTAACACGGTGAAACTCCGTCTCTACTAAAAATACAAAAAATTAGCCGGCCTGGTGGCGGGCACCTGTAGTCCCAGCTACTCGGGAGGCTGAGGCAGGAGAATGGCGTGAACCCGGGAGGCGGAGCTTGCAGTGAGCCGAGATTGCGCCACTGCACTCCAGCCTGTGCGACAGATCAAGACTCCGTCTCAAAAAAAAAAAAAAAAAAAAAATTAAAAATTAGCCAGGTATGGTGGCGCACACCTTTAGTCCCAGCTACTCAGGGAAGGATGGCTTGGGCCTGGGAGGTTGAGGCTGTGGTGGGCAGCAATCACTTTACTGCAGTCCAACCTGGGCAACAGAGCAAGACCCTGTCTCAAAACAAAACAAAAAAAAGATCTTGATTTTAATTGATGTGAGTTAGGAGAGCCAAGAATTCTGGGAAGCAGGGCAATTGTGTCTTCAGTCTTGGAGAAATCCTGGTCTGAGTACTAACTAGTGGTGTAGCTCGGACAGGTCACTTCACCTCTCTGATGCTGTTGGAGCCATGCTGCAGCTATTGCAAGAATTCAATACACCTAGCCCGAGACCTGACTTCTAGTGAGTACGCAGCAAATGAGAGCGCTTGATGATACTGCCAAGACCTAAAGCATGTTGTTGAGTTTTTCACAGCCAGCTCCCTGGGGACTAAACCCAGCACCTGGCCCAATTGTCAGGTAGCCAGCAGTTTGCATTTACATTTCTTTTTTTGAGACAGAGTGTCACTCTGTCGCTCAGGCTGGAGTGCAGTGGCATGATCTTGGCTCACTGCAACCTCCACCTCCCAGGTTCAAGTGATTCTCGTGCCTCAGCCTCCTGAGTAGTTAGAATTACAGGTGCCCACCACCATGCCCCGCTAGTTTTTGGATGTTTTTTATTTTTTCTTTTAATTTTTTTGAGACAGGGTCTCACTCTGTCACCCAAGCTGGAGTGCAGTGGCACGATCTCAGCTCACTGCAACCTCTGCCTCCCTGGTTGTTCAAGCGATTCTCCTGCTGCAGCCTCCTAAGTAGCTGGGATAACAGGCACCCGCCACCTCGCCTGGCTAATAATTTTGTATTTTTATTAGAGATGGAGTTTCATTATGTTGGCCAGGCTGGTCTCGAACTCCTGACCTCAGGTGATCCGCCAACCCCGGCCTCCCAAAGTGCTGGGATTACAGGTGTGAGCCTCTGCGCCCGGCCAGTGGTTTACATTTGTGTTTGCTCCTAGGCTGTGGGTTCTTTGAGGGCACAGGCCCACTCCAGCTTCTAGCAGGGAAGCAGCTCAGTATGTGTTCTGAAAAAGGGCAAATGTCTCCATAACCCTTTGTAGTCACATGTCCACCCGGGAAGAAATCAAAACTCAACCTGGTGACCATATTAAGGCACACACTTAAATGCCGAGTTGTAAAACTGGGCACAGGTTGTTTTTCCTGAAGGGGGAAGAAGTGAGAAGAGGCAGGCTGGTGTTGGGAAAAGGAGGTAGACATGTGGGGGTGGCACACTGAAGACTTTTGGAAGTGCCTGGAGGTGTCAGCAGTTGTAATTGACTTTTGTCTTCCTTCACTATAGGGAGCACTCTCATGGCCTTTCAGGATTGTAAGACACTTTTTGTTTGTTTTTCAAGACGGAGTCTCGCTCTGTCGCCCAGGCTGGAGTGCAGTGGCACAATCTCAGCTCACTGCAATATCCATTTCCCAAGTTCAAGCAATTTTCCTGCCTCAGCCTCCTGAGTAGCTGGGATTATAGGTGTGTGCCACCACTCCTGGCTAATTTTTGTATTTTTAGTAGAGTTGGGGTTTTGCCATGTTGGCCAGGCTGCTCTTGAACTCCTGACCTCAGGTGATCCGCCCACCTTAGTCTCCCAAAGTGCTGGGATTACAGGTGTGAGCCACTGCTCCTGGCCCTAATTTTTATTTTTTTAGTAGAGATGGGGTCTCGCTACGTTGCCCAGGTTGGTCTTGAATTCCTGGGCTTAAGGGATTCTCCTGCCTTGGCCTCCCAAAGTGCTGGGATTATGGCCATGATCCACTGAGCCTGGCCTGTAAAAGACACTTCTACTGAGCCTGGCCTGTAAAAGACAGAAGACGGTGTGGAAGGAGAGGATTGCAGTTGGTCACAGACTTGTTGGCCACAGGACCCTTTATGTAGGGAGCAGCTCAAAAGGCACCAGGGCATCTGGCCAGGCGCAGCGGCTCACACTTGTAATTCCAGCACTTTGGGAGGCTGAGGCAGGCGGATTACCTGAGGTCAGGAGTTTGAGACCAGCCTGGCCAACATGGTGAAACCCTGTCTCTACTAAAAATACAAAAAAATTAGCTGGGCATGGTGGCGCACGCCTGTAGTCCCAGCTACTTGGGAGGCTGAGGCAGGAGAATCTCTTGAACCTGGGAGGCCGAGGTTGCAGTGAGCCAACATCGCACCACTGCACTCCAGCCTGGGTGACAGAGCAAGACTCTGTCTCAAAAAAAAAAAAAAAAAAAAAAAAAAAAGCACCAGTGTTTCTGGCTGGAGCCCAGCCAAAAGGATCCCAAGGATCCCAGCCCCAAGGTGAAGGTGTGTCCAGGGCCCAGGAAGCAGCCTGGTGTGATGGTGGAGCACGGTTTATCCGGAGGAAAGGGAGCAATGGGGATGGAGAGGTGGGCCAGGCCCAGGCAGCATGTCAAGTTCATAACTGTCTGGGGCTTTCTTCTGGCGGGGCCAGGAGCTGCCAAGGCAGGGCGGTCGGTGGTTCTCCAGGAGTGCATTAGGAAGACCGTGCTTGAGACGCCCAGTTGGGGGAACCCTGTAGTTGTGGGGGGGCAGGAGAGTATGAGGGCCTGCCCCAGGACCAGCAGTGGAGAAGAGAGAGAAGTAGATGGGTGTGAAAAACACCATAGAGGGAGAGTCTGGAGGATTTGGCAATGAACGGAGGAGAGGAAGTGGTGGAGCAGAGGGGAGGGAGAGGTTGTCCATCTGCAGACAGAGATGTCAGCCATGCTGGTGACAGGGGTGATGGGGACTGCAGCTCTGCGGAAAGTGATGAATTCGATGTGTCTGGAGCCCACATGGTAGGAACATACATGTACTTCTGAAGCGCAGGGGAGAGGCACAGGTGGAATGCCAATGCAGATCTCTCCATTCCAGGGGAGGGTTGGTGAGGGCGAATGAGATGAAGGAGAAAGGGGAGGGGCTGTGGTCAGAATCCAGGGCTCCCCAAGGGACTGGCCACTTGTTCGCACTGCAGAGGATAGTGCTGGGATGGGGCTCCATTGCCCACTTTGCTGGATACCAGGCTTCTTCCTAGCGGCCTCATTGTCCTTTTGTTTTCTCTCTTTTTTTTTTTGAGACAGGATCTCCCTCTGTCGCCCAGGCTGGAGTGCAGTGGTTCACAGCTCACTGCAGCCTCCAACTCCTGGGGTCAAACGACCCTCCCACCTTGGCCTCCTGAGTAGCTGGGACTACAGTAACGCACCACCATGCCCAGCTAATTTTTGTATTTTTTTTTTTTAGTAGAGAAGGGGTTTCACCATGTTGGCCAGGGTGGTCTTAAACTCCTGACCTTAAGTGATCCTCCTCGCCACCCCCCCTCCCCCGCCTCAGCCTCCCAAAGTGCTGGGATTACAGGCATGAGCCACCACACCTGGCCTCACTGTCTCATCTTAAGCGGGTGCAGCTCTGTGCTTAGCACCCACTGGGCCTGCAGCAAACCCACCCACAACCCAGAACCGTGTCTCAGCCGGACACCACCGAGGTGCACACATACCCACCGACAGACCTCCAGAGGCTCTTCTGGAAGGTACTGTACCTTCCCCGGAGAAAGTCTCTGCACCATTCCCAAGTTAATGTTAAACAGAATTTCAAAAGGCTTATCACTCCTGATAACCATCCATGCTCAGGCCCAGGGCACGCAGCTCTGCTCTAGACTGGCCATGGAGAGTGAAAGGAGCAGCTTGGGGTCTCAGGCTGGCCAGGGGCCATCTCTGCTATTTCCAGTTTCCTGCAGCCGGGACTTCCGGGATCTGCTCCTTGGTGACTCTTACCAGCAATTATGTGCCACTGGCGAAATCACTTGCAACCCCTCTTCTATTTTGCTGTACAACACAGCCCCAAAGTGGTGGACAGGGTGGCAGTCTGGGGTCCCAGACCTGAACCGACCCCTGGCACCACCCCTCACCCCTTGCTTGGCCGGCCGCTTCTGACACCTTCAAGCCCTGAACGGTCACAATATGCATTTATTAATGAATGTATTTATACACAATACAAACGTGCGGGGACACCGTCCCCTTCACAGCCCAGAACCCAGGGTCAGAAGATGAGGGATCCAGCCTCAGAGGGGAGATATGCGACTTCCCAAGAGCAGTTCTTGGCCTGGAGGGGCCATGAGAGTGCAAGACACGGGGCCGTGGCCGGGGCGGGGCTACGGGAGCGGGGCGTGGCCGGCCCCTGAGGTTACTATAGGGGAATGGGCCCCGGCCAGGTCCCCTCTCCTTGGGGCAGTGGGAAGACAGCGGGGCCCACGGGCCAGAGCTGCTACACGTAGGCGTTTCTGCCGTATTTGCCAAAGCTGCTGTCGCCTTCTTGGTCCGAGGTGGCGACGGGCATCACGGACACTGGAGCCTGGTAGGGCCGCCGGGCGCTGCGGGGAGGGCCCGGGGTCAGAGCGGGGGCGCGGCCCTCCTCTCTCCAATCCCGCCCGGCCCCAGCCTGCGCCTCACCCTGCTCACCTGGCGGCTGGGTCCTCGTCAGAGCCGCAGCAGCAGGCGGAGCAGAGGCAGAGGCCACCCAGGATGGAGATCAGTGAGGCGCTCCACCCCAGGTAGAGGGCGGGGCCCAGCTCGTACCTGCGCACAAGGGCGGCGCGGGGGCGGGGGACAAGTGAGACGCCAGCCGGGGGGCAGGGCTGAGTCCCACCCGCTGCCCCGAGGGCGGGGGGTGGGGGGTTTCCTCACTCACTTGGTTCCGGGGTACAAGGGGTCGAAGAAGTCCCGGGTGATGTTGAAGGCGTACCAGGAGATGGCCACCATCCCGCAGATACCTGGGGACCGGAGGACGACCCCAGTCCAGTCCAGGGGGAGGGATAGTGGGGGAGGGGGCTTAGGGGAGAGGCAGGCAGGGGCTGCCCAGAGTAGGACGGGGGCACCAAGTCCCAGAGCAGCAATTTCACTCAATTCCTTTCTCCCCACCCCAGTTTATAAGCCTTCCTCCTTCCTGGGGTCAACTTCTCAGGGTAGCCCTTAGGCCCCAAGTCCAGCCCACCCAGCTCATCTCACACTACCTCAACCTCCTCCTGCCTCTTCTCTCTTTGGTCCCAGATCTACCTAGTTCATGCCCACCTCTAGGGCCTTCATCCCATCATCTCCTCACCCAGATGGAGCCCCATCCAAATCCCGCCCACCCTTGAAACCTTGAAAACCCAGCTGGGCCATGGGAGTCCAGGGTCGTCCTTTCCTGAAGCCAGGCAGACCCCCGGGCTAGCACCACCCTACTCACTGGGGGCTTGTCCTCTTGCAAGCCACCTGACCTTTCTGGGCCTGTTTTACCTCTGGAAAACAAGCAATACCCACCCTACCTCAAAGGCTTATTGTGAGGCAATGGGTACAGAAATGTTCTGCAAATTGAAAAGCAATGGCCAGATGGCATTGTTTTTGTTTTTTGCTGAGACGGGTTCTCACTATGCTGCCCAGGCTAGTCTGGAACTCCTGGGCTCAAGGCAGTTCTCCTGCCTTGGCCATTTTTTTTTTGACAGTCTCACTCTTTCACCCAGGCTGGAATGCAGTGGCACAATCTTGGCTTACTACAACTTCTGCCTCCCAGGTTCAGGTGATTCTCCTGCCTCAGCCTCCAAGTCAGTGGGACTACAGGTGCCTGCCACCACGCCTGGCTAATTTTTTTTTTTTTTTTTTTTTTTTTTTTTTGGTATTTTTAGTAGAGACAGGGTTTCACCATGTTGGCCAGGCTGGTTTTGAACTCCTGACCTCAAGTAATCCACCCACCTCAGCCTACCAAAGTGCTGGGATTACAGGCATGAGCCACCATGCCCCGTGGTATGGCACTGTGGACGTGCACTGTGTGTGTGCGCCATAGCGTGCACCCTAACTCTGCTCCCCAGCTAGGATGTAAGCTCCCGGAGGCAGCCGCTCACTCTTATCTTCGAAGTCCCTCCCACACCTGGCCGTGGCCAGCCCCTACTGGGAGCTCAAGAAACACTGCCGATGGGCTGATTTGCAGCCAGGAGATCTGGGGAGTACAGATGAGGCAGGGGTGAGCAGGTGTCCATGCAGCAGGGTAGGGGAGGTGAGCATGAGGAGTGGGAATTGGAGAGGAGATTAGATGAGGACAAAGCAGCCTGAAGTCTGCGGTTGAGGGGGACCCCCGCCCCATCACCTTCCCCCAGTTACCGGCCAGAATGTGGAGGGCCCCTGCGGTGGCCGCCAGCTTGGCTTTCCTGGAGAGCTCCAGGCCCCCAATGTTGGTGCAGCGCAGGCCCGCTATGCCTAGCAAGAGGCCGAGGAAGCCCAGGAGGATGGCGGTGATCATGAGTGCCCGGCAGGCCTGAATATACCCTGGGGGTGGGCACAGTTGTCAGCCTTTCCCATCTCCCCTCTGCGACGGAGCCAGCCCAACAGCCCCTCACCATCCCAGGTTCAAGTGATTCTCCTGCCTCAGCCTCCCCAGTAGCTGGGATTACAGACACGCACCACCACGCCCGGCTAATTTTTCTGTTTTTAGTAGAGACAGGGTTTCACCATGTTGTCCAGGCTGGTCTCGAACTCCTGACCCCAAATGATCTGCTTGCCTCGGCCTCCTGAAGTGCTGGGATTACAGGCATGAGCCACTGTGCCAGGCCCCCCTCACCTTCTTGCTCTCTTGTACCTAACAGTCCCCACATCCTCTCCTTCCCCTGGGCTCCTCCAGCCTACCCAGTTGCAGTCACCCTTCCCTCCTTAGGCATCTGGGCCCCTCCCACCCTGCTCCCCACTCCTCCCATGCACCTGGCACGCTTTGCTTGTGCCTGGATTACAGGCTTTCTCCTGGGCACTCTTGACACCTGAGCTGGGCAACTCTATTCTGGGGGCCGTCCTGTGTACTGTGGGATGTTCAGAAGCCTCCCTGACCTCTACCCACGGGGTGCCAGTAGCAACCCCCTCCCCACAAGCTGTGACAATCATTGTGCAAAGTCGCCCGGCTGAGAACAACTGCCCTATCAGGTTGCTCTCACGTTGCTGGGTATACAGAAACCACAGCTAAGCATCGCTGTCGCCTTCCCCACGTCTGATTCCACTCCAAGTCCTTCACTGTCCTAGCCCAGTGCTGGACATTTTGACCTTGGTTTCTTCCTGGAGTAACAGGTAGGGGGCAGCGGTGCTGTACAGCAGAGGGCCTAGGGCAGTTTTAGAGACAGGGTCTTGCTTTGTCGCCCAGGCCAGAGGACAGTGGCGCCACTACAGCTCATCACTGTAGCCTTGATTGAACTCCTGGATGCAGGCGATCCTCCTGCCTCAGCCTCCTGAGTAGCTCAGGTTACAGGTGTGGACCACCACACCCGGTGGAGTTTCTGACCTAGGTGGAATCCTGGGCCCAGGACCGATCCAGGTCAGTCTAGCTCAGTCTTTCAGTGCCTCAGTTTCCCTTTTCTCAGAGCTGGAGGCTGCGGGCTCCCTCTTGCTTCCCCCTTCTCCTCCCTTCTCTGTCTTTGATAGTTGCCAAGCATTCCAAGGACCTTGCACCCCTTTCCCGGGTGGGGCATAACTGTTGGTGCTGAAGGGGAAAGGCTGGGTCCCTGCCAGGAGATGCAGGGTGCAGAGTCGGGGGGTAGGCAGGAGGGACAAAGTTCTCTGGGAGCACTTTCTTCCTCCCAGCCACTCCCTCTGGGGCTGACACGAGTCTGAGTCCCCAGGTGGCTCTAGCAGTCAATGGAGAGATTATGGAAGAGCCCAGGGGCACATGGGCTGCGTGGCCAGGGGCTGGGGTGCACGGTTGGGAGACGCAGTCAGGTCCCTCTCCCAGGACCACCCCAGCCGTGGAGTCTGAATGCCGGCTCCCCTCTCCTGCCTGTGTGATTCAGGGTGGGGTGCTGCACCTTGCTTCTGTAAAAGTTTCCCCCTACTTCCCCACTGTGGAAAAATGTAGGCAGAAGCACCTAGCCCAAGGCCCGGAACCTGGTCACCCTCTACCCCTGTGCCCTGGGGACTCTGGCACCATCTTTCATGCAGTTGCCAGGGGTGCCCCTCTCAGGTGTGCAGGCTCACAGCAGAGCCCCCTCCTCACAGCATGATGTGTCTGGGAAGTGGGTGTAGGGGCTGCCTCCAGTGTCCCTTCTGGACACTCAGAACTCTGGGGTTCTGGCCCAAGTTGTACTCAGCTTTTATAGGGTTTTTTTTGGGGGGGGGGCCCGCCGGCCCTGCATACAGTCAGTCCTAGAGAGATGGATGAAAACAGGAAGCCTCTGCCGCTGCCTCAGGAGGGGCTGGGAGTAGTGGGGGCACAGGAGACCCACCCAGGCCCCCTAACTGCTCAGAGCAGCTCCAACATCCCCGGGGGTGAGCTCTCAAGCCCCGCTTCACAGCCAGTGTCGCCCTCGGCTCCTTCCCTGCCACACGGTGCCTGGTGAGTGGACTGGCCCTGAAGGACCCAGGAGGGCGTGCAGCGGCACCACACACAGTTCACGGTCGCCAGCGCTCAGTCTCTGGCATAGGGCAGACGGAAGGGAGACTGCCCCGGAGAAACAATGGGGCGGCCTCATCTTAGCGGGGAGCAGGGAGCGGGAAGGTGCCGCAGCCACAGAAAGAACTGCCCTGGGCCCAAAGAGCTGTTGGCTCCAGCCCTCTAAGACCCCAGAAAGACACTGTCCTGGAAGCCCCACACACCTGCACACACACCGCCTCCTTACAGCGGACGCTCAACCTGCAACTTGCAAGACGCCTCCCTTCACAGGGGCCCTTTATAGACATCAGCCGGACAAGGAGACCAGTGCCCCCCGACAGTGAGGCTGGGGAGTCTGTGGAGCCTGGAAGTTGATCAACCTCTAAGAATCCAAGATGGGGCCTCCTCCCCCTGCCCACCCCAGCAATCCCACCCCCAAAACATGCTCAACCGTACTGAGTGCCTATGTGTGTTAACATCACGCTAACATTCTGCACTTTCTCAGTCACCTGTGAACTGGGACTCTCACCCTAACCCTACAGGTGGGAGATGAAGCTGGTTTCATCATTTGCCCACAGCACAGGGCTGGGAAAGGGGGTCTGATTCTGGTGCCTGCACCTGTAACAGCTAAAAGCGCCACACTAGCGCAGGGGGCCACGTGTGGCAAGGTCTTCACTCCAGTTCTAGGCATGGGCCGCCCCCAGCACTCCTGGCTGCGGGAACTCAGACCCGCAGAGCTTAATTCAGGGCTCCCTGCATCCTCACGGAAGTACCCGCCCTCCCCTGGGGTCTCTGCAGCTTCCCCGCCGCCCTCTCTCCCTGGAGCGCTCCCCACCCCATACCAGAGAGGGCCAGCATGGACGGGAACTCCCAGCAGTTGTAGACGCCCAGGGAGTCGGTGGCACAGCTAAACCAGAGGTTCTCGAAGATGGTGTTGGTGGTGATGACGTTCCCGTGCACAGTGGACACTCGCCAGTAGCTGTTTGGCAGAGTCACCCCCAGCATCAGCAGCCCCACAGTTGCCATGAAGAAGCCAAAGGTTTCCACAGCCATCGACATGGTGGGATGCAGGACCCTGGGGGGCTGGTGCCCCAGAGAGGGGGAGGGGCAGAACCCCTAGGGAACTGGAAGGGGCTGCGGCTAAGGAGGGTTGTCCAGGCAGGCTGGGGTGGAATCAGCCTCAGCCTCTGCCTGCCTCTTCCTCGGGCTCAGGTCCGTCTCCACTTTCTGCCTCCCTCCTGCTCTGTGGGTCTCTCTGCTTCCTGGCAGGTCAGAGGAATGAGCTAAGCCTGCGCGCGGCAGCTGTTGACGAGATGGAGGGAATAACCGAAACGGGCCAAAAGTCCACCCCCTCCCCCCAGCCTCTGGGCTGCCCCGGGCTCCCCGCCCCACGAGGGTGGGGGGGGCAGACTTACCCTGGAGCCACTGACGGATACAGCCAAGGAGGGGCCCCCAAGGGAGGCACTGGGAACTGAGGGGAAGCGTCTGTCTCTGACTCAGCTTTCATTGGGGGCCAAAGAACGGAGTAAGAGGGACAAGGAGTGAAAAGATGACAGAGACAGACGTGAGAGCAATAAGGGACAGAGACGGAGAGAGAATGAACAGCAGCCTTCAGTGGTGAAGGACGGAGGAACCACGAGAACAATCTAAGATACTCAGACCAAGGGGTTGGGGCGTATGAGTCTCTTAAGGAAGATCAAGCTGGAATGAGGGGATGGGAGGGTAGGAGACCCACAGCTCTGGGCTCCATCCAGCCTGGAATGGAACTCGGCCCCACCATCCATTCACCAGGGAACTCAGGCGGGGAGTTTTAGTCCCCTGAGCTTCTGCTCTGTCAGTGACATACCCGACTGCTTACTGCAGGGGCTGTGGTGAGAACTGGGACCAGGGGCCGGGCGCAGTGGCTCTCGCCTGTAATCCTACCACTTTGGGAGGCTGGGCTGAGACGATTGCTTGAACTCAGGAGTTCAAGACCAGCCTGGGCAACACACTGAGACCTCGTTGGGACCAGGGAGTCAAGCCCCCCACACATAACCAGCGCTTGGCACCGGGAACTGTCCTGGATGTGAGTGTCACAGGGCTGAGGCCACCAGGGAGTCGCTCTCACCCAAAACTCAAATTTCCTCCTAAGTTGATCTTTGACTCAGCATCGAGCCTGGTCCTGCTGGCCAACAGCCTGGAGCGTGATCCTGTGGCTAAGCTCTGCAACCTGTTCCCAGTTATCAGGGACTGTCACCCACTCTATTCGTTAATGATGATGGATTAGCAGCCTCTGGTCCCCATCCCGAGCCAGTGCAGAGCACCTGTCCCAGAGCAGACACTCTCATCTCCTGCTCCGGTTCCCTAGGGCTCTGTCCCTGGGGGCCATCAGCGCTGGCTGCGCACCTCCCTGGCCCCACGGCCCTGCTGGGCTTCTCCGGCCTCCCCTCAGGTGTCTCCTCCCTACTCCTGTGCTGGCCTGGGCTGTGGAACGAGAGGTATGCGGTGAAGCAAAACAGGCCCATGCCGAGCCTGGCACGAGGGGGCGAAGCTGGCTAGGTGGGGCTGAGTCCTGACCTTCCAGCCCACAGGCGAGAGCTGGGGCTCCCTGGGCTCTGACCTCTCCCGGGACCCCCGCCTACTCCATGCCAGATGCAGGATTCCTTCCCCTACTGGGCTCCCCCTCCCCCAGAGGAGGAGGTAGGAGGAAGGGGAGGCCACAGGAAGACAAAGGGAGGGGAGGGTGGGGAGGAGGAAGCCAAGGGGGCCTGCTGTGGAAAACTCCACAGAAGTAGCTGAGTGGGTCAGAGGAGAATGCAGGCCTGAAGCCCGGCCTGGCCCCGAAGTTCTGCCCGCCCATGCTCAGGTCACTGCCTTCTCCCAGGACTCTGGGACCATGGAAAAGCCCCATGTCTCCGAGCTGCCCGGCACTCTCAAGGACATGGCTTCAGGAAAGGGAGGAAGGAAGGGTGTGGGCTCTGGGCTGCGGGGTGGACAAAGAACCCCGTGCCAACCTGGAGGGCAGGGGCAGGAGAGGACCAGGAGTGACGTCTCCGCCCCCTGTGCCCAGCGTTCAGAACCCACCCCTCCCCTCAACGCAGACACGGGGGTTCCCAAGCCACAGCCCCGTTTTATTTACACTCATCCCAAAGCACATGATGGGGCTGAAGGACGAATCTCAGGGGAGCAGAAATTAGCTGAAGGCCACAGAGGATAGAGACGGGGGGCAGGGGGAGAACAGGGAAAGGACAGCGAGGATGGACAGGCCCTCCTGGAGCGTTCTCCGTGGGCTCCCGCGTCTCCTTCAGGATTTGGACTTGGACACAGCAAGTCCGATGAGTCCGGCCAGTCCCGCCACACCCAGGGCCATGCCTCCCACGATGGCCATGCCCACGAGTCCATCTGGGGAAGGAAAGGGACAGTGTCAGGAGCCCGGCCCCTGCGGAAACCCTGACCGTCCCCTTCCGCCAGCCCTGCCCCTCAACAGAGGCACACCCCTACCTGGAGTCGCAGGGCAAGGGGCTCTAAGAACTGGAAGGGGTGGGGCTGAGGGGCTGCCTGGAGGGGTTCATTTACAGAGAGACCAAAGTGCCCAGGCGTGGGGAAGAGCGGGGCTGAACAAAGGGGCCGAGGCTGTCACCTTTCTTCATGGCCTTGTCAATGAGCCGCTCCAGTTCCTTGGCCTGGTTGTTCTGGGGCTCTGTCTGCAGCAACCCGCGGACGTACTTTAAGGCCTTCTCGTATTCCTGCGCTCGGGGAAACGCGCACGCGTCATACACACCGCAGTGTTTTTTTGTTTGTTTGTTTTTTAATAAGAGACGGGGTCTTGCTCTGTTGCCCACGCTGGACGGCAGCGTCGCAATCACAGCCCACTGCAACCTCAAACTCCCAGGCTCAAGCAGTCCTCCCGCCTCAGCCTCCTGAGTAGCCGGGATTACAGGCGTGAGCCACTGGGCCGGCTACACCTCAGTATCCACCACTCCCCCTGCCCACGTGAAGGGCCTTCCCTTCTTCAGCCCTGGGGGCTCCTCCCTCGACCTCCACCCACTCCCTCCCTCCAGCCCCACCCCACGGAGTAGAGTCCACAAACAACCCCAACTCTGCGGGAGATAACAGCGCAAGGCTTGGGCCTGCACCCAGTCTCTTGACGTCACCTTCCTCCCCACCCCCTCGCCACTCTGATCTTCCCTCGGAGTCCTCATCTGACACCGCTCTGCACCTCTGCACCCCTTCAGCCTTCCCGCTGTCCAGGGCTCCACCCTGGAGGACACAGTAAGAAGGTCCTGCAGCCCCAGAGGAGGGTGAAGGGAACGGGGTCCCCACCTCACCTTGAGCCGGTAGTTCCCCACGGCCAGGTAGAAGACGTAATCCCGCTGTTCCTCCTTGCTCCCTTTGGGCAGCAGCTCTGGGGAGGGGCAGAGAAGAGGGTGAGAAATGCTTCTTTCCTAATACTTTCCTAATACTGTGTCCCAGAGGCCCCTTCCACTCTCTGAATGCCTCTGTGATCCTGGGAGGGTCACAGTCCTAAGCCTCCCTTTCAGCTCCAGTCACTCCCAGCACCCTAGCCAGAGCTCTGGGACAGGGTGAACCCCAGCTGTGCCAACACCCCAGTGACAGAACATGCCTTTTATCAGTATTACAGTCAACTGGTCCATCCAACTGAAATGAGGAAATCGGGGCCCTGGAGAAGCCAAAGGCAGCGTGACTCAGTTTTGGCATCTGCTGTGGTATTTTTTTTCAGACGGAGTTTCACTCGTCGCCCAGGCTGCGGTGCAATGGCGTGATCTCGGCTCACTGCAACCTTCGCCTCCTGGGTTCAAGCGATTCTCCTGCCTCGGTTTCCCGAGCAGCTGGAATTACAGGTGCCCGCCACCACGCCTGGCTAATTTTTGTATTTTCAGTAGAGATGGAGTTTCACCATGTTGGCCAGGCTGGTCTCAAACTCCTGACCTCAAGTGATCTGCCTGCCCTGGCCTCCCAAAGTGCTGCCGTTGTGGTTTTAACTAAACTGCCTGCTGTACAATTATTGTTTAAAAAAAAAAAAGTTAGGACTCCCTCCCCCTTTAAAAAAATCAGCTCAAAACTCACCTTCAATCAGCCTTCCCCGAAGACCCCACCTGACTTTGTCTTCCTTCCTTTTTTTTTTTTTTTTTTTTTTTTTTAAAGAGACAGGGTGGGCCGTGAGCCGTAGCTCATGACTATAATCCCAGCACTTTGGGAAGCTGAGCCGGGCGGATCACCTGAGGTCGGGAGTTTGAGACCAGCCTGACCAACATGGAGAAACCCCGTCTCTACTAAAAATACAAAATTAGCCGGGCGTGTTGGCACATGCCTGTAATCCCAGCTGTTCGGGAGGCTGGGGCAGCAGAATTGCTTGAATGCGGTAGGCAGAGGTTGCGGTGAGCCAAGATTGCACCATTGCACACTCAGTCTCGGGAAAAAAAAAACAAAAAACGGAGACAGGGTCTCGCTCTGTCACTCCAGTCTGGAGCACAGTAGCATGTCCATGGCTCACTGCAGCCTCAAACTCCTGGGGTCAGTGATCCTCCTGCCTCAGCCTCCCAAGTAGCTGGGACTATAAGCACACACCACCATGCCTGGCTAATTTAAACATCTTTGTTACACAGACAGGCCAGGTGGTCTCAAATTCCTGACTTCAAGCCATCCTCTGGCCTTGGCCTCCCAAAGTGCTGAGATTACAGGCATGAGCCACAGTGCCTGGCCCCACCTGACTTTCTTAATTCAGAGACTTCCCAGAGGATAACTGTACTGTATGCACTAGAATTTGTTGCTAAATAATTCTGCAGGTGTTTATAAATCTTCCTGTCTGTACTGTTTTCTCAACTAGACTGGCAACACTTAGAGAGGCTGTTTCTTCTACACCTACACCCTGCTGTAGAATAAACCTGAAAATCTGAATTGCCGAAGTAGACAAACATAGGGTAAAATTATTTGTATCTTTTAAGAAAGAGTCTTATTTTTATAGTTTTTTTTTTTTTTTTTTTGAGACGGAGTCTCACTGTGTTGCCCAGGCTGGAGTGCAATGGCGTGATCTTGGCTCACTGCAACCTCTGTCTCCCGAGTTCAAGTGATTCTCCTGCCTCAGCCTACTGCGTAGCTGGGATTAAAGGTGTGCGCCACCAGGCCCAGCTAATTTTTGTATTTTTAGTAGAGACAGGGTTTCACCATGTTGATTAGGCTGGTCTCGAACCCCTGACCTCGTGATCCGCCTGCCCTGGCCTCCCAAGGTGCTGGGATTACAGGTGTGAGCCACTGTGCCTGGCCATTTTTATAGATTTTCAATAGGCATCCTTTGCTAACACAGTCAGCATTCTGTATTCATAGATTCAACGAACCATGGATCAAAAATACTCAGAAAAAAAAAAAAGATAGTTGCATCTGTATTGAACATGAACAGACCTTTTTTTCTTGCCATTATTCCCTAAACAATACAGTATACTATTTACACAGCATTTACATTGTATTTGGTATTATAAGTAATCTACAGATGATTTAAAGTATATGGGAGAAGGTGCACAGGTTACATGTAAATACCATGCGATTTTATATACGGGACTTGGGTGGCTATTGGTATCTGTGGGGGTGGGGTTCCTAGAACCAATCCCCCATGGCTACAGAGGGATGGCTGTACACTGACTGTGTGCTTATAAATGATTATTTGAACACAAGGAGCTACAGAGAAACTAAGTGGTTAAGTATTGTGGCCTCTGACAAATGATGACCCACCTAAAACCAATAGGAAATAGGGTTCCCATCCAAAAAGCACTATCTGGCTGGACGAGGTGGCTCACACCTGTAATCCCAACACTGTGGGAGGCCGAGGTGGGCAGATCACCTGAGGTCAGGAGTTAGAGACCAGCCTGACCAACATGGTGAAACCCTATCTCTACAAAAAATACAAAAATTAGCTGGGCGTGGTAGTGGGCACCTGTAATCCCAGCTACTCAGGATGTTGATGCAGGAGAATTGCTTGAACCGGGAGGTGGTGGTTGCAGTGAGCTGAGACAGCGCCACTGTACTCCAGCCTGGGGGACAGAGCAAGACTCCGTCTCAAACAAAAACAAAAAACAAAAAGCACTATCTGCTCACAATTTTGTAGGACAGTCCTCTGTACCTCTTCCATGCCACAAAAGATTCTCAATAGCTGCTAAGCAACACGGTGGTGGTGTTGGGGGGAAGGGCATGGGCCTAGGTCTCACAAAACAGGAGCTTCTAGTCCCAATTCAGCCATTAACTGATTAGTTGGGTGACCTCAAGTCACTTTCCCAGATCAAGACAGTCCTGGGGGAACTGACATGCTACACTCTGTCTGGCAAAACAATGGTGGGCGGTAAGTAGCCAAAAGTTCACTGGGAGACGTCAAGCTAAGTATAGCCCTTGGTGCAGTAAATCTACCGGAGACAACTCAGAGGTGCCTGGACTACGGGGCCCACATCGCAGAGCAGCCCAGATGGCAGCGGGAAAGGGAGAGTACAGCGCCTCACCCTCGAGCAGCACGATGCCTTTACGGATGTCATCATTGTACTTGCTCCGCACCAGGCACCAGGCGTACTCAAACTGCGTGCTCTTGGACACCGAGCCTGCTGCCTTCTCAGACTGAAATTTCTTTTCAAACTTCTGCCACAGGGGAGGAAAGGAATCATTTAGAAATGTAGGGCGTCAACCATTCTCTATCTGGACATGCCATCTCCCTGGCTCTGCCCCTTTCCCTCGCAGGTCTCGGTATCTGGCACCCCAGCTTCTGCTATCTCCATGCCCGGGACCCAGGCTTTCGGCTCCTCCGGGCCTGCGGGCCAGCTCTTGGGACAGAGGCCCCCGGTCTCCCCTCCCCGCGGCGGTACCGAGCGGAGATGCCACCTGGTGGCAGCTCCAGGCACCGCTCCCGGAGCAGCTGACCCCGGCGGCCGAACAGTAAACACGCTGTCAGAACTGCTCAACAGCCCACGCGGTCCTCATTTGAGGCTGCTGGCCCCATCCTGCCCCACCCTGCCGGGCCTGGACCTTTTATTGTCCAGGAATAGAAGTAGTGCCTACCTCCTAGAGCTACAAAGACTGAGATCTGGCATGCGATGCCTTAGCACCGTGCCGGACGCAGTAATAGGTGACACCTTATGATGGTCACTGTATTCCTCCACCGCTGGAGGAGCGCCCTGAGCTCACAGCTCCTGCATGATCCCAGATCCCGTCAGTCTAACCACGGTCGGGCTCCAGGCCCGTAGTCTGAGGTGTGGGGGGCTCAGGACACTACAACTCCCAGGAGCCTCTGCGGCATAGCAGGCCCTCCGGGCAGGAGCCAGGCGCTGTGGAGGCTGCCGGGAGCCGTAGTTCGGCTTCCCTCGGCCAAGCCGATGCCGGGAGGAGGGTTCGGCCCCTACCTGACTCTCCTCAGGACCCGCCCTCCGACCTTCCCTTTCCCTCTGTCCGGGCCAGGCCTCACCAGCAGGTCCTCCACAGACACCAGCTCGTTCAGCACGGCCTCCATGGCCACTGCCCCCGCGAGCCTCACACTACAGTCTACTGTGCCACAGTCTCCATGGCCCAGTGGCAGGGGCGGAGAACCACTTCCGGCGTCCGGCGGATGCTGGCACGACCTGGCGACGCCCCGCCCCTTCCTCTCAGTTCAGCAGCGCCGGCGGGGCGCTAGTGCGCAGGCTCGGCCGGTCCCTCCAGCCCGCAGACTGCGCGCAGGGAGACCTTCCCCAGGTTGGTCTTCCCAGGTGCCTCAGCCGGTGCCTTCCTCTGTGGAGGCTTCCCTAGGGAAACTGGAGGCCATGTCTTGGCGGTTAGCCCCCAGGATGAAAACAGCAAAAAGAGGGTGGGTAGCTGACCAGAGATCACAGTACATTAGGGTGCCAAGCTGACGCCCCTCAGAAATCTAGGACCTTGGAGGCCACGTGACTATTCATCGCCTGCAACAAAATCTTAACTAGAACCGGGAGCCCGGCGCGTAGCTCACGTCCGAAGCCCAACAACTTGGGAGGCCGCGGCGGGAAGATCGCTGGAGGCCAGGAGTTCAAGACCAGCCTGAGCAACATAGCGAGACCCTATCTCTACAAAATTTTTAAAAAAATCAACCGGCGTGGTGGCGTGCACCTGTACTCCCAGCTACTGGGGCGGCTGAGGCAGGAGGATCGCTTGAGTCCGGGAGTTCGAGGCTGCAGTGAGTTATCGCGCCACTGCACTCCAGCTTGAGCGACAGAGACCTTGTCTCAAAAAACCCACCAACAGCAGCAAACTAGTATCGGGGTTTCTTGGGCCTCTGCTGACTCTCACAATGCAAGAGCAGAGGCAACTGGATCTGTAAACCACACAGCCACACAGGGGTAGTCATAGGAGACACTATCAACGGGAAGTTTTTCAAAAAGCAACGGCCCCATTATTGGCAGAGAAGGTCCAATTTTCAATATTATTTACATAAACCATTTTGGGAGTGCACCCCAGGCGGGAAACCTGCCACATGGGGTCACGGGCAATGGGGAGCTTAGCAGTGAGGAGCTATCAGAGCATGGGAAGGAGAAAGGTGTGGACACCTCTGGCTTCAGTTTCTGTGCAGTGAGGGGACTGGGTAAGTAGCAACTTTCAAATTCTTTTCCCCTTGAGTCACATTGGAGTGTAAGTTCCTTGAGGGCAGAGACTTACCTTGCTTATCCAGCATCTAGCACAGGGCTTGGCAGAGAGTGAGGGCTCAATAAATATTTGTTGAATAAACACGGAAAAAGCAAATTAATTGTAAACAAGGCACTGCACATGCAGGGGATAATCATCCAGACACCTTCCGCGTTTGCAAAGCCCCTTTAATTTTTATTATTTTTTAGAGACAGGGTCTCATTCTGTGGCCCAGGCTGGAGTGCATGCAGCGGCACAATCAGAGCTTACTGCAGCCTTGACCTCCTGAGCTCCTGTAATCCTCCTGCCTTAGTCTCCCAAGAAGCTGGGACTACAGGTGTGCACCACCACACCCAGGTTGTTTTTTGTTTTTTGTTTTTTTTTTCCGAGACAGTTTCTCGCTCTGTCACCCAGGCTGGAGCGCAGTGGCACAATCTCGGCTCACTGCAACCTCCGCCTCCTGGGTTCAAGCGATTCTCTTGCTTCAGCCTCCCAAGTAGCTGGGATTACAGGCGCCGGCCATCACACCCAGCTAATTTTTGTATTTTTAGCAGAGATGGGGTTTTACCATGTCAGCTAGGCTGGTCTGAAACTCTTGACCTCAGGTGATCAGACTGCCTCGGCCTCCCAAAGTGCTGGGATTACAGGCGTGAGCCACCGTGCCCAGCCAAGCCTCTAATATTTTTCTCCTCATAATAGTCTCGTGAGTTAGAAAGACAAGAGTTATTCTTCCCTATTTGGCGTGGATGGTTGAAATGACTGATACAGTAAGCTCTGTAAGCCTTGAGAGAATCCCCAGGTTGGGGAACTGGCTGCCCACTAGCATAAGCCTCAAGGGGAAAACTTCATGTTCATTCAGAGAAGTATACAGCACCTAATTTTGCCTGGGCCTTGGGGTGGCACAAAGGACACTAGGGCTGAGTGCAGTGGCTCACGCCTGTATTCCCAGCAGTTTGGGAGGCCAAAGCGGGTGGATCACCTGAGGTCAGGAGTTCGAGACCAGCCTGGCCAACATGATGAAATCCCATCTTTACTAAAAATACAAAAAATGCACCTCTGCCCAGCCGCTGTGCAACCTTCCAAGTGTGAAGTGACAGCCTTGTATGTGATCTTTCTGCCCTCCCCAAGTTTGCATTTTCAACATTAAAGTTTACTTTTTAATTAAAAAAAAAATATATATATATATATATGCACACAAAAAAAATTAGCCGGGTATGGTGGTGGGTGCCTGTAATCCCAGTTACTTGGGAGGCTGAGGCAGGAGAATCGCTTGAACCCAGGTGGTGGAGGCTGCAGTGAGCCGAGATCCCATCACTGCACTTCAACCTGGGTAACGAGAGCGAAACTCCATCTCTAAAAAAATAAAAAATAAAAAAGATGGACACGATATGAAGCAGGTGACTGAAAACAGGACTGAAGACGGGAGGCAAACACTGGCAGGGCAGGGGACACAGGAAGATGAAGGGGGCACTCCTTCTATTAGGAGGCTCCTTTTTGGGGGGCAGCCTGAACCACAGTCATGTTTATATTTGCTGCAGCCCTTGGTAGAGGCCTGGTGCATGGCAGAAGCACCATCAGGATTTGCTGAATGTCAACAAGGGATGAAGGGAGAGTGATTTACTCAGGTGGCTCAGTTGTGTGCCAATGAAGAGATCCGTAGTCTGTAGCTTTTCAAGTCTAGTTAGCATAGTCATCCACCTCCGACATAGTGATAGAAAGTAGTCCCTGTTAATTTTACACCCAATGGCTGAGCGCGGTGGCTCACGCCTGTAATCCCAGCACTTTGGGAGGCCGAGGCGGGCAGATCACGAGGTCAGGAGATCGAGACCATCCTGGCTAACATGGTGAAACCCCGTCTCTACCAAAAATACAAAAAAGAAATTAGCCGGGCGTGGTGGCGGGCGCCTGTAGTCCCAGCTACTCGGGAGGCTGAGGCAGGAGAATGGCGTGAACCCGGGAGGTGGAGCTTGCAGTGAGCCGAGATCACGCCACTGCACTCCAGCATGGGTGACAGAGCGAGACTCCGTCTGAAAAAAAAACCCTTTCATGCCTTCTCATTGCCCTTAAAACAAACACAGCCTTCAAGGTCCGTTAGGATCTAGCCATGCTTAATTCTCTTCCTCATCTATCACTACCTCTCCTGGTATGTACTATGTACACTGGCCCTATAGGCCTTCCTTCAGCTCTCAAACCCCTGGTGGCCACAGCTCCGCTACACAGGCAGTCCTCTCTGTTTGGAACATCTGTCTCCTCCTCCATTGCTTATTTGGCTCATTCATTCCCTCATGATTTAATTCATTCAAGAAATACTAATTGAGCTCCTGCTGTGTAGTAGGTGCTCAATTAGTTGCCTACAAATAGTAGCCTGGCACAGTGTAAGCCAAGGTGGAGCTTACATTTTCATGGGGAAAACAGAAAAAAATAACTCAACAAATAAAAGCACTGTGACATAATAAGACCTATATATTTGGGGCCAGGCCCGGTGGCTCATGCCTGTAATCCCAGCAGTTTGGGAGGCCGAGGCGGGCAGATCACCTGAGGGCGGGAGTTCGAGACCAGCCTGACCAACATGGTGAAACCCGTCTCTACTAAAAATATAAAAATTAGCCGGGCGTGGTGACAAGCACCTGTAATCTCAGCTATTGAGGAGGCTGAGGCAGGAGAATCGCTAGAACCCAGGAGGTGGAGGTTGCGGTGAGCACAGATCGCGCCATTGCACTCCAGCCGGGGCAATAAGAACGAACTCTGTCTCAAAAAAAAAAAATATATATATATATATATACATATATACATACACACACATATATATATTTGGTCTCTGCCCTGGTTCCCAACACAAAGGTCCTAAAATCCTTGTAATTTCCTGAGTGATAGAAGTAATAAGAGCATCTTTTTTTTTTTTTTTTTGGAGACAGCGTCTCACTCTGACCCCAGCTTTGACTGCAGTGGCGGGATCCTGGCTCACTGCAGCCTCGACCTCCCAAGTCAGGCGATTCTCCCACCTTGGCCTCCCAAGTAGCTGGGACCACAGGCACACACCACTACACCCGGCTAATTTTTGTATTTTTTTGTAGAGACGGGGTTTTGCCATGTTGTTCAGGCTGTTTTGTTGCCCAGGCTGGTCTGGAACTCCTGAGCTCAAGCAATCCGCCCGCCTTGGCCTCTCAAAGTCCTGGGATTACAGGTGTCAGCCACGGCGCCCGGCCAATAAGAGCATCTTACACAGAGCTCCAAAATCCCTTGCAACATCCTGAGTGACAGGAGTGCCTTTTCTTCTAATGAAGTGACTCGCTGGGCTCCTGGACAGCATCAGGATGAGGGCTGGTCACCAGGAAGACCAAGCCAGGATTTGAAGTTTAGCCTCTTAAGCTTGAACTTTTAGCCTCCCCCCTCATCCTTTGGGGAAGAGAGAGGAGCTGGAGATTGAGTTAATAATCGATCATGTCTACGTGATCAAGCTTACATAAAAAGCCCTTAACTTGGCTGGGCACAGTAGCTCACACCTGTAATCCCAGCACTTTGGGAGGCCGAGATGGGTGGATCATTTGAGGTCAGGAGTTCGAGACCAGCCTGGCCAATATGGTAAAACCCTGTCTCTACTAAAAATACAAACATTAGCCAGGCAAGGTGGAACGTGCCTGTACTCTCAGCTACTCGGGAGGCTGAGGCAGGAAAATCGCTTGAACCTGGGAGGTGGAGGCTGCAGTGAGCCGAGATTGCACCACTGCACTCCAGCCTGGGCGACAGAGCGAGATGCTGTCAAAACAAAACAAAACAAGGCAGGCGCAGTGGCTCACGCCTGTAATCCCAGCACTTTGGGAGGCCGAGGCGGGCGGATCACCTGAGGTTGGGACTTAGAGACCAGCCTGACCAACATGGAGAAACCCCGTCTCTATTAAAGATACAAAATTAGCCGGGCATGGTGGTGCATGCGTATAATCCCAGCTACTTGGGAGGCTGAGGCAGAAGAATCACTTGAACCTGAGAGGCGGAGGTTGTGGTGAGCCGAGATTGCGCCATTGCACTCCAGCCTGGGCAACAAGAGCGAAACGCTGTCTCAAAAAAAAGAAAAGAAAACAACACAAAACAAAACAGAACAAAAATTACTCCTCTGGGAAAATGATGAAAGAAAAAAAATGGAAGAAAAGGAAGACATGAAGATATTCATTCCTGCATTATCTGTGAAGGTAAACAAACAACAAAAATGCCAGGGAATGGTTTTATTAAATGATAATACATCAATATAATGGAATAATATACAGCCTTAAAGTCACAGTCACATGGATTCTATGCCTGTGGACAGTAATACTCAAAACAAAACAAAGAAGTATCTACTTCTCAAATTCAGACAGGTGGGTGAGCAGAAAGGAAACTGACATCTTAGGTTGGTGAGACTAAGACCTAGAACTGGTGTATATGGGCAGATTCTGGGCTCTGGACCCCTCCCTGGAGTACACCAGCAGCTGGGGCCTATTTTGCACTTCCCGCTTCAGCCTTTTGCACAAGAAGGGCTCAGCAAACACCCGCTGAACAGGATTCCATATTTGCGTTCTTCCAATTTTCAGTAATCTGTCTCCTCTACTTCCCAGTTCCATCTGCTATCCAGTTAGAAAGTCCTGTCAACTATCAATTAATTCATTCACCCATCAAAACATTTAAGAACCTACTATGTTTAGGAGGCTGAGGTGGGAGGATTGCTTGAGCTCAGAAGTTCGAGACCAGCCTGGGCAACACAGCGAGACCCCAACACTAAGTTAAAAATAAATACATAAAAATCTTACAAAAAGAACCTACCAGCCGGGCATGGTGGTTCATGCCTGTAATCCCAGCACTTTGGGAGGCTGAGGTGGGCGGATCACCTGAGGTCCGGAGTTCCAGACTAGCCTGGCCAACATGGTGAAACCCCATCTCTACTAAAAATACAAAAATTAGGCAAGCATGGTGGCGGGCACCTGTAATCCCAGCTACTTGGGAGGCTGAGGCAGGAGAATCGCTTGAAACCAGGAGGCGGAGGTTACAGTGGGCCCCAAGATCGTGCCATCGCACTCCAGCCTGAGCGACGAGAGAGACTCCATCTCAAAAAAAAAAAAAAAAAAAAAAAAGAACCTACCGTGTGCCAGGCCAGTCGCTCTTCTAAGTGCTGGGTAAGACAAATGAACTAAAGAGGTAATAGTCCTTGCTCTCATGAGAGTTACATGTCAATGGAAGAGACACAAGACTGCTCACCAATAAACACATGTCAGGCCGTCCCTGCCTCGATTCTGTCACCATACCCAAACAGGCTGCATACTTTTCCTCCTCAACCCAACCTGGTTACCTGGTGTATTTCGAAGTGCAAATACAAGCTCATATGTCCAGATGAAAATACAGCCTAGGCCGGCCGTGGTGGCTCACGCCTGTAATCCCAGCATTTTGGGAAGCCGAGGCGGGAAGATCACTGGAGGTCAGGAGTTCGAGACCAGCCTGGCAAACATGGCGAAACCCCGTCTCTACTAAAAATACAAAAATTTGCTAGTTGTGGTGGCGCGCGCCTGTAATCCCAGCTACTCGGGAGGCTGAGGCAGGAGAATCGCTTGAACCCGGAAGGCGGAGGCTGCAGTGAGCCAAGATCTAGCCACTGCACTCCAACCTGGGTGACAGAGCTAGAATCTGTCTCACAAAAAAACAAAAACAAAAAAAGCCCCTAAAATACCGTCTAGGCTACTCAGGATCCTGTTTAAATTTCTTACCACGCACACGAAGCCCTCCAGGCCCGCCCCTGCTCACCTTTCCAGCTTCATCTCCAGGCACCCACGCACCCCGCACACGCAGATGTCTTCACGACAGCCACTTTTCTTCTGCTCGGAGCGTTCCTTCTACCCACCATGCCCGGTCAACAGATCCTCAACCACTAGACACCAGAGGTGTCTACACCGCAGGCTCGGCGAGGCTCGGGGACGGTCCCCTCCTCTACGCGGCCTCCCGTCCCTTCGGCTCCTAGGAGGCGCGGCATCCTGTACCTTGGAAAACAACGCTCTTCCAGTCCTACTGTCCTTTAGCTGGACACGGACCGTGCCTCGTTCATCTCTCTGACAAAGGCCGGGAACTCAAGAAATCATTTCTTGAGTGAATGAAAGAGTAACGGTAGGAGGTCCGAACAGAACGCTCAGAACCTCCGGGCGACTAGGCTTCCGGGTGTCGGTTTCGTTGGCTCCCGAGAGGGAGGAGGAAGCGCTTCTTCTGGGGCCGCTCTAGGAGGAGGACTCGGTGGGCTGGAGGACTCGGAGCAACGCTCAAGGCATCTGCGCAGGAGCCACCCTAGGCGGGGAGGCGGGGCCGAGCGAAGCCCGGTGCGGGGCACGGGGACCCCACTGGCCAATGAACGACTCAGCTCTGCAGGAGGGGCGCGGCGCCACGCCACCTGGAAGTGAAAGAGAATGTCCATCGCTTTTATCAGATTATTTTATTTTCAGAAGTTGTCATCTCGGGTACTAGGCTTAGTACCTGGGTGACGAAACCATCTGTACAACAAACTCCCGTGGCACAAGTTTATCTATATAACAAACCTGTACGTGTACCCTGAACCTAAAAGTTTTTAAAAAGTACTGATCGGCCGGGCGCGGTGGCTCACTCCTGTAATCCCAGCATTTTGGGAAGCCGAGGCGGGCGGATCACGAGGTCAAGAGTTCGAGACAAGCCTGACCAACATGGAGAAACCCCGTCTCTACTAAAAATACAAAATTAGCCGGGTGTGGTGGCGTATGCCTGTAGTCCCAGCTACTCGGGAGGCTGAGGCAGAGAATTGCTTGAAGTCGGGAGAAGGAGGTTGCAGTGAGCCGAGATCGCGCCACTGCACTGCAGCCTGGGCGACAGAGCAAGACTCTGTCTTAATAATAACAATAATAATGCATGAAAGAAAAGAATCAAGTATTATAGGTTGGGCACGATGGCTCCTGCCTGTAATGCCAGCACTTTGGGAGGCCAAGGTGGGGGTACCACTTGAGGCCAGGAGTTTGAGACCAGCCTGGGCAACATAGTGAAACCCCGTCTCCACAAAAAAATTACAAAAAATAAGCCAGACACGGTGGTGAATGCCTGTAGTCCCAGCTACTCGGGAAGATGAGATGGGAGCATTGCTTGAGCCCAGGAGTTCATGACTGGAGTGGGCAGAGATTGTGCCACCGCACTCCAGCCTGGGCAACACAGTGAGACCGTCTCAAGAAAAAAAGAAAGAAAGAAAGAAAAAGAAAGGAAGGAGGGAGGGAAGGAAGGAAGGGAGGGAGGGAGGGAGGGAAGGAAAGGAAAATAAAAGATCAAATAGGTATTAGCATGCTCCTTTCTTTTTTCTTTTTCTTTTTTTTTTTTTTTTTTTTGAAACAGAGTCTTGCTCTGTCTCCCAGGCTGGAGTGCAGTGGCATGATTTCAGCTCACTGCAACTTCTGCCTCCCGGGTTCAATCGATCTTCCTGCCTCAGCCTCCCAAGTAGCTGGGTTACAGGTGTGCACTACCACGCCCGGCTTATTTTTGTATTTTTAGTAGAGACGGGGTTTCACCATATTGGCCAGGCTGGTCTCGAACCCCTGACCTCAAGTGATCCTCCCGCCTCGGCCTCCCAAAGTGCTGGGATTACAGGCAAGAGCCACCGTGCCCAGCCAGCATGCTCCCTTTTTGCTAAGCTACACAAGGGAGTCCAGATGTATTCATTCATTCATTCGCCCGTTCATTTAGCAAATATTTATCCAATATGTGCAAATTATTGGTAGAAAAATGAGTCTAGAGTTGACTCAGGTCAGCTAAGGACAGCATTCCTACTCTACCTGCTACCTCACGTTCTAAAAGGTAACAGTTACAATTGTTATTTTTGATGGTGTCACTAGCACACTTAATGGCTTTATGCACAGTTTTTTGTTGTTTTTTGTGGTGTTGTTGTTTTGTTTTGTTTTGTTTTGAGATGGAGTCTCACTCTGTCGCCCAGGCTGGAGTGCAGTGGCTTGATCTCATCTCACTGCAACCTCCTCCTCTTGGGTTCAAGCTATTCTCCTGCCTCAGCCTCCTGAGTAGCTCCGATTACAGGTGCACGACACCACGTGCAGCTAATTTTTGTATTTTTGTAAAGATAGAGTTTCACCACGTTGGTGAGGCTGGTCTCAAACTCCTGACCTCGTGATCCACCCACCTCAGCCCCCCAAAGTGTTGGGATCACAGGTGTGAGCTACCGCGACAGGCCTTTTTTTTTTTTTCTTTTTGAGGCAGGTTCTTGCTCTGTCGCCCAGGCTGGAGTGCAGTGGCCCGATCACAGCCCACTGCAGATTCCACCTCCCAGGTTCAAGCAATCTTCCCGCCTTGGCCTCCTAAAGTGCTGGGATTCCAGGTGTGAGCCACTGTGCCTGGCCCAGAATTTAATTTATCATAGCAATGATGTAGAGTTGTGGTTGCAGTAGAAACGGTTTAGGAGGATTTAGCTCCCTGTAATCCTCATTAGCTTTCCCTTCCCAAAACCACCCCAAGTAATTAGATTATGGTCTTACTGATAATCTGAATACTTAGGGTGTAGACACAGCTTCACCCCCTTTCAACTACACTACTACCCCCAA
The DNA here is from genome assembly GCF_000001405.40 of Homo sapiens. Lineage (NCBI taxonomy): Eukaryota > Metazoa > Chordata > Mammalia > Primates > Hominidae > Homo > Homo sapiens. The sequence goes on from NC_000007.14 coordinate 101,254,702, forward strand.
GTCCCTCCTCTATAGCTATTCTAGAACTTTCACTGGTCTGCTCCCCTTTTTCCTCCATATCCTAGTTCCAAGCTTGTAAGTATCTAAGACACCCCATATTAGTCAGTTGTTTCAAGGTGATCACAAAGGAAACCTTGACTAGTTATCACCAAGAAATAGATCTGCAGTCTGGGCAACATAATGAGACTGTCTCTACAAAATATTAAAGAATTAGCCAGGTGTGGTGGCGTGCACCTATAGTCCCAGCTACTCGAAAGGCTGAGGTGGGAGGATTGCATGAGCCCGGGAGTTTCAGGCTGCAGTGAGCTATGATTGCACCATTGCACTCAGTCTGGGTGACCGAGCAAGACCCTTTCTCAAGAAGAAGGAGAAGCTGGCTGGGTGCAGTGGCTCATGCCTATAATCCCAACACTTTGGGAGGCCAAAGTGGGTGGCTTACCTGAGGTCAGGAGTTCGAGACCAGCCCGGACAACATGGTGAAATCCCATCTCTACTAAAAATACAAAACTTAGCTGGGCATGGTGGCACATGCCTGTAATCCCAGCTACTCTGGAGGCTGAGGCAGGAGAATTGCTCGAACCGGGGAGGCAGAGGTTGCAGTGAGCCGAGATCACCCCACTGCACTCCAGCCTGGGCAACAGAGTGAGACTCCGTCTCTAAATAAATAAATAAACAAACAAAAATGAGCTGGGTGTGGTGGTGGGCGCCTGTAGTCCCAGCTACTCTGGAGGCTGAGGCAGGAGAATCACTTGAGCCTGGGAGGTGGAGGTTGCAGTGAGCCGAGATCGTGCCACTGCACTCCAGCATGGGGCGACAGAGTGAGACTCCGTCTCAAAAAAAGAAGAAAAAGAAGAAATCAGTCTTCAGTAAAATCAACTGATCAGCACCACAAGAATAAACATGATAAGCATATCTGTTAACCAGAAAACTCAAAACTATTTTCACAGGATGTCTGTACATCACCTTATATTCAACACACAAATACTTTCTGTTGTTTACTCTGGAGTAAAGTTGTTATCAAAGACAAATCTCATCATGCTATATTGATACTCAGAAGGACTTTTCCCCTTAAGCTTGCGTCTAAAACTCCATGGATATCCAATCAATAGCTTCCTTTTTCATTGAATGGGGAATTGGTGATATTTACATTTTCTATTGTTTCTACATGTGAGACTGGGAATGAGAAGATGCCGAATGGAAAGGAGGAAGGTTTTGCAGAAGTGAAATCACTGTCTGGATGTGACTCACACCCATAATCTAATCCCGGCTCTTTGGGAGGCTGAGGCAGCAGGATAGCTTGAGCTCAGGAGTTCCAGACCTGCCTGGGCGACATAGCAAGACTCGGCATCTATTTATGTATTTTAAAAATTGTGGTAGAGAAAAATTCCATGACTGTGATAAATGTGGGAAAACCTTCAACCACAATCCAAACTATAAACAAATTTGTGTGTGTGTATATATATATATATCATTTTTTTTTTTTTTTGAGACAGAGTCTCCATCTATCACCCAGGCTGGAGTGCAGTGGTGCGATCTCGGCTCACTGCAACCTCCACCTCCCAGGTTCAAGCGATTCTCCTGCCTCAGCCTCCTGAGTAGCAAGCACCACCATGCCTGGCTAATTTTTGTATTTTTAGTAGAGATGGGGTTTCACCATGCTGGCCAGGCTGGTCTTGACCACCTGACCTTGTGAACCGCCCACCTCGGCCTCCCAAAGTGCTGGGATTACAGGTGTGAGCCACTGCGCCTGGCCAAATTTGTATAATTAATACAAGAGAGAAACGTACTTAATGTGGAAAAGCTTTCAGGGAAAATGAATACTCATTTGGTATATGATAATTTACATTGGGGCGACTACTCACATCTTTGAGTGTTTTGAATATGGGAAGTCTTTTGTTCAAGCCTCACGCTGCATTCAGTTTCAGGGAATTCACCTTAGAGAGAAACCAGGTGGCTGGAAAGGGAGTGGAAACATCTTCAGGCAGGCCTCCAGGCTTCTTAGGCACCAGGAATTCACAGCAGAGAGAGAGGCCCTGTGAGTTGGAGGCTTTCAATCAGTGCTCAAACCGGGGGCCACATTGGTTATTCATACCAGGAGACAAACCATACAAGCATAGCACAGGTGGGAATGCATTCTGGAAACATATAAAACTGGCCAGGCGCGGTGGCTCATGCCTGTAATCCCAGCACTTTGGGAGGCTGAGGCGGGTGGATCACGAGGTCAGGAGTTCAAGACCAGCCTGGCCAACGCAGCTAAACCCTGTCTCTACTAAAAATACAAAAATTAGGCAGGCATGGTGGCGCGTGCCTGTAATCCCAGTTACTCGGGAGGCTGAGGCAGGAGAATCGCTTGAACCCAGGAGGCAGAGGTTGTGGTGAGCCAAGATCACGCCACTGCACTTCAGCCTAGGCAACAGAGCGAGACTCCATCTCAAAAAAAAAAAAGGGTAAAACTTACTCAAAGCTGAGTGCATTGGTGTGTGCCTGTAGTCCCAGCTGCTCCAGAGGCTGAGGAAGGAAGATTTGCTTGAGTCTAGGATTTCGAGGCCAGCCTGGGCAACAGAGCAAGACCTGTTCCCTTAAAACAAAACAAAGCCAGGTGTGGTGGCTCATGCCTGTAATCCCAACACTTTGGGAGGCCGAGGCAGGCAGATCACTTGAGGCCAGGAGTTAAAGACCAGCCTGGCCAACATGGTGAAACCCTGTCTCTACAAAAAATATGAAAATTAGCCAGGCGTGGTGATGCACGCCTGTAATTCCAGCTACTCAGGAGGCTGAAGCACGAGAATCAGTTGAACCTGGGAGGGGGAGCTTGCAGTGAGCCAAGATCGTGCCACTGCACTTCAGCCTGGGCAATAGAGTGAGATGCTGTCTGAAAACAAAACAAAAAAGAGAGGCTGGGCAAGGTGGCTCATGCCTGCAATCTCGGCACTTTGGGAGGGTGAGGTGGGAGGATCGCTTCAACTCAGGAACTCAAGACCAGCCTGGGCAACATAATGAGGTTCTGTCTCTACGGAAAAAAAAAAAAAAAAAAAGAAGGCTGGGCGCGGTGGCTCATGCCTGTAATCCCAGCGCTTTGGGAGGCTGAGGCTGGCGGATCACAAGGTCAGGAGACCGAGACCAGCCTGGCCAACATGGTGAAACCCCATCTCTAGTAAACGTACAAAAATTAGCTGAGCATGGTGTCGGGCACCTGTAATCCCAGCCACTTGGGAGGCTGAGGCAGGAGAATTGCTTGAACCCAGGAGGCAGAGGTTGCAGTGAGCCGAGATGGCACCATTGCACTCCAACCTCGGTGACTGGGCGACAGGGCGAGACTCCGTCTCAAAAAAAATAAAAAAGGCTAGGCGCGGTGGCTCACGCCTATAATCCCAGCACTTTGGGAGGCCGAGGCAGACGGATCACCTGAGGTCAGGAGTTCAAGACCAGCCTGGCCAATATGGTGAAGCCCCATCTCTACTAAAAACACAAAAATTAGCCAGGTGTGGTGGCCATGCTTGTAATCCCAGCTACTCAGGAGGCTGAGGCAGGAGAAGCTTGAACCCAGGAGGCGAAGGTTGCAGTGAGCTGAGATCACGCCACTGCACTTTAGCCTGAGCGACAAGAGCGAGACTCCGTCTCAATAAACAAACAATAAAATAGCCATGTGTGGTGGCATGTGCCTATAGTCCCACCTACTCAGGAGGCTGAGGCGGGAGGATCACTTCAGCCCAGGAGATTCAGGATGTAATGAGCTATGATTGTGCCACTGCACTCCAGCTCGGATGACAGAGCCAGATGCTGTCTCAGTAAAACCAAAACAAAACAATCAACTTTTCAGCACCAAATAATTCACATGAGAGAGAAACTCTCTTTGTGCAGAGCATGCAGGAAATTGCTTGGAGGAAGTTCAATCCTTTCTCCTCATCAGATAATTCCCACTGGAGAAAAAACCTTATAAGTGCAAGCAATGTGGGGAAGTTTTCAGTGGTGATTGAGCCTCATTCATCATCTGACACTTCATGTTGGAAAAAAGCCTCAGGGAATGTGAAGACGATGGAAGAGGTTTCAATCCAATTTCACCTCTTTTTTTTTTGAGATGAAGTCTTGCTCTGTCACCCAGGCTGGGGTGTTATGGTGCAATCTCAGCTCACTGCAACCTCGCCTCCCAGGTTCAAGCGATTCTCCTGCCTCAGCCACCCAAGTAGCTGAGACTACAGGCATGCACCGCCACACCCAACTAATTTTTGTATTTTTAGTAGAGACAGGGTTTCACCATGTTTGCCAGGCTGGTCTTGAACTCCGGGCCTCATGTGATCTGCCTGCCTCGGCCTCTTAAAGCACTTGGATTACAGGCGTGAGCCACCACACCCGACCACCAAGCTCATCTCTTATTGGCTATTAGAGAATTCACAGTAAAGAAATGAGCTGGGGAAGCTTTCTGAGGGCACTAAAAGTTTATTAAACATCAGAGCATTTATACCACAGATAAGTTCTGCAGACATATGATTTTCACCAGCCTGGGAGACATGGTGAAACCCCATCTCCACGAAAGATACAAAAATCAACCAGACATGGTGGTACTTGCTCATATTCCCAGCTACTTGGGCGACAGAGGCAAGAGGATCGCTTGAGTCCAGGTGTTTGAGACTGCAGTGAGCTATAATCTCACTGCTGCGCTCCAAACTGGGCGACAGAGTGAGACTCTGTCTCAAAAAAAAAAAAAAAAGAAGGAGAGGAGAAGAAAAAATAAGTAACTATTGGGTACTAGGCTTAGTACCTGGGTGATGAAACCATCTGTACAGCAAAGCCCCGTGACGCGAGTTTGGCTATATAACAAAACTGCACATGTACCCCTGAGCCTAAAATAAAAGTTTTAAAAAAAGATTTTTAATGTACAGCGTTATAAATTATTCTGAAGTTTGTAATCCTCTCCTTTTCAAAACTCTCTTAGTACTTCCATAATGCCATTTAGGTCCTGTATTTTGACTTATATGAGGTTTTCTCTTATATCATGGGGGGTTTAACACGTATTTATTAAATCTAAGAAGTAATAAATATAGGAAAAAACAGACCTTTAGAAGTCCAGAACTCCATCAAATATTGAAGGAACTTCAAGGACAAGTCAGAGTCTTTTTTTTCTTTTTCTTTTTTTTTCTTTTTTTTTTTGAGGTGGAGTTTCCTTCTATCACCCAGGCTGGAGTGCAGTGGCATGATCTCACTGCAGCCTCCACCTCCTGGATTCAAGCAATTCTCCTGCCTCAGCCTCCCAAGTAGCTGGGACTACAGGTTCCTGCCACCACCCCCAACTAATTTTTGTATTTGTAGTAGAGACGGGGTTTCACTATGTTGGCCAGGCAGGTCTTGAACTCCTGACCACGGTGATCCATCTGCCTCTGCCTCCCAAAGTACTGGGATTACAGGCGTGAGCCACCACATTTGGCCAATTCTGCGTTGTTAAGGATTGCTTCAGATGGGTAATGGTGGGGCAACCAGGCTTAAGTTCAAAATTTAATGGAATAATCTTCATTTGTAGGGTAAATTGAGGATACCCATGTGATGAAAGATGCTTGTTTGTTTTATATTAAAATCTTAGAATTTTATAGAAGGAAATGATTGAAGACTTTTTTATTATTATTTAAAAATTTTAGGCTGGTCACGGTGGCTCATGTCTGTAATCCCAGCACTTTGGGAGGCCTAGTCGGGAGGATCACTTGAGTTGCTTGAACTCAGTAGTTCAAGACCAGCCTGGGTAACATGGCGAAACCCACATCTCTATAAAAATTTAAAAAATTAGCCAGGCATGGTGGCATGTGCCTGTAGTCCCAGCTACTTGGGAGGCTAAGGTGGGAGGATTGCTTGAGCCTGGCAAGTGGAGGTTGCAGTGAGCTGAGATTGTGTCACTGCACTCCAGCCTAGGTGACAGAGTGAGACCCTTTCGCAGAAAAATAAATAAACAAATAAATTTTAAAAATAGAGATGGAATCTCACTCTGTTCCCTAGGCTGGTCTCAAGCAATCCTTGTGCCTCAGCCTCACAAAGTGCTGGGATCACAGGCATGAGCCACCACACCTGGCCAATTCCACAATTCCACATTGTTTTGTTTTTGAGGTCGCCCAGGCCGGAGTGCAGTGGTGTGAGCATGGCTCACTGCAGCCTCCACCTCCTGGGCTCAAGTTATCCTCCCACCTCAGCCTCCCAAGTAGGTGGAACTACAGGCATGTGCCACCATGCCCAGCTAATTTCCTTGATTTTTTTTTGTAGAGAGGAGGTCTCACTATGTTGCCCAGGCTGGTGTCAAACTCCTGGCCTCAAGCGATCTGCCCACCTTGGCCTCCCAAAGTGCTGGGATTACAGGCATAAGCCACCACATTCGGCCAACTTTGCATTGTTTTGTTGTTTCATTTTGGTTTGTTTTTGAGGCAGAGTCTTATTCTGTCTACCAGGCTGGAGTGCAGTGGTGTGATCTTGGCTCACTGCAACCTCTGCCTCCTGGGTTCAAGTGATTCTCCCACCTCAGCCTCCCAAGTAGCTGGGATTACAGGCATGTGCCAACACGCCCAGCTGATTTTTGTATTTTTAGTAGAGACAGGGTCTCACTATGTTGCCCAGGGTGGTCTCAAACTCCTGACCTCAAGAGATCCTCCCACTTTGGCCTCCCAAAGTGCTGGGATTACAGGTGTGAGCCACCACACCTGGCCAGTAATTGAAGATCTTCAATTCAGTTGCTCACTTTTTTTTTTGAGACGGAGTCTCACTCTGTTGCCCAGGCTGGAGTGCAATGATGCAATCTTGGCTCACCACAACCTCCGTCTCCTGGGTTCAAGCAATTCTCCTGCCTCAGCCTCCCGAGTAACTAGGATTATAGGCATGCGCCACCACGCCCAGCAAATTTTGTGTTTTTTGTCGAGATGGGGTTTCTCCATGTTGGTCAGGCTGGTCTCGAACCTGACCTCAGGTGATCCTCCTGCCTCAGCCTCCCATAGTGCTGGGATTACAGGCGTGAGCCATGGTGCCCGGACGAGTTGCCCATTTTTTAATTGGCAAACATGATCAAAGAGGTTGGGTAATTTTCTCAAGGTGTGGTAGTGGGAATTGAAGCCTTTCTAGGTCTCTTGACTCTATAAATTGTCTGCAGTAATTTTTCTATTCGCTATTATCTTTTTGATATGTGGTAGGTCAACTTATTTTTTAAAAAGTAATTTTGAGGTAAAATCATCTGTTTCTGGTCAAAAGTCAGGTAGCTAAGTCCTTCATGAAGAGGAATGCCTGCATGAGCTAGATTACTCAAAGCGTTATAGTATAAAAGACACCCCCTCCCATCTCTTGGAAGCCTTCAAATGCTCGAAAGAATGTTCCAGAAGGCCGGCTGTGACTAGGAGCTGAATAGAGGCTGCTTCCTCTGAAAAATAAGATCACGTCAAGCTGGGCAAATCTGAGAGCTATGAACCTTCCTAAATGTCAAAATTGCTAAGGTATTTTTAAAACTCGGAGGCTTTTATTGACTTAACGACTGAGAAGATGAAAGCAGTGGAAAACGTGAAGAAATCACGCTTTTGTTAGGTGTTGAATTGCCGGAGATGTATCTGTGTCATGAACTGAATTGCATCTCCCAAATTTATATGTTGAAGTCCTAACCTCCAGGACCTTAGAATGTGACTATATTTGGAGATGGGGTCTTTAAAGAAGTTAAGTTAGAATGAGGTCATTGGGGTGGGCCCCCACCCAATCTGACTGGTGTCCTTATAAGAAGGGGAGATGGGGCCGGGTGCAGTGGCTGATGCTTGTAATCCCAGCACTTTGGGAGGCCGAGGCAGGCAGATCACTTGAGGTCAGGAGTTCCAGACCAGCCTGGACAACATGGTGAAACCCCGTCTCTACTAAAAATACAAAAATTAGCTGGGCATGATGGCACGCACCTGTAGTCCCAGCTACCTGGGAGGCTGAGGCAGAAGAATTGCTTGAGCCCGGTAGGTGGAGGTTGCAGTGAGCCGAGATTGCGCCACTGCACTCCAGCCTGGGCGACAGAGGGAGACTCTGTCTCAAAGAAAAAAAAAAAAGAAGAAGAAGGGGAGATGGGGCCGCGCATGGTGGCTCACGCCTGTAATCCCAGTACTTTGGGAGGCTGAGGTGGGGGGAATCACTTGAGGTCAGGAATTGGGATCAGCCTGGGCAACATAGCAAGACCCTGTCTCTCCAAAAAAAAAAAAAAAAGGTTGTGGGGTGATAGATTAGGACACAGACATACACAGAGGAAAGAGGACATGAACACAGGGAGAAGGTGGACATCTGCAGGCTAAGGAGAGAGGCCTCAGAGAGAATCAACCCTGGCGTCACCTTGGCCTCAGCCTCCCAGCCTCCAGAACTGTGAGGAAATAGATTTCTGTTGTTTAAACCATCCAATCTGTGGAACTTTGTTCAGAAAGCCCTAGCAAATTTACTGCAACATGCAAAAGCGGGCTAGCTCAGCAGGGCACAGTGGCTCACGCCTGTAATCCCAGCACTTTGGCCGAGGCGGGTGGATCACCTGAGGTTGGGAGTTTGAGACCAGCCTGACCAACATGGAGAAACCCCATCTCTACTAAAAATACAAAATTAGCCGGGCATGGTGGCACATGCCTGTAATTCCAGCTACTTGGGAGGCTGAGGCAGGAGAATCGCTTGAGCCCGGCAGGCGGAGGTTGCGATGAGCCGAGATCACACCATTGCACTCCAGCCTGGGAAACAAGAGCAAAATTCAGTCTCAAAAAAAAAAAAAGTCAGCTAGCTCATGTCTTTTTATTATTTTTGAGACAGGATCTTGTTATGTTGACCAGTTTGAAGTGTGGTGGTACAATCATAGCTCACTGTAGCCTTGACCTCCTGGGCACGAGGGATCCTCCCGTCTCAGCCTCCAGAGTAGCTGGGACCACAGGCATGCACCACCATGCCTGGATAATTTTTATATTTTTTGTAGAGATGGGGTCTCTTTATGTTTCCCAGGCTGGTCTCGAACTCCTGGCCTCAAACAATCCTCCTGCCTCTACTTCCCGAAGTCCTGGGATTACAGGCATAAGCCACCACGCCTGGCTTCATGGTACTGAAACACTCTACAGAGTACTGGTAAGTACACAATACAATTTTCCTTTAGATTCAGTTTTTCTATCCCAGAACTTGCTGAATGTGATTCCCAGGCAAGCCTTGTGCATTCCTGGACTGTTTCCGCCATGCATTCTGAGTGTGGGATGCAGAAACAGATTTTCAGATATGAGTGCTTTATTAACTCCCAAAAGGCACAAAGAAAAAGATCTTTGGTCCAGGCACAGTGGCTCACACCTGTAATCCCAGCACTTTGGGGGACCAAAGCGGGCGGATCACTTGAGGTCAGAAGTTGGATACCAACCTGGCCAACAAGGAAAAACCCCGTCTCTACTAAAAATACAAACATTAGCCGGGCAATGTGGCAGGCCCCTGTAATCCCAGTTACTTGAGAGGCTGAGGCAGGAGAATCACTTGAACCCAGGAGGCGGAGGTTGCAGTGAGCAGAGATCACACCACTGCACTCCAGCCTGGGTGACAGAGCAAGACTCGGTCTCAAAAAAAAAAAAAGAAAAAAGAAAGAAAGGAGGAAGGAAGGAAGGAAGAGAGGAAGGAAGGGAGGGAGGGAGGGAGGGAGGGAAAAGAAAGAAAAGAAAGGAAAAGAAAAGAAAAGAGAAGAAAAGAAAAGAAAAAGGTATTTGCACATTTCTGATCACAGAGGCCCTGAAGATGGATCTGCTGGCCTTTTACTATTCTTAGAAACCTGCTTGGTGTTTGGGAGGAGGGTTGGAGAAGGAGGCAAGAGCTGACCTTCCTCGCCCTGCAGAAGCATGCGGGGGTGGCTGTTCTGTGTTCAGTGAGGCATCACGTGTTTTCCTCCCCTTCTCTGGCCAGGCACTGGTTGTCCCATGTGCCCTTAGCTCTCAGAGCATCCAGCTCTGCCAACCTTGCAGGAAGATCTGGGGGTAGAGGGATTGGGGGAGAATCTTTATTGGGGCCACACACTCTGCAGCCTCATAGGACTGGTGGGGCAGGAGCCAGGGTCCAGTTGACCCTGATGAAAAGTTTAATGAAGATATGTAGCCCAGCTCTGGTCGGGCACAGTGGCTCTCACACCTGCAATCCTAGTGCTTTGGGAGGCTGAGGCGGGTGGATTGCTCGAGCCCAGGAATATGAGACCAGCCTGGGCAACATGACGAGACACCCCTCTTTATTTTATTTTAATTTTATTTTATTATTTATTATTTCTTTATTTCTTTATTTTTTGAGACTGAATTTCACTCTTGTCGCCCAGGCTAGAGTGCAATGGCGCGATCTCGGCTCACTGCAACCTCCGCCTCCCAGGTTCAAGCAATTCTCCGGCCTCAGCCTTCCGAGTATCCGAGTAGCTGGGATTATAGGCACGTGGCACCATGCCCGGCTAATTTTTATATTTTTAGTAGAAATGGCGTTTCATCATGTTGGCCAGGCTGGTCTGGAACTCCTGACCTCAGGTGATCTACCCGCCTTGGCCTCCCATAATGCTGGGATTACAGGGGTAAGCCACCATGCCCGGCCGATGCCCCTCTTTATAAAAATACATAAAATTAGCCCGATGTGGTGGTGCATGCTCGTAGTCCCAGCTACTGAGGAGGCTGAGGTGGGAGCATTTCTTGAACCTGGGAAGTTGAGGTTGCAGTGGACTGTGATCATGCTGCTGCACTCCAGCCTGGGGGACAGAGCAAGACCCTGTCTCAAAAAAACAAATAAATAAATAAAGCAATTATTATAATATGATGGTCAAAGTGTTCTTATTCAGTTAGCCTCTCACCAGAGCTTAGCGGAAGGGTCTTCAACTCCAGACTGCAAGTTAAGGAAAAGTTTTGAAGAGGTAATGGCAGAAATGAGTTTTTTTCTGTTTTTGTTTTTTTGTTTGTTTTTGAGACGGGATCTCGCTGTGTTCCCCCAGGCTGGAGTACGGTGTTGCAATCATAGCTCACTGCAGCCTGGAACTCCTGGGCTCATGTGATCCTCCCATCTCAGCCTCCCAAGTAGCTGGGACTACAGGTGCACCACCACACCCAGCTAATTTTTTAATTTTTTTGTAGAGACAGTGTCTTGCTATGTTGCCCAGGCTGGTCTCAACCTCCTGGGCTCAAGCGATCCTTTCTCCTCGGCCTCCCACAATGTTGAGATTAGAGTTGTGAGCCACCATGCCCACCTAGGGTGATATTCTGGTTTTTTTTTGTTTTGTTTTTGAGATGGAGTTTCACTGTTGTCATCCAGGCTGGAGTGCAGTGATACAGTGGCGCAATCTTGGCTCACTGCAACCTCCGCCTCCTGGGTTCAAACGATTCTCGGGATTACAGGCATGAGCCACCGCGCCTGGCGTCCATATCTCGGAAAATTTTCGATCTGTGGTTGGCTGAATCCATGCATGGGGAACCTGCAGCTATAAGGGTCAACTGTATTGGCCTCGTCAGTCAGGAAGTGGTCCTTCTTCTGTTTTCTGGAGATTACGTGTAATTAGTGTCGATATTTCTTTAACTATGAGTAGACTTCTCCAGTGAAACTATCTGGGTCTGGAGATATCTTTTTCAAGAGTGGGAGGAAAGAGTTAATACAACAGGTCTGTTTCCCCCCTTTCTCACTTATCTCTGTAGCCAAGGTGATGGCTGTTTGTCAAACTCTGAAAACCAAACTTCTGGAATATTCACATAGTTACTGGTTCAGATGTTATTCTCCATGGCCAAAACAGTGAGCCCAGATGAACCAGGCTGTCAGCAGATTTAAAGTAAACATAAAGATTCATGATACTTGGCCAGGTGCAGTGGCTCATGCCCGTAATCCCAGAATTTTGGGAGGCCAAGGCGGGCGGGATTGCTTGAGGTTAGGAGTTCAAAACCAGGCTGGCCAGCATGGGAAAAACCTGTCTCTACTGAAAATACAAAAAATTAGCTGAACATGGTGGTGAACGCCTGTAATCTCAGCTACTTGGGAGGCTGGGGCAGGAGGATCACTTGAACCTGGGAGACAGAGGTTGCAGTGAGCCAAGATCACACCACTGCACTCCAGCCTTGGTGACAGAGCGAGACTCCGTCTCAAAAAAAAAAAAAAAAAAAAAAAAAAAGAAGAAGCAGCAGCTACAGTAAGCTATGATCATGCCACTGCACTCCAGCCTGGGTGACATAGTGAGACCCCATTTCTAAAAAAAAAGAAAAAAAGATTCATGATGCCCAACCTGTGGTTAAGGGCTGTGTTTGGTCACATGGCAGGAATGTTGCCCAGGCTGGAATGCAATGTCGCGATCTCAGCTCACTGCAACCTCCGCCCCCTGGGTACAAGCTATCCTTCCGCCTCAGTCTCCTGAATAGCTGAGAATGCAGGCGTGTGCCACCACACCTGGCTAATTTTTTTATATTTTTAGTAGAAACGGGGTTTCACCATGTTGGCCAGGCTGCTCTCAACCTCCTGACCTCAGGTGATCTGCCCTCCTCAGCCTCCCAAAGTACTAGGATTACAGGCACGAGCCATCACGCCCATCCCACAAATGTTTTAATTTTTTTTTTTTTCCAGATGGAGTCTCACTCTTGTCACCTAGGCCGGAGCACAGTGGCGTGGCCTTGGCTCACTGCAACCTCTGCCTCGCGGGTTCATGCGATTCTTCTGTCTCAGCCTCGCGAGTAGCTGGGATTACAGGAGCCCACCACTATGCCTGGCTAATTTTTTTTTTTTTTGAGACGGAGTCTCGCTCTGTCGCCCAGGCTGGAGTGCAGTGGCGCGATCACAGCTCACTGCAAGCTCTGCTTCCCGGGTTCACGCCATTCTCCTGCCTCAGCCTCCCGAGTAGCTGGGACTATAGGCGCCTGCCACCATGCCCGGCTAATTTTTTTTGTATTTTTAGTAGAGACGGGGTTTCACCGTGTTAGCCAGGATGGTCTCGATCTCCTGACCTCGTGATCCGCCTGCCTCGGCCTCCCAAAGTGCTGGGATTACAGGTGTGAGCCACCGCGCCCGGCCCCTGCTAATATTTTTGTATTTTTAGTAGAGACAGGTTTTCACCATATTGGCCAGGCTGGTCTGGAACTCCCGACCTCAGGTGATCCGCCTGCCTTGGCCTCCCAAAGTGCTGGGATTACAGGCGTGAGCTACCACGCCCAGCCTAATTTTTTTTTTCTTTTTAATAAAGACGAGGTCTCACCATGTTGCCCAGGCTGGTCTCAAACTCCCGGACTCAAGCAATCCTCCCACCTCGGCCTCCCAAAGTGCTGGGATTACAGGGGTGAGCCACTGCGACTGGCCTGACCACACAAATTTTGACACCAGAACTCAAGTGGAATTTCCTGGGCAAGGACATCTCACACAAGTCCTTGCAGTTTGCTCCTGGAAAAGATATGTCTGTGCATTCCTGCAGAGAGAGGATAAAAAAGTGTGCATTTGACCTCTCCAGCCTTCATCTATTAATACCCTTTTTCCTGCTGTTCTTGTATTGTATCCTCCGCTGTAATATATCTTCACCTAGAGCATAACTTTATCTGCAGTCACGTGGGTCCTTCCAGGGAATCACCAAACTAGCTGTATGTGACCACGAAGACAAGAAATTGTTTTATTAAAACTATGAATTCAAGGCCAGGTGCAGTGGCTCAGGCCTATAATCCTAACACTTTGGGAGGCTGAGGTGGGTGGGTCACCTGAGGTCAGGAGTTTGAGACCAGCCTGGTCAACATGGTGAAACCCTGTCTCTACTAAAAATACAAAAAATTAGGATTACAGGTGGTGGGCTCCTGTAATCCCAGCTACTCAGGAGGGTGAGGTGGGAGAATCGCTTGAACCTGGATGGCAGAGGTTGCAGTGAGCCGAGATCGTGCCACTGCACTCCAGCCTGGGTGATGGAGTGAGTCACCATCTCAAAAAAAAAGGGGAATTCAGCTGGGCATGGTGGCTCACACCTGTAATCTTAACACTTTGGGAGGCAAGGCAAGTGGATTGCTTGACCCCAGGAGTTGGAGGCCAGCCTGGGCAACTTGGCAAAACCCCATGTCCACAAAAAATAAAAAAATTAGCTGAGTGTGGTGGTGGGCGGCTGTAGTCCCAGCTACTCAGGAGGCTGAGGTGGGAGGATCACCTGAGCCCAGGAATTCAAGGCTGCAGGGAGCCGTGTTTATGCCACTGCACTCCAGTGTCGGTGACAAAGTGAGACGCAGTCTCGAAATGAAATAAAATAAAATAAAAAACCATGAATTCCATTTTTAAAATTGTTACAAGACTTTAAAAATTATGTTTCATATTGAGTGTTTTTTGGTAGTTTGTAGTTTTCAAGAAATTGGTCCATTTCTTCCAGCTTGTTGGATTTATATGGGTAGAGTTGCTTGGTATCCTTACTATCCTTTTATCAGTTTTTCTGGGTTTTTTTTTTTTTTTTTTGAGATGGAGTCTCGCTCTGTCACCCAGGCTGGAATACAATGGTGCAATTTTAGCTCACTGCAACCTCCACCTTCCTGAAGCGATTCTAGTGCCTTGGCCTCCCGAGTACCTGGGTTTACAGGCGCCCGCCACCACACCTGGCTAATTTTAGTATTTTTAGTAGAGACAGCGTTTCACCATATTGCCCAGGCTGGTCTTGAACTCCTGACCTCAGATGATCCACCCACCTCGGCCTCCCAAAGTGCTGCGATTACAGGCATGAGCCATCGCACCTGGCCTTGTTTTTTTGTTTTGTTTTGAGGTTTTGAGATGTAGTTTCACTCTTGTTGCCCAGGCTAGAGTGCCATGGCACGGATCTCGGCTTACTGCAATCTCCGCCTCCCAGGTTCAAGCGATTCTCCTACCTCAGCCTCCCAAGTAGCTGGGAGTACAGGCATGCACCACCTCGCCTGGCCCTCTTTTTTAAAGACAGAGTCTCACTCTGTTGCCCAGGCTGGTGTGGAGTGATATGATCTCAGCTCATTGCAGCGTCTGCCTCCCGGACTCAAGTGATCCTCCTACCTCCAGCCTCCCGAGTAGCTGGGACTAAAGGCGTGTACCGCCATGCCTGGCTAAGTTTTGTATTTTTATTTTTATTTATTGTTTTATGGGGGCTACAGCGGCAGGTGGCAAGGCGCCACGCCTGAGTGGGGATGGCGAGATTGTTCTCCAATCGCCAACCTCAATGGTGCAACGGGAGACGGACATGGGAAGGCTATGACGTCACGGGCCCTGTGACGTTATGGCAGGATACGGGGAAGGGAAGCAAAGCGAGGTAACGGGCAGCGGACTATAGCAAGAATATGGAATGCATCGCGAATCTGTGTGTCATCCTTGCGCTGGGGCCATGCTAATCTCTGTATCGTTCCAATTTTAGTATATGTGCTGCCAAAGCAAGCACAATTTTTGTATTTTTTGTAGAGACAGGGTCTTGCCATGTCACCGAGGCTGGTGGCAAACTCCTGAATTGAAGTGATTCGACCGCCTCGGCCTCCCAGAGTGCTGGGATTACAGGCATGATTCACAGCACCTACCCTCAAATGGATATTTTAAAACAAAAATACAACAACAAAAATTTAAAACTCACTGGATGGACTCAGTAACAATATGAAGGTGAGGAAGAGTCAGTAGACAAAGGTGGATTGATAGAAAACACTCAAACTAGCTGGTCACGGTGGCTCACGCCTGCAATCCCTGCACTTTGGGAGGCTGAGGTGGATGGATCATTTGAGGTCAAGAGTTCGAGACCAGCCTGGCCAACATGGCGAAACCCCGTCTCTAGTAAAAATGCAAAATTAGCTGGGCGTGGTGGTGCACACCTGTAATCCCAGCTACTCGGGGGGCTGAGGCAGGAGAATTGCTTCAACCTGGGAGGTGGAGGTTGTGGTAAGCCAAGGTCGTACCATTGCACTCCAGCCTGGGCAACGAGAGCAAAAAAAAAGAACAACAACAACAAAAAGAACCAAAACTGGGACTGGGCACGGTGGCTCACGTCTGTAATCCCAGGACTTTAGAAGGCAGAGGTGGGTGGATCACCTGAGGTCAGGAGGTTGAGACCAGCCTGGCCAACATGGTGAAACCCCATCTCCACTAAAAATACAAAAATTAGCCAGGTTTGGTGGTGAATGCCTGTAATTCCAGCTACTCGGGAAGCTGAGGCAGGAGAATTGCTTGAACCTGGGAGGCAGAGGTTGCAGTGAGCCGAGATCGTACCACTGCACTCCAGCCTAGGTGACAGAGCAAGACTAGCATCTCAAAAAAAAAAAAAAAAAAAAAAAAAACCGGAAAGAAAAGAAAAAGATCAATGGGATTACTTGGCGTATTTCTGTTTCTTTCAGGGAGATTTATCTGAAGAAAGAGAAAGGATTATTTCAGTATTCTCTGAAAAGCTTATTTTGAAAAGAGCCCTAGATCTTATACATAATTTCCTCATGATTCTCCAGAATTCTAAAAAGGGAAGCACATTGTTAATGTTATATATTTTTTTCATAGGGCTATTTTTAGACTGGACAGAATAGCAGAATAGTTTGTGTTTTGTGTGGACTTCAGAGTACATTGAAGCCTGTAAAATAACCACTCTTGTTACACATCTATATCCAAAGTCATATGACTCCAAGCATAGTATGACCCTTGTATATTACTAAAGACTACCCTATTGTTATGGTTTTGCCTTTTTTTTTTTTTTTTTGAGACGGAGCTTTGCTCTTGTTGCCCAGGCTGGAGTGCAGTGGCATGATCTCGGCTCACTGCAACCTCCGCCTCCCGGTTCAAGCGATTCTCCTGCTTCAGCCTCCCAAGTAACTGGGACTACAGGAGAGTGCCACCATGCCTGGCTAATTTTTGGATTTTTAGTAGAGACGGGGTTTCGCCATATTGGTCAGGCTGGTCTTCAACTCCTGACCTCAGATGATCCTCCCGCCTCGGCCTCCCAAAGTGCTGGGATTATAGGCGTGAACCACCACGCCTGGCCATGTTTTTGCTTTTATGATGTGTTTATTATAATTAGAATTCGATGCTGCTGCAGGATATGAGTAATTATTAAGAGAAAATATGACTTTTTAACAAAGCAGTTCCAGGAATACATTGTAGAGAAAAAAGATGACTACTTAAAATAGGGCTATTGTTAAAATGTTATCTATATTAAGGAACCTTCGTGAGATCCCCGACATCATTGTGAACACAACCTTTTGTGATTATGTTACATGATTTTTCCTTCATCCTTTTTCATTTTATCTAAGTTCTTGGCCATGCAGACACAACTGACAACACTTAACCCCTTTTGAAGACATTTTTCAATCTCTAAGTGACTACTAACTCTAACATATCTATCTTGTTTTTACCACAGCATTTTGAAAAATCAGAGTAGGCTGGGCACAGTGGCTCACGTCTGTAATCCCAGCACTTTAGCGGGCTGAGGCGGGCGGATCTCCTGAGGTCAAGAGTTCGAGACCAGCCTGGCGAACATGGTGAAACCCCATCTTTACTAAAAATACAAAAATTAGCCGGGCATGGTGGCGGGTGCCTATAATCCGAGCTACTCAGGAGGCTGAGGCAGGAGAATCACTTGAACAGCCCGGGAGGTGGGGTTTGCAGTGAGCTGACATCACACCATTGCACTCCAGCCTGGGTGACAGAGCAAGACTGTCTCAAAATAAAAAAAAAATAAAATAAATAAAGAAAATAAAAATCTGATTAATAGGGAAAATCTATATGTATATTTAGAAAAAAATGCTTTTCAGGACTGCGCGCAGTGGCTCACGCCTGCAATCCCCGCACTTTGGGAGGCTGAGGCAGGTGGATCACCTGAGGCCGGGAGTTTGAGACCAACCTGACCAACACGGAGAAACCCTGTCTCTACTAAAAATACAAAATTAATCGGGCACGGTGGTGCATGCCTGTAATCCCAACTACTTGGGAAGCCTGAGGCAGGAGAATTGCTTGAACCCGGGAGGCGGACATTGTGGTGAGCAGAGATCGCGCCATTGCACTCCAGCCTGGGCAACAAGAGCGAAACTGCATCTCAAAGAAAAAGAAAAAATGCTTTTCAAATTTTTGCATTTCTGACAACTAGACGTCCCCACCTGCCAACCAGTCTTGTGGCCCCCACCCAGGATCTGACTCAGCCCAAGAGGACAGCTTTAATTCCCTGTGATTTCATCTCCTCCACCCAACCAATCAACAGGCCCCCTACCCTAGCCCCTGCCCACCAAACTATCTTGGAAAAATCCCTAATCTCCAAGCCATTGGCAAGATTGATTTGAATAACATCTCCACCTCCCGCGTGGCATAGCTGGCTTCGCATCAATGAAACTCTTTAATGCCATGGTCTTGAGTGGACTTTGTTTATGTGGCAGTCAGGAAGAACCCCTTGGGCCATTACAAACATGGGGACATTGTGGAGAACCATTTTAGGGACCCCATCCCATTGAGTGCCACGAATACAGAAAAAATCCATGATCCCATTTACATGTTTTAGAAGTGAGAGAAACTCCAAATAAGATATGGCCAAGTTGTGCAACAGAATTTAGAATTTATTCAATATTACAGTGTTTGTATCACAGAGAACATCTTTGTCATTTATATAGGCAATTTTCCCTGGGGCTTCCATGCTATTGAACACTGTAACATTTATTTTGGAGAGAATCCCTGGGGATGGGGGAGGCATTGTCAACATTCCAATGCAGCATCAGCTAATTCAGATGCAACAAAGACTCTATCAATGCAGAAACGTGCAAAGAGCTTTCGGGAAAGTACAGCTCATTCAACATCGGAGAATTCACAATGGAGGAAAATCATATGTGCGTAATGGATGTAAAAATGCTTTGAGATGGTGCCCAGAGCTAATCAGACATCTGGGATTTTGTAGCAGAGAGAGGCCTTGTGAGTATAATGGATGAGGAAGAACCTTCAATCAGAGTTCCATACTTAGACAATATCAGCTAATTCAGTTGGGACTTAAAATGGTCATACGTAATGAAGACGGAAAACTCGGGGAAGCGTGGAGAATACGGAATGTGAGATCATCCACACTGGAGAGAAGCCTCGGGAGTATAATTAGTGTGGAAAATCACTTGGGGACAAGCTTAGCTTTTTCATCATTGGAGAATTCACACAAAAAAAGGAATGAGCTTGGACAGATCGTGGGAGAACTTTCAGGCACTAATCAGGCCAATTCATCCCCGAGAAAAACCTTGATGACGAAGAAGGG
This sequence comes from Homo sapiens, assembly GCF_000001405.40. Classification (NCBI taxonomy): domain Eukaryota; kingdom Metazoa; phylum Chordata; class Mammalia; order Primates; family Hominidae; genus Homo; species Homo sapiens. Next base: position 101,273,849 of record NC_000007.14, read on the forward strand.
GAAAAAGTCTTCCAGTTTTTTTCCTTATTGGATTTCACAGAATCCTCAGTGATATATAGAGAAACTTGCTGGAGGAGTTCAGGGTTTATTAATATTCACATTAAAGCATTAATCCCATTAAAGTAGGGGTTTAAACTTTTTTACTTCTTTCACCCCAATCAAAGCTTTCATTCCTTACATCTCTATTGAGTGAATGAAGCAACAGGCAAACATCAATGGTGCATTGGCTTTGCCCTTCAAAACGTCATACAAGCCGGGTGTGGTGGCTCATGCCTGTAATTCCAGCACTTTGGGAGGCTGAAGCGGGTGGATCACGAGGTCAGGAGCTCGAGACCAGCCTGGCCAACATAGTGAAACCCTGTCTCTACTAAAAATACAAAAATTAGCCGGGCATGGTGGCACATGCCTATAGTCCCAGCTACTCAGGAGGCTGAGGCAGGAAAATCTCTTGAACCCAGGAGGCGGAGGTTGTGGTGAGCCGAGATCATGCCTCTGCACTCCAGCCTGGGCAACAGAGCGAGACTCCATCTCAAAAAAAAAAAACAAAAAAACAAAAAATCATACAATATGTGGGGTGCAGGACAGTATTGAGAGGTGCTGGGTTTGGTGCCAGAATCTGGCAGTTGCAAATTCTAATATCATCGCAACACACGCGTGGGTGGGCCCCATATATCTGATGAACTTCCAGGGGCCACATCTCTACAAATGCTGAAGATTATTTGGAGATGGGAAAATGGGGCTGGGGGTGCTTTTTCTCCAGGTCTGAGAAAAATGAAGTAATGTGTATTTCTTTCTTTCTTTTTTTTTTTTTGAGACAGAGTCTTGCTCTGTCACCCAGGCTGGAGTGCAGTAGCACGATCTTGGCTCACCGCAAGCTCCACCTCCCGGGTTCACGCCATTCTCCTGCCTCAGCCTCCCCAGTAGCTGGGACTACAGGCGCCCGCCACCACGCTCAGCTAATTTTTTGTATTTTTAGTAGAGACAGCGTTTCACCGTGTTAGCCAGGATGGTCTTGATCTCCTGACCTCGTGATCCGCCCACGTAGGCCTCCCAAAGTGCTGGGATTACAGGCGTGAGCCACCGCGCCTGGCCAGTAATGTGTATTTCAAAGATACATTAGGAGGATGCCAGTTTATCTTTGTTTTATATTTTCAAAAACAGAGATTTAAAGAGGACGGGCTAGAGCTCTTGCATTCAGCTTCTCATTTCATAAGGGAAGAATCAGGCATATGTCTTGTGTTGAAGCAACACACACACACACACACACACACACACACACACACACACACAACGCGTTGTTTGGCGAAAGTCGGACCAGAAGAAAGCTTTCTCTAATCCTCATCAACTGATTGCTTCTCTCCTACCAGCCTCGTTCCTTGTCCTTGGACCAGCATTCTAAGTCTTCCAAAATACATTCTTGCCTCTCCCTACAGTAACTCTCCCATTGAGTTCTTAATAGAGGTGAGTTAGGTTTTGCAGATTTCTGGCTCCTCGCTCTGCTTAGAGAAGCCAGAAAGAGGCCGGGCACGGTGGCTGATGCCTGAAATCCCAGCATTTTGGGAGGCTGAGGCAGGTGGATCACGAGGTTAGGAGTTCAAGACCAGCCTGACCAACATGGTGAAACTCCGTCTCTACTAAAAATACAAAAATTAGCTGGGTGTGATGGTGCATGCCTGTAATTCCAGCTGCTCAGGAGACTGAGGCAGGAGAATCACTTGAACCCGGGAGGCGGAGGTTGCAGTAAGCCAAGATTGTGCCATTGCACTCCAGCCTAGGCGACAGTGAGACAAAAAAAAAAAAAAAAAAAAAAAAAAAAAAAAAGAAGATGTCTGGAACTTTCCCAGATATCTCTTTCTTTCCTTGTCTGTGTCCCCTAGGCCTTGGGGTTAGGACTCAGAGCTGGGATTCCTCTGTAGGCAAGGACCAATCCTGATTCTTATTCCTTCCATATAAGCAATAATTCCATTTCTAATGTCTAAACTTAGGTTGATTTTCCACTGGGAGTTATAGCAAGAGCCACGGGTTTCTGAGAAGGGGTGAGGGATGCTTTAGGCTGCAATAGCAGAAATCTGCCTAGAAAATAAAGACACGTGACTTACAGATCAGAGACTGGAAGTGGGGGGTCCAGGATAGGTATGGTGGCTCAACGCTCTCATAGAGGACGTAGGCTCTGCCATCCTTAGTGTGTGGGCTTTTCCCCTTGGTCTTGTTGCCTCATGGTCTCAAGATGGTCCAGATCCCAGCCATCTCCCCATACTTTTGTTGTTGTTGTTGTTGTTGAGACAAAGTCTCACTCTATTGCCCAGGCTGGAATGTAGTGGCGTGATCTCAGCTCACTGCAACCTCTGCTGCCCGGGTTCAAGTGATTCTCCTGCCTCAGCCACCCAAGTAGCTGGGATTACAGGCACCTGCCACTGCGCCCAGCTAATTTTTGTTGTTTTTTTGTTTGTTTTTGTTTTTTGGAGACGGAGTGTTACTCTGTCACTCAGGCTAGAGTGCAGTGGCGCCATCCCGGCTCACTGCACCTCCGCCTCCGAGGTTCAAGTGATTCTCCAGCCTCATCCTCCTGAGTAGCTGGGATTACAGTCATGTGCCACCATGCCCTGCTAATTTTGTATATTTAGTAGAGACGGGGTTTCACCATGTTAGCCAGGCTGATCTCGAACTCCCGGCCTCAGGTGATCCGCCCACCTCGGCCTCCCAAAGTGCTGGGATTACAGGCGTGAGCCACCTCTCCTGGCAAGTGGGACGGCATGCTGCATGGGCCGGGAATCCCCATATGTTTCACCAGCACAGCTAAGTCATCTGCCCACTTTTAAGCCAACTGACAGCCAAGGGAACGAGCGGCAAACTGGCAGCAGTGACACCCACAGGCAGAAGGCAGCCCAGGGTTGGCTTGTCTCGGCCTTTTGTGGAGTCCCAACTCTGTTGTCACCCTCTCCTCCTTTATCCTCTTGCCAAAGCCAAGCTCATTTTCCCTCCACAATGAGGGGATTTTCTCCATGGTATAGCTGATTTTGGTTTTGCTTCAACGGCCAAGTTTCTTCTCCAGTGTAATTTCGGCCAGCACACTGGTCCGACCAGGCCCTACTTGCCCTCAGGACATCTTGTGGCTTACTAATTCTACTGTCTGCTTTTTCCGCCCCAGTTTCCAAAAGGGAATTGGCTGGCCTGGGTGACTTCCCTAAATTTTTGAGCCAGATGACTTCAAAAATCATTGGCCAGCCTATATGGGATCCTGGTCCAGTGAACTGTATATTTGGGGACTTGGTGGGTGGAAGAGAGGCAGGGTCACATGGTGTCACACAGCTGCCTGGGCAGCGGTTTCCATGGAGGGGCCAGGGGTAGCACAGGTGATGGTGCAATGGCCTAGGGCATCCATAGAGGGTTCTCAGAGCCCAATAACTGTACTAGACAACAAGGCTGCTCTGTCGGGAAGAGAGACCAAGTGGAAGAACATGAGGCACCAGTCACGTGACTGCAAAAGCCACTTTGGACATTTCAGCCCCAATAGCTGCTGCGAGAACAGGAGGCCTCAGACATAGTGGAGCAGAAATAAACCAGAATACAAGACTCACGAAACTGAGGGCATCATCACATTCTTGAGTCCGAACGGCCTCAAGGCTTCCATGGCTCGAGAACGTCCCCCAGTTCCCACAGCAGAAATTCCAGTGCCTGTGGGTAGAAAACTTGAGTTCCCTCATGAACATGGCTTTAATAGGGATTGGAAGTGTTTCTTGCCTACTAGACTTAGGATCTTGGGAAACTTTTTGGCTTTGACAGGCTGAAGAAGGGACTGTGGAGGTAGGACTATTTCTTTCTTATTCTTTTTCCTTTCTTTCTTTTTTTTTTTTTTTTGAGACGGAGTCTCGCTCTATCACCCAGGCTGGAGTGCAGTGGCACGATCTCAGCTCACTGCAACCTCCATCTCCCAGGTTCAAGCAATTCCAGGCAGGACTATTTCAAGATAGCCATGTAACAGACAGAAAACGGGCTGGTTCTTCCAGCAAATGGAATTTTAAAATTCCTCAATGGGGCCGGGCGCGGTGGCTGACACCTGTAATCCCAGCATTTTGGGAGGCCAAGGCGGGCGGATCTTGAGGTCAGGAGATCGAGACCATCCTGGCTAACATGGTGAAACCCCATCTCTACTAAACATACAAAAAATTACCTGGGCATAGTGGTACGCACCTGTAGTCCCAGCTACTTGGGAGGCTGAGGCAGGAGGAGAATCGCTTGAACCCGGGAGGTGGAGGTTGTAGTGAGCCGAGTTCATGCCACTGCACTCCAGCCTGGGAGACAGAGCAAGACTCCGTCTCAAAAAAAAAAAAAAATTAGCCAGGTATGGTGATGTGTGCCTGTAGTCCCAGCTACTCAGGAAGCTGAGATGGGAGGATCACTTGAGCCCAGGAGGTCAAGGCTGCAGTGAATTATAATCATGCCACTGCATTCCAGCCTGGGCAACAGAGCAAGACCCCATCTCTTAAAAAAAAAGAAAGTTACCACTTTGGGGAAATTGCAGACTCTAAGCCTAAACTCTACTGGCCCGATACACATGGCAAAATATTTGGTCAGGATTCTGGAAGAATATCAAAGAATTCACAGGGCAGAGGAAAGCTTTGAATATTATGAATGAGGGAAAATTTCCATTCATCTCATAATTCATACTAGAGAGACTCCCAATGAATGGCACCAGCGGAGGAAAATCCTCAGACGGAGGCAAGCAGTTATCGGAGATGCGAAAATCACAGGGGAGGACGTGGCACAGAATAGCGTGGAACCCACGTCACAGCTTGCGCCCAAGAGCATCACACGGGAGAGAACCTGCGTCCTCAATGAACGGCGTTCCAAAAAAGCACAACCGCACCAAGCATCAGATAAGCCATTCTGAGCTCAGTCTTTGGAATGTAATGAATTGGGGGTGGTGATCATTTGAGAAGAAATCAGCCCTTATTCATCAGCTGATGATTCCCACTGGAGAGAGGGCGGGTGCTCGTCACGGATGACGAAGCTCTGGGGGTGCTCCGATCACATATAACACAAGAGGCTGCAGAGGGGACCCAAGGGGGGCTGTCAGGGGGCCTCAGGGTACACGTGACATAAAACGGTTACAAGAGGAAAACATGATGAAAAGGGCAAATTTAGAAAGTGATTTCAGGCTGGGCACTGTGGCTCGCACCTGTAATCCCAGAACTTTGGGAGGCTGAGGTGCGGCGGGGCAGGGGAATCACTTGAGGCCAGGAGTTCAAGACAAGCCTGGGCAACATAGCAAGACCCCATCTCTACCAAAAATCAAACATAAATCAATAAAACATTTTTAAAAGCTTTTCTTTTTTGGAACTTGTCCTGTTAGCACCAGCAATGGCTGTGGGGAATGCAGACACCCTTTGGGGGAGTTTGCTCAGATGACACAGTCGTGCACATGTGATCCTTGGGGCAACTCACAGGGGTGCCCTAATGCCATGTACAAGAATCCAGGCCCAGGCCAGGCGCCGTGGCTCACGCCTGTAATCCAGCATTTTGGGAGGCTGAGGCGGGCAGATCACCTGAGGCCAGGTGTTCCAGACCAGCCTGGCCAACATGTTGAAACCCCGTCTCTACTAAAAATACAAAAATTAGCCATGCATGGTGGTGTGTGCCTGTAGTCCCAGATACTTGGGAGGCTGAAGCAGGAGAATCACTTGAACCCAGGAGGCAGAGGCGGAGGTTGCAGTGAGCCGAGATCACACCACTGCACTCCAGCCTGGGTGACAGAGTGAGAATCTGTCTCAAAAAAAAAAAAAAAGAGGCTCGTGGCCTCTGGGGAACACGCCCCATGAGAAACTGTGGTGGTGGCTGCTTCGTTCATTCCTTCATTCTTTTCATATCTTTGGAGCATCTGTTCTGTGCCTGGCACTACTCTGTGGGGGGATAGAGGACAGGGCAACCTTGGGGGTCAGAGGAGGGTCAGGGAAGTAGCAGCTGCTATTTCAGATTACAGGTGTGTGTGTGTCCCAAGGTTCCAGAGGGGAGGGAGCTTAGGTGGGGGCTCTGGGAAAGAGGGAGGAAGACCCTGATCTAATGACTGCCTACCACGTGTCAGGCTGGCAGGCGATGTCTCACAGCAACCCTGCAAGCTTGGTCCTGTTTTCTGCACTTTGCAAATGGAGAAAATAAGGCACATGTACAGCTGGTAAGTGGTAGAGTCGGTACTGAGACTGGGTTGGCCTCACTCCAAATCCCATTTCTCTTATTTATTTATTTATTTTTAATTTTTATTTTTTTCTGAGATGGAGTCTTGCTCTGTCACCCAGGCTGGAGTGCAGTGGCGTGATCTTGGCTCACTGCAACCTCCGCCTCCTGGGTTGAAGGATTCTCCTGCCTCAGCCTCCCAAGTAGCTTGGCTTACAGGTGTGTGCCACCAAGCCTGGCTAATTTTTGTATTTTTAGTAGAGACGGGTTTCACCATATTGTCCAGGCTGGTCTCAAACTCCTGACCCTCATGATCCACCCGCTTCGGCCTCCCAAAGTGCTGGGATTACAGGCATGAGCCACTGTGCCTGGCCTCTTTTTTTTTTTTAATTTTTTAGAGACAGGGTCTCACTCTGTCACCCAGGCTGGAGTGCACTGGCGTGATCACGGCTCACTGCAGCTTCAACCTTCTGGGTTCAAGCTATCCTCCTGCCTCAGCTTCCCGAGCAGCTGGGATTACAGGCATGCACCACCACACCTGGCTAATCTTTGTTTTTTGTAGAGATGGGGGTCTTACTATGTTTCCCAGGCTGGCCTCAAACTCCTGGCCTCAAGCAATCCTCCTGCCTCAGCCTCCTAAAGTGTTAGGATTACAGGTGTGTGCCACCGTGCCTGGCCCAAATCCCATTTCTTTCCACCATCACAAGGAACAGAACTAGTCCTTCAGCAGCACTGTTCCCTGGGATGTGTCTGCAGAGGCTTGGGAGACAATGAGAGGCACCCAGTGAACAGGGAGGAAAGGGGGTGGAAGGACATGTACTGGCTTTTGCAGACCCTCCTCAGGGAACAGTGAACACATTCATTCCTTCATTCACACATTTAGTCAGTTTTTTGCAGCAACAGGATCTCGTTCTGTCAGCCTGGCTGGAGTACAGTGGCACAATCATAGCTCACTGCACCCTTGAGCTCCTGGGTTCAAGCGACTGTCCCACCCTTGGCCTCCTGAGTAGCTAGGACTACAGGCCACGCCACCACACTTAGCTAAGTTTTTAATATTTTGAAGAGATGGGGTCTCACTATGTTGCCCAGGCTGGTCTCAAACTTCTGGCCTCAAGCGATCCTCCCACCATGGCCTCCCAAAGTGCTGAGATTACAGGTGTGAGCCACTGTACCTGGCCATATTTAGTAAAATCCTTACTGAGCCCTATGGGGTGCCAAGCACAGCGTCGAGGTGCTGGGGATATGCATGCGTGAGGCTGACACGTGCTTACCCTCATGGGGCTTCCATCTGAGAAGGCAGGCAGGCACTCCAGCACGCTAAGTGGTGTGACAGGGGCTCATTGGGCCCCATGGAAGCTCAGAGAATGACATAACACAGACTCGCAGCGTGGAGGGAGACTTCTGGGAAGAGATAACTCCTTATGAAAGGCTGGGAAGGCCAGGTGGGGTGGCTCATGCCTGTAATCCCAGCACTTTGGAAGGCCGAGGCGGGCAGATCATGAGATCGAGATCGAGACAATCCTGGCCAACATGGTGAAACCCCGTCTTCACTAAAAATACAAAAATTAGCTGGGTGTGGTGGCGCACACCTGTAGTACCAGCTACTCAGGAGGCTGAGGCAGGAGAATCGCTTGAACCTGGGAGGCAGAGGTTGCAGTGAGCAGAGATTGTGCCACTCTGCCCTTCAGCCTGGGCCACAGAGTGAGACTCCATTTTTTTTAAGAGAAAAGAAAAGAAAAGAAAAAAGGAAAGAAGGAAGGAAGGAAGAAAGGAAGGAAGGAAGGAAGGAAGGAAGGAAGGAAGGAAGAAAGAAAGAAAGAAAGAAAGAAAGAAAGAAAGAAAGAAAGAAAGAAAGAAAGAGAAAGAAAGAAAGAAAGAAAATGCTGGGAAGAGCCTTCTGGAAAGGTGCATGCAGGAGGGTCTGCTGGTGGCAGAGCTGAGTGATCGCAAACGCAGCTGACATGAGCCCAGTGCTGTCTGGTAACAGTATGTGGGGTGGCGGGTGGCAAGGAAAAAGGCCGGAAGCGAGACCAGGGCATCCGGGGCCCAACAGGCCTTATAAGGAGTTCAGACTGGGTCCTAGGCAATGATGGGAAACCGGTGAAGGGTGTGAAGCTGGGGGTGATGACCCGTGAAGCCCGAGGCTGCAACACAAGGGGAGAGCTGTCCAAAGGTTCGCCAAATTCTGGCCGGGCGCGACGGCTCACGCCTGTAATCCCAGCACTTTGGGAGGTGGAGGCTGGTGTATCACCTGAGGTCAGGAGTTCGCGACCAGCCTGGCCAAGGTGGTGAAACCCCATCTCTACTAAAAATACAAAAATTAGTTGGGCATGGTGGCGCATGCCTGTAGTCCCAAATACTCGGGAAGCTGAGGCAGGAGAATCGCTTGAACCTGGGAGGCGGAGGTTGCAGTGAGCTGAGATCGCACCACTGCACTGCACTCCAGCCTGGCGACAGGGCGAGAATCTGTCTCCAAAACAAACAAACAAACAAAAAAACAATCAGCCAGGCATGGTGGTGGGTGCCTGTAATCCCAGCTACTTGGCTGAGGCACGAGAATCGCTTGAACCCAGGAGGCAGAGGTTGCAGTGAGGCGAGATTACACCATTGCACTCCAGCCTGGGCAACAGAGCAAGACTCCATCTCAAAACAAAAACAAAACAAAAAAACAAAAGAAAAAGCTGTACGCAGGAAGGTCTGTGGGTGGCAGAGGTGAGTGATCGTAATCGCAGCTGACATAAGCCCACTGCTGTCCAAAAACAGAGGCTGTGGGGTGGCAGGCGGCAGGGAAGGAGGCTGGAAGCTGGACCAGGGCATCCTGGGCCCGACAGGCCTTATGGGTCCTGGGCAATGATGGGATATTGGTGAAGAGTGTGAGGCTGGGGGCGATGGCCTGTGAAGCTGGAGGCTGCAACACAAGGGCAGAGCTGTCCAGAGATTTGCCAAATTCGGGCAGAACGATGCAAGAGTGAGCATGTGAGTTCTGTCTTTTTTCCCTCATGAACCAAGGTTTCCAAGAGGCGCACTGAGCAGTGAGCAGGAAAGCTAGGAGCGACTAAGGGTGATCCGAGTGGGAGCTGCCAGCACCAGGTGCCAGAGCTGCGGTTTCCAGCTTTGGGGCCAACGTTCTTAAGCACACATCCCCCTCTTGTGGTCGAGAGCGGTATTGCCGCTGAAGAGAAAGGCTAGAGACCTCCTCCAGGTTCTCATCCTGAAAACCCCAAGGTATAGGCCAGGGGCTGCATCTACGTTGTGAACCCCACGAGATTTCCCACTTCTTTTTAAGAAAGATCTGATTGCTGGGCGCGGTGGCTCATGCCTGAAATCCCAGCACTTTGGGAGGCCGAGGCGGGCGGATCACAAGGTCAGGAGATCGAGACCATCCTGGCTAACACGGTGAAACCCCGTTTTTACTAAAAATACAAAAAATTAGCCGGGCGTGGTGGCGGGCGCCTGTAGTCCCAGCTACTCGGGAGGCTGAGGCAGGAGAATGGCGTGTACCCGGGAGGCAGAGTTTGCAGCGAGCCGAGACTGCGCCACTGCACTGCAGCCTGGGCGACAGAGCGAGACTCCGTCTCAAAAAAAAAGAAAAAGAAAAATCTGTTTTAGGCCGGGTGCGGTGGCTCACGCCTGTAATCCCAGCACTTTGGGAGTCCGTGGCGGGCGGATCATTTGATGTCAAGAGTTCGAGAGCAGCCTGGCCAATATGGTGAAACCCCGTCTCTACTAAAAATACAAAAATTAGCCGGGTGTGGTGGCGGGCGCCTGTAATCCCAGCTACTCTAGAGGCTGAGGCAGGAGAATTGCTCGAACCCGGGAGGCAGAGGTTGCAGTGACCTGAGATCGCACCATTGCACTCCAGCCTCTCCATAGACTCCATCTCAAAAAAAAAAAAAAAAAAAAAAAAAAAAAAAAAATTCTGATTAATGGGGAAAATCTCCATGTATGTATACTTAGAAAAAAATGCTAGAAAGACACTGAAACGTTACCAGAAATTCTTTCAAGAATATGTGACTAATTTTTTTCACTTTCTTTATATGTATTTCAAAATGTTCTATTTCATGCCTGACTTTTGTTGATAAGACAAAAAATGTATTATGATTTAAAAAAAAAGAAAGGCCGGGTGCGGTGGCTCACGCCTGTAATCCCAGCACTTTGGGAGGATGAGGCGGATGGATCACGAGGTCAGCAAATCGAGACCATCCTGGCTAACACAGTGAAACCCTGTCTCTAATAAAAATAGAAAAAAATTTAGCTGGGCGTCGGGGCGGGCGCCTGTAGTCCCAGCTACTTGGGAGGCTGAGGCAGGAGAATGGCGTGAACCCGGGAGGCAGAGCTTGCAGTGAGCCGAGATGGCGCCACTGCACTCCAGCCTGCGCGACAGAGCGAGACTTCGTCTCAAAATAAATAAATAAAATAAAGAATAAAATAAAGAAAAAAAAAAAAAAGAAAAGAGGCCAGGTGCGGTGGCTCACGCCTGTAATCTCAGCACCTTGGGAGGCCGAGGCGGGTGCATCACGAGGTCAGGAGTTTGAGACCAGCCTGAACAACATGATGAAATCCCATCTCTCTACTAAAAATACAAAAATGAGTCAGGCTTGGTGGCGCGCGCCTATAATCCCAGCTATTTAGAGGCTAAGGCAGAAGAATTGCTTGAACCCGGGAGGCAGAGGTTGCAGTGAGCCGAGATCGCGCCATTGCACTCCAGCCTGGGCAACAGAGCAAGACTGCTCAAAAAAAAAAAAAAAATTTGGCTGGGCGCGGTGGCTCAGGCCTGTAATCCCAGCACTTTGGGAGGTCGAGGCGGGCAGATCACCTGAGATCAGGAGTTCGAGACCAGCCTGACCAACATGGAGAAACCCAGTCTCTACTAAAAGTACAAAATTAGCCGGGCATGGTGGCACATGCCTGTAATCCCAGCTATTCCGGAGGCTGAGGCAGGAGAACCACTTGAACCCAGGAGGCAGAGGTTGTGGTGAGCCGATTGCCCCATTGCACTTCAGCTTGGGCAACAAGAGCGAAACTCCCCCCCCAACCCCCGCCCCCCAAAAAAAAGAAAGAAAGAAAGAAAGAAAAGAGACCAGGCATGGTGGCTCATGCTTGTAGTCTCAGCACTTTGGGAGGCCGAGTGGGGAAGATGTTGTGAGGCCAGGAGTTTGAGACCAGCATGGACAACATAGCCAGATCCATGTCTCAAAAAAAAAAAAAGAAAAAAAGAAAGAAAGAAAAAGAAAAGAAAAAGAAAAAAGAGCAGAAGTGACAGACAAGTGGCCCGAGAGGGGACTAAGGTGGAGGCAGGTCCTGGTGAGGAGCCGCTGCCTAGCCATCTCCCGCACTCTTCCAAACCTGGTGGTGACAACACCACGCCAGGCTTCCCGAAGGACACCCTCCCCGTGTGCCTCTCCAGACACATCCTTCGTGTCCCTTCAGCTCACACATATGTGGCCTCTCTCGGCCATGACCTTGGCAGTCCCTGCCCCTAGGCCTTTTTCTCACGTGCTCCCCTTCCCCTCAAAGTCAAAGCCCTCTGACCTGGTCACACTGGTGGGCCTGACCTCCAGTTCTGGGCGATCTAGAGGTCTATTTTTTTTTTTTTTTTTTTTTTTTTTTGTGAGACAGTCTTGCTCTGTTGCCCAGGCTGGAGCAACCTCCGCCTCCCAGGTTCAAGTGATTCTCCTGCCTCAGCCTCCCGAGTAGCTGGGATTACAGGCACGTGCCACCATGCCCGGCTCATTTTTGTATTTTTAGTAAAGACGGGGTTTTACCATGTTGGCCAGGCTGGTCTCGAACTCCTGACCTCAGGTGATCCGAGGTCACTTGGCCTTCCAAAGTGCTGGGATTACAAGCATCAGCCACCGTGCCCGACCTGATCACTTCTTTCTTCCTTTCTGGTGTTTGATATCTTTATCCCAAATCTCTAAATTCCCAAACTTCTTGCCCATTAGCCACAACTCTCAGAAATGGACCTCATAGGGCAGGGGACACAGCCTCTTTGTTCTGATGATAAAAGCAGGTGTTTACCCAGCACTGGTTGGTGCTGTTGGCATAGACTCTGAAAGCTCTCAAGCTGTCTGGGCTCACATCCCAGGTTTCTCCCCACCCCCACCTGGTGTGTTGCATGAACTGGAGCCAGTCACCTCCCTGGGCCTCTATTTCCTCAGCTCTGAAACAGCAATGCGAACAGCACGGTTTCAGGGGGCTATTCTGGAGCATTATATATGCTCATAGATGGGCCTGGCACAAAGTAAGTGCTCAGTAAATGTCAGCTACTCTTATTTCCTAATACCCTGTATTCATCTCTTCATCCTCCTTCCTCGTAATTATCCACTTTGCCATTTCTATTCCTGTCCATCAAAGCTTCTCCCAGTGTCTTTCCTGATCACTTGTGCCCCCTCCTCTCCTACTGCTGACACGCACCCCGGGCCATTTTCCTTACCAAGACCTCCTATCCCTCATCCTTCAAATGTCTGCTTATCTCTTGCCTCCTTTGGGAAACCTTCAGATCCCATGTAGCACCTTGGGCATTTTTGTACTTAGAAGCCCATCTTTTGACACCCACTCCATGATAATTTAACACCAGCAGTTCACCAGGCCTGGGGTTGGCTGCCTTGGGGCTGGCAGTGTGGTTTAGGAGAAAGAACGCTGGGCCGGGGGCAGGGGGACCATCTCTGCACGGGGTCTGCCACCAGCTCCTCCGACCACAGTGCAGGTGGCCCTTCCTGGGTCTGCATCTTATGGTGAGGAGGAACTTTAGGGCTGCAGGGATCTCTAACAGCCTGTGGTTTTGAATGCAGCACTTCCTGAGCCCCCAGCATGGGCTACGGTGTGTGCTGCGTGCTTTTCTCTGTTCATTCCACAAATTTCAATTGAGCCAATATTGGCTGTACCCTGTCCTAGGTGATGGGGCTGCAAGGGAGATCAGGACAGACTGTGACATCCTTCATAGAACAGACATAGTTAAATATTACAGACTTGTTTGGAGGTAGGTCTCAGTGCTCCAATGTTTGCAGATTTTGACCAGATATTTTGGGAACATTTCACTGTCAACAGGTAGGACTGGCAGAGCCACCAGGTGAGCCCAGGTCTGAGTGACTTTGAGAGTGGCTCACTCTCCAGGCACCCTCCCTGGACAGGGGTGAGTCTGATGCCTTCTCGTGGGGAGATCAGCCTCCGACGGGTGGGGTGTGGAGGTGATAGGTCAGAGGTGCCTGGATAGGAAGTGACTCTGCCATCACTTCCTGTGTGAGCTGAGGCCTGGGATGAGGATGGGGCAATCGATGGGGAAGTGGGGAGCACTGTGCTGTGGGGTGGGCGGGATGCGGACATATCTGTGTTTCTGCTGTGTCTCCTGTTCCTCCTCTGGGATTGGGACTATTTCCATCCTGCTGACCCCTTGCCACTCACACTTGGGGGGCTGCCTCTTGGGTTAGACCTTCCACCCCCGCGGTCTGTTGTTCACTGACCGTTACTGTCATTGTAATACTCCATGATGTTGTTCAGGGTCTCCATAAAGATGTCCTCCCTGGCCTTCTGAACTTGGCTCTGCTTCTCCCAGTCCTCTACTCCTTCCACGTGTCTCCATGGTCCCAGGGGCTCAGGCTTCCTGTCTTCACTGTTGTAGTGGAAGAAGGCACGGCCATTGAGGAAGACAGTACCCTGCAGCCTGTGGGTGCCTTTGCCAGGCCTGGACAGCCCAGTGTAGAGATAGGTCAGAGAGTAATGACCTGCAAAAGAAAAGACTCTGAGGGCTGGGGTCCATGCAAGGGTGTCCCATTGTGGGGCTGCAGAGGGCCAGGAGGGGAGGCCTGGCCACTGGCCTCTTCCTCCCCAGCTCTCTCCTCTGCCATCAGCTTCACACCATTGGAGCCTCACTCAAGGAAACAGGCTCTACTTTCATGCTGGGGATGATATTTCAGAGACCATTCTGTGTCTTCACTACAGAAGTTAATCTGCTTGGCACAGAAGAAGATAACATTTCTCAGCCTCCTTATAGATAGATTGGAACCATACGACTGAGCTTTGTCAAACAAGAATGTGACTGGAAGTGACTGATGTCTTTCTTCTGGTCCAAGACCCTACCACCTGGCTTTCCCCTACTGTCTCTTATCCCTTTTGTTGATGACTATGGAGACCACAGGATGAAACAGAAGAGTCCCAAGATGCAAACAGCCCGGATCCCTGAGTCACCCTGTGGAGGAGAGGAACCTTGCCCAATCTGCATTGAACTTAACATGAGAAATAAACATTTCTAGTCTAACCGGACAAATACATATAGTTAGAAAGTGTAGGGAGGTGGATTTACTAGAAAACTCAAGAAGTGACCTAGAATGGATCAGCATAGGGTAAGGCTAGGAGACCTCTCGGAATTCCTGGCATTGTACCTTGCAGTTTGGTACAAGATGGAAGTTGAGAGAGTGGGACATTTCCACAATTAGTTCCATAGTTAATTTAGAATATAATTTACACGAGTGTTAGTAACGTTGGAGGTCATATGGCAGATTTCTAATTTAAGTACTGAAGTCATTCTTGCTCATGAATTTCTGAATGTGATTAGCTTTTAAATCAGTAGACCCTGAGTAAAACAGATTACCCTCTACAGTGTGGGTGAGCCTCATCTAATCAGTGGAAGGCATCAAGAGAAAAGGCTGAGGTCCCCCAGAGAAGAAAGAATTTTGCTTCCAGACTACCCTTGGACTCAGGACCGCAACACCAACTCTTTCCTGGGTCTCCAGCCTGCTGGCTTGCTTTGCTGATTTAGGACTTTTAGCCCTCAGAATTGTATGAGCCACAAGAAATATTAAATAAAACTCCTCCCTTTCTCTCTTTTGTATACACACACACGTATATAATTAGTGTATATACACAGTGTATATTCATATATACATATATGCATGTGTATACAATGTATATTAGTTTTGTTTCTCTGGAGAACCCCGAATAATTAAGATTTTGGTGCAGAATGGGATTAATATTGTAAATGTGATTATTATAAAACTAACATGAAACACCTATTCTGACAACTTGTAAATGTCATAAATTTTTAACTCACACAACTGAGAAGCCATTCGCTTCCATGTCTTTATCCTGCACATTCTCATGCCACAGCCTCCTTCCCCTATCCTAGAAGTGACTCTTGATCTCCCCAAGCTCCCACTGTCTTCTTTTCGGGCCACTAGCCTTCCAGACCCACTGCAGTGGTGTCTGAGTGTGGGATTTGGGCACGGGTTTCCTTCTAGCACCATCCCTCCAGCCGACCTCCCTTCCCACTTTCCCCTTGGGGCTGCTCTCTCTTTCCCTCAGCGTCAGGCAGGTGTACCCAGCCATCGGAAGGAGGGAAGGAACAGGAGCAGAAGCAGCTCCAGGCATGTGGTTCCTGCTCCGTCCTGGCTCTCCACCCCAAGCAGGTCGCTTGGTCTTTGGAGTCTTTGTTTTCACGTAAACTAAGGGGTTTTAGATTCAGATTCCTGAAGGTCTTATTTTGGGTGAGGGCAGAGGCTCCCTGAATGCTCCTGGAAGTGTGTGAGCTGAGGGAGTTGACAGCCTTGGGCACCCGTTCCTGCCGTATACCAGGGAATCCCAGCTGCATCCAGCCCTTCTCCCAGCCATATGTCCTGTTCCTCACCTCCTTCCAGTCCTCTCCAGCATCCATCCTTTGCTTTCCCTACTCACCATCTTGGGTCTCCTGGGGGATAGCAGGACCCAGAAGGTGCAGCAGAGACAGCAGGACAGGCACCATTCTTACCATTGTGTCTGCTTGGAGGGTTCTGGGCCGGAGGCACAGGTATTATCCTGGGTCCTGGGGCCATGCCCAGGGGAGGTGAATCTACAGGCCAATGGGAGTACCAGGCCGGGCTCCTCCCCTGACAGTAAGAAAGAAGTATGCACAAGCCAGGCTGGGCAGAGATTGTGACCAGTGAGTCTATACACAGGATATGCAAATTCAGAGCTGAGACAGTTGATCTCTGGACTGAGGCTTTGTGTGTGCCTGGGGCGGAAGGATGCCAGTGTGTGGGAGGTGTGTGTGATGGGTGGCAGGTGCCTGGGATGTGTCGCCCTTCCAGTCTATTATGACACCCTCTGGGGTCACTTGGGTGTTGTCAGACCACACTTCATCTCTGCCTTCTGGAAAAAGCCTCAACATGTCCAGGACGTGGACCTGGGTAGACCCCAGCTGGGGTGGGACCCTCACTCTCCTCCCACACCCGATCCTGCCAGAGCTGTCTGGAGGACATTCCCATTCCCATCTCTCCCTCTTTCCTTTAGGTGCCTGTGGAATCCCAGCCTTCCATGATGGAAGCAGAAATAGCCGCATCCTCCTTTTGCAGCCTCCCTGGCAATAGAAGGAGCAGGTGTGCACAGGGTTTATGCTCAGCAAGCCGAAGCTACTGCCTTGGATATCGGGTCAAGTGTTAGGGAAACAAAGAGGGGGGCACAGTGGACAATGTTTTCTGGTGGTCTTGGCAGGGGTTGCAACTGCCAGCTCCCGGGGCAGTGGGGCTGCAGTAGCTGCGGGGGGCGTCTTGAGCTTCAGTCCCCCGGGATGTTGTAGATCCCGTGCTGTGGCCTCTGCTGCCCCCTGCTGGCAGCTTCTGTGTGTTTACCAGGCCGGTTGCTGGTGTGATTTTGACTGTTGCGCTCCTCTGGAATTCTGAGCCTGGGTTCTCCATCCTTTCTGTGGATTCTGAGAGCTAACCAATAAATACGTTTATTTTCTGCTTAAGGTCAGAACTGCGTCAGAACTGCATGACGTTTCTAGTAACAAATGCTCCTGGCGGATGCGGAGATTGGTACAAGGATTGTTTCCAGGCAGTAGTTACTCAGGGAAATGGAGGGCTGGGAAGCTGAGATTGGTTACGGGGCCAGATTGGGGCTGAACGCAGTGAAAACACAGGGGTCTTGGGGGATCCTGGCAGGCCTGGTGTGCAGTGATAACTTCAACAGTTGGCTGAGGTATCTGTTGTGGTAGATTGGAATGAAGTACCCATTGAAGGTGCTGACTTAAAAAAAAGTCACAAAGCCAGGCGCGGTGGCTTAAGCCTCTAATCCCAGCACTTTGGGAGGCTGAGGTGGGCGGATCACAAGGTCAGGAGTTCGAGACTAGCCTAGCCAATATGGTGAAACCCCGTCTCTACTAAAAATACAAAAATTAGCTGGGTTTCGTGGCGTGTGCTTATAATCTGAGCTACTCCGGAAGCTGAGGCAGGAGAATCGTTTGAACCCGGGAAGCGGAGGTGGCAGTGAGCCGAGATCGCGCCACTGCCCTCCAGCCTGGTGACAGAGCGAGACTCCGTCTCAAAAAAAAAAAAAAAAAAGTCACAAAATGGGTTATTGGGTTATTTAATTTAAAAGGAGAGCTTGGGTCAGGCTCAGTGGCTCACACCTGTAATCCTAGCGCTTTGGGAAGCTGACGTGGGAGGATCTTTTGGGGCCAGGGATTCTAGACCAGCCTGGGCATGGCAGCAAGACCTCACCCCTACCCAAAAGAAAAAAAAAATTAGCCAGGCATGGTGACGTGTGCCTGTAGTTGCGGTTACACAGAAGGCTGAGGCAGGAGGATCACTGGAACCCAGCTATGATGGTGCCACTGCATTGCAGCATGGGTGACAGAGTGAGGCTCAGTCTTTTTTTTTTTTTAGAGGGAGTCTTGCTCTGTTGCCCAGGCTGGAATGCAATGGCACAATCTCAGCTCACTGCAACCTCTGCCTCCCGGGTTCAAGCGATTCTCCTGCTTCAGCCTCCTGAGTAGCTGGGATTACAGGTGCCTGCCACCATGCCTGGCTAATTTTTGTATTTTTAGTAGGGATGGGGTTTCGCCATGTTGGCCAGGCTGGTCTCCAACTTCTGACCTCAAGGCTCTGCCCGACTTGGCCTCCCAAAGTGCTGGGATTACAGGCGTGAGCCACCGCACCCGGCTGGGAGGTCTATATTTGGGCTGAGTCCTAGAGCCTATGCTTTCCAGGCAGAGCCAACACAGAGGAAGCAGGTAAGGGAGGGGCTTTGTGTGGGGTTGGAGGTGGCTGCTGCAGGACAGGGCACAGCACAGCCACAGTGGCCTCACTCCGATTGGCTTCACTGGCTCTCACAGTACAGATCCCCTCAGGCAAGACCCCAAATGCAGTAAAAAGTAGATTCTTCTACAGCGAGACCCAGTGAGGAAACAGCTGGTGCACAGACTAGTAGAAAAATAAAGTGACTGGAATCACAGCATTGCAGACTCTGAGGCCAAAGGCTCCAGGGATTGGGTTAAGAAGCAGTCCTGTGCTGCTCCCAGGACTGTGGTGGGAGCAGCGGCAAAGTGGCAGTTCCTGGGACTGGGGCAGGCCGGGCAGATTCCTCAATCCTTTTGTGGAGGTGAAGGCAACTCCATCTTGGATGCTGATCGCCACGTTGACTTATCATTAACCCTAGTTCCGGGAAGGCCTCTGAGATTTTATTTTTTTGAGATAGAGTCTCACTCTGTCATCCCAGCTGGAGTACAGTGGCCCGATAGCAGCTCACTGCAACCTCTGCCTCCTGGGTTCAAGCAATTCTCCTGCCTCAGCCTCCTGAGTAGCTGGGATTACAGGCGCCCATCACTACACTCGGCTAACTTTTGTATTTTTAGTAGAGAAGGGGTTTCACCATGTTGGCCAGGCTGGTCTTGAACTCCTGGACGTCAGGTGATCCTCCTGCCTCGGCCTCCCAAAGTGCTGGGAATACAGGCATTAGCCACTGTGCCTGCCCTAGACTGCCTTTGTATGACTAACAGATTAGCCACAAGATTAGAAATTATGGTTTAGGAGTCATGCAGCTGGAGGCTACAAAATTCTGACCCTTCCTAACCCACTCCTAAAATCAGTGCTTGAAATTTTTTTTTTTTTTTTTTTTTTGAGATAGAGTTTCACTCTTGTCACCCAGGCTGGAGTGCAATGGTGTGATCTCAGCTTACTGCAACCTCTGCCTCCCGGGTTCAAGCAATTCTCCTGCCTCAGCCTCCCAAGTAGCTGGGTTTATAGGCGTCCACCACCATGCCTGGCTAATTTTTTGTATTTTTAGTAGAGGGAGGGTTTTGCCTCAGGTGCTCTGCCCACCTTGGCC
Source organism: Homo sapiens (assembly GCF_000001405.40). Taxonomy (NCBI): domain Eukaryota; kingdom Metazoa; phylum Chordata; class Mammalia; order Primates; family Hominidae; genus Homo; species Homo sapiens. The sequence continues at coordinate 101,293,097 of NC_000007.14, forward strand.
AAAGTGCTGGGATTACAGGTGTGAGCCACCGTGCCCAGCCTGGTGCTTGAGATATTTTGCAGACCCTGCACTTGATGGATCAGCTGGCACCACCCAGATGGATAAACTGGCTCAACCATCTTGTGGCCCCACCACCCAGGAACTGACTCAGCGCAAGAGGACAGCTTCAACTCGCTGGGAATTCATCTTCAACTCAACCAATCAAAACTCGACTCACTGGCCTTCCCCCATACACCAAATTATACTTAAAAACCCTGATCCCCGAATGCTCAGGGAGACTGATTTGAGTAATAATAAAACTCAGGTCTCCAGCATAGCTGCCTCCGTGTGAATTATTTTCCAAGGCAATTCTCCTGTCTTGATAAATCGGCTCTGTCTAGGCAGCGGACAAGGTGAACCCGTTGGGCAGTTCTACTCTTCCTTGGGCCCCTCAGCTTCCTTGGACTTTGGGGATAGGTTTGCATAGACCTGCCACCTCGGAACATCCTTCCTCCTATTGTAACTGCCCAAGGGGTTCACCTTGCCCGCAGCCTAGACAGAGATCAAGACAGGGGAAGTGCAATAGAGAAAGATAATTCACCCAGGGCCAGCTGTGCCAGAGACTGGAGTTTTATTATTACTCAAATCAGTCTCCCTGAGTCGGGGATCAGACTGTGTTTTTTTTTTCTTCTTTTGAGACAGAGTCTCTCTCTGTTGGCCAGGCTGGAGTGCGGTGGCGCAATCTCTGCTCACTGCAACCTCCACCTCCCAGGTTGAAGCGATTCTCCTATCTCAGCCTCCCTAGTAGCTGGGACTACAGATACCCACCACCACGCCCAGCTAATTTTTGTATTTTTAGTAGAGAAAGAGTTTCACCACATTGGCCAGGCTGGTCTTGAACTCCTGACCTCAAATGATCCACCCACCTCAGCTTCCCAAAGTGCTGGGATTACAGGCGTGAGCTTTTACAGAGTTTTTAAGGATAATTTGATGGGTAGGGGACCAGTGAATGGGGAGTGCTGGCTGGTTGGTTGGGGTTTGAAATCACAGGGAGTCAGAAGCTGTTCTCTTCTGCTGAGTCAGTCCCTGGGTGGGGGCCACAGATCTGGTTGACAAGTCCAGGTGGGGCCATCCGGTTGATAGAAATGCAAAAACCTGAATAGCCATCTCAAAAGGCCGATCTTAGGTTCACAATAGTGATGTCACCTTCAAGAGTGATTGGGGAAGTTGCAAATCTTACTACCTCCAGAATAACGGCTGGTAATACTTAGAATTCCAGCCCTTCTTATTCTAACTTCATGGCTGGTGGCCTTTCTTTCATTTTACAAGAACAATTTAGCTTTGGGGAAAGGCTATTATGTTTAGTTTAAACTACAAACTAAATTCTTTCCCAAGGCTAGTTCCGCCTACACCCAGGAATGGATGAGGACAGTTTAGACGTTAGAAGCAAGATGGGGTTGGTTAGGTCTGATGTGTTTCGCTGTTACGATTTCCTTAGTTATAATTTGCAAAGGCGGTTTCACTGTGTTCCCACCAGGGGTTGTGGAAAGGGAAGGTCGGGTGTCAGAAAAGGGTCTTTCAG